>NC_000013.11:95949948-96252979 GCF_000001405.40 Homo sapiens
CGGGGAAGCAACCACCAATCAAGAAGTGAGGCATTATGGTCCTTGAAAGCAGGAGGCATAAGCAGCAAGCTCCACATTCACCTAAACTTCATCCCTGGGTCCCCAGATTGCGTCCTGGAGAAATACTGAGTTGGAAAGCAGAAGTCAAAGTACGGGCTGCCAAAGTGCTGAGATTTGAGGGCAGGATGCAGGGTGAGAGGGTAGGAGAGAAGGAAACTGCAGGAAACCAGAAAAATCTCCATACAAATTCCTCTCAAGTCATTTGCTGACTCCTATCCTGCACATATACATGGTAACACCTCTACAAAAGCCAGAAGGAAAGAGAAACGGAGAGGTTGAAACCACAGCTATAAAATAGTACTGAGAAGACAGAGACCAAAGTCCAAGTACTATATAGTACTATATACACTGTAGACTTTCATTTGAGACCCAGTAAGGCCAGATCCTAGAAGTAAGACACAAAAATAGTAGAGCCTTCACAAAGCCTAAAAACAAGCTTCAACAGAAGCAAGTGAGCATCTGGCACTGAGGATACCAGAACAAACCTTAGCTCTTTGCTTCTACAGCTTTTCATCAATTTCTGGCTCTCACAAAAAAAAAAAAAAGTCATGCAAAGAGAAAAGGACCAAATATTGAAATGAAACAGGAAAAAAAAAAAAGACAATAAAAAACCCCAAAGATTACTTAGACAAGGACTTTAAAATAACTATCAATATATTTTTTAAAAAGTACAAAAATTTCTAAAAAGAAAAATTTTGACAGAACTAAAATCTGTTTAAAAAGAATCAAAGAGATATTTAAGGTTTTTAAAATATAATATTTATAATTAAGAACTCTAAGAACTTATTGGGTGGGTTTAATTGCAGACTGTACGCAGAAGAGACAGGGATTAGTAAACGTGACAACAGATCAACTGTTATAGTAACTAAACTACAAAGAAAAGAATAAACAAACCAAACAAAGTGTGAGAGAGATTAGGAATATATGAAAAAGATCTAGCATATAGGTAACTAAAAATCCAAGAGGAAAGGAGAGAAAGTCTGGAGCAAATAATACTTGAAGAAATTAGGTTTCTACAGTAATTCAGATAATCCAGGTATGAGTTTATTGTGGACTGAACTAAGTCAGAGGCAGTGGCTTCAGAGAAAAGGTGACAGAATTAAGAGACACACACAGATGGATGAATAAAACAGAGGAATTTAGGGTATATGTTCCAATAGCTAAAAGAAACGATGTCTAAATAAAGGAAGGCATGAAGACAAATCAATAAACAGATAAAAATTACAAAAAGAACCAAATAAAAATTTTGGAATTCAAAAGTATAATAATTGAAATAAAAAATTAATGAGAGGAGCTCAACAGCATATTTGAGCAGTTAGAAGAAAGAATTAATGAATTTGAAGGTAAGTCAATGAGCTTACTCAGTCTGAGGAAGAAAAGAGAAAGGAAGATATAGGTGCAGAGGAGTCTAGCCCCAAAGGGGAAACAGGCCTTATCTTGACCCAAAGGCAGCTGAGGGTGAGAATTTGGCAGCTCTTTGGAAAGGGCAATCAGAACTCCCATTCCCAATGGAGCTCAGAATCATACAGAGCCTTCAAGCAGTGCCACTTTTCCTGACTAAAAGCAAGTGTGCCTAGACAGACAAAATGAGACTCTCAACTACAGTGCAACTAAACTTGTGGTCTGAAGACTGTTAATAACCTATAAGTACAGAAATTAAGTGTTCAACAACTTGCAGTAATTTGACATGGCCATGACATTTGAGCATGTATCAGTCTCATTTCACTGAACATGGTATAAGCCAGCTTGGGGTTCATCAAACTCCTGTGGTGTGCCACATGTAGTACAAAATACATATTACAGCACTTTGGGAGCCTGAGGTGGGTGGATCATGAGGTCAGGAGTTCGAGACCAGCTTGGCCAACATAGTGAAACCCCATCTCTACTAAAAATACAAAAATTAGCCAGGCATGGTGATACACGCCTGTAGTGCCAACTACTCAGGAGGCTGAGGCAGGAGAATCGCTTGAACCCAGGAGGCAGAGGTTGTGGTAAGCTGAGATTGCACCACTGCACTCCAGCCTGGGCAATAGAGCGAGACTGTCTCAAAAAAAAAAAGATACATATTAGTCATAGGAGTAGGACAACATATTGATTGGCAACAGGTTAAGGAAAAAATGTTATTCTCTTACTATGGATAGTTTAAGAAGTAGTGCTCTAGCACTTGATGAGGGCTATCTCTGAAAAACCACAGGAAAAAAAAAAGAAGAAAAAAAGAAATTAACAAAAAAAGATACGACGGCCCCAGGCTTTGCTAGGGTCCAAGATGAAAGCATTATCTGTGGTCATTCTGATACTGATAAGATTTTGGCAAAAGATATACCCACCCCCTAGTATCTGTAGGGGGATAGGTTCCAGGACTCCCCGAGGATACCAAAATCTAAGAATATGCAAGTCTCTAACATAAAATGGCATAGTATTTGCATAGAACCTACTCACATCCTTCCATATACCTTAAATCATCTCTAGATTACACGTAATGCCTAATACAATGTAAATGCTATGTAAATAGTTGTTATATTGTTTTAAAATTTGTATTTTTTTATTGTTTTTCTTTTTTTGAGTATTTTCATTCCATGGTTAGTTGAATCCAGGCATGTGGAACCCTTGGATATGGAAGGCCAATGATATTTTGCATCTATGATCTTATTGAAACCTATTTACCAAGTCACGAGGAAAAAGTGAGTTTGTGGGTTTTTTCCCTTCTATGAAGATAATATGAAAATCATAGCTTATGAGATTAGGAGACTGACATGTTTTAATTCACCCTAAAATTGTATTATTGTCACCAAGGCTACTCTTGGCAGTTAAATTAACTAAATTCTCCATACTCATGTGGAAAAGAAAACCTCTAGAGATTGATCAAGAATGTAAGACAACTATATAAAAACTATAATGAAAATATGCTATGATCCAAATGTCTTGATGTCTTTTATGGAGTGACTCTTACTGAATGAGACAATGTTACGACAATATGTACCTAAAGAAATTATTATACTTTAAGTTTTTTAAATTTTAAAGATCTATTATGATTATGATTCTTAACATTACTTTGGGCATATTTTCTGTCATTTTAAATTGGCTTTTAAAAAGTTGACTGCTACAACAGTGAATGAACACATTATATGTGAAATTTCAACACCAAAGCTGGCTGTAATAAAAGATAAATGACATTGTTACCATCAAAGTGCAAAGCAAAAGGAGAGTTTTGGTTAAATCCAGAAAACCTTGAAACTGTCTTTGTTCCCTTCATGCTACGTCTAAGTTTATGGAAATCTATGAGTGCATTATATACTTTAGTATTCCGTAAGAAAAATTTTGCAATGTCTTTTTCTTTTCAGAGAGCTGAAGGACAAATGATGCTGACAAGGGGACAGTCAGAACCTGCATACTTTGAATGCAATACCAGGGCACTAGTGCCAAGAGTTACAAAAGAAGAAGAGCCTTTTAACTTTGGCGGGAGTGCAGAAGGGAGGACCAAAATTGTAATTTGAACACATTATTGAGTAAGATCATATAATGGAAAAGGAGGAAACTGGTTTAAAGAGATGAAATAAAGGTAGAGGTTAATTAGAACTACCAACATAAATATATGCCCTTTTAAAAGAAGAAAATTTTTTCTTGCTCTGTCTTCACTCTTTTCTACTCTGAATATTTTATATGAAACAATATGAAGTGCACATCTAATGCCCAGATTTTGGTCATTAGCACTATTTTCTACAAAAAAAAAACTTGGTGAATAGGCCGTTCCACATTTGGAGAAAAAAGAATCAAGATGATCTATGAGACACCCTGTCAGAAGGGGGTAGTGTTTAAAGAATAAAGAGGTCAGTTTGAAGGGAAGGCTGCCAGAGGCCATGTGCTGATTATTTTATCATCTAAAAGAAAATAGTTACTATAGTTAAAAAGAACTTTTAGTGTTTGTGAGAGTCCCTAAGCATGCTCAAAAGGAAATGTTTCAGAGATAAGTCAAATATACTACAGGTTGAGCATCCCTAATCTGAAAATCCAAAACGTTCCAAAATCTGCAACTTTTTCAGTGCTCACATGATGCTCCAAGTAGAAAATTCCACACCTGATACCTTTGTTTTCTGATGGCTCAAGTACACAAACTTAGTTTCATACACACAATTTAAAAAAATATTGTCTAAAATTACCTTCAGTCTATGGGCATAAGGTATACATGAAACATAAATAACTTTCATGTTTAGACTTGGGTCCCTTTTCCAAGATATCTCATTATGTATGTAAACCAAAAATAAAATTCTATGCCCCACAACAATCTGAATGGACTCCTCCTTTTGGCAAGGGCATTCCAAAGTTAACCTGAAAAACTAGCTCAGGCCATGATGGGAAGGGGGAGTCAGACAGGCCTCATTATTCCCTCCTTCCTTTTGGAATTCAGACACAGCTGAGCAGCATTAACATTAAAGCAGATCTTAAGACTGATAGAACAGATGCTTTAAGTCTGATTAGAAACATTTACAATCTATTCTTTCTGAAGCTGCCACCTGAAGGCTTCATCTGCATGATAAAACCTTGGTCTCCACTACTGCTTATCTTAAAACAGACATTCCTTTCTATTGATTCCAGATAACAACTCAGCCAACTACCAACTAGAAAATCTTTGAATCTGCCTATAACCTGGAAGGCACCTGCTTCCAGATTTCCTGCCTTTCCAGATGTACCAAACCAATGTACATCTTACATATATCAATTGATGTCTTATGTCTCCCTAAAATGTATAAAACCAAGTTGTAGTTTGACCACCTCGGGCACATGTTCTCAGGATCTCCTAAGGGCTGTGTCACAGGCCACTGGTCACTCATATTTGGCTCCAAATGAATCTCTTCAAATATTTTACAGAATTTGACACTTCATCAACACATATATGCAAATATTCTAAAATCCAAAAAACTGAAATCTGAAACCCTTCTGGTCCCAAGCATTTTGGATAAGGGACACTCAACTTGTAATGTGTAACAGTTGTCTATGCCCGATGTCTTACAAGAAAGTAGAGGGCATAAAGAACAAATCACTGAATTACTTAAGAAATGTGAACTACTTTGGTTTGTTTACTCAGTGTAGCACTAATCCTTCAGGTAGGACAAACTGCTATCATAATAACCATGATTGGTATTTGTAGATTCAACAAATCTTTTAAAAAGTCAAAATACTATGTTCCTATTTTTAATTATGAATCTTGAAACAGGATGAATTACAAGAATAGATCTCAGGCGGCCTAAAGTCTGTGTCCACCAGGCTATGATACAGCTGCAAATCATTTTTTTACAAGTTACGTGCACCTGGTAAATAGGTAGATTAGTTTCCAGAAAAGTTGCAATAGGCCAAAAAGGTAAAAAATGAAACAAAACAGAAACCTAGTGAGAGTGGGAAATGCAAGCTTAAGAATCTAGATAGGATATTTATGCAAATCAGGTGGTACCTGGGTGTAGGCTGTTGCTACTCATAAGGTTCTTTTCTGTTAGTTGCAAAACAGTAATACTTCTGAGTATACGAAATGAATAAAGGTGTTCCCTCTCTGCAGGACAAATTATAAAAGGATGTAACCCTTCCTCTTATCAGGAAGGGCACACACAAGACACGGCCAGGAGAAATGTGCTCAGAGTTTAGCCCCACACTCTTTCCCTCAACCAGGTACACATGGGCAGTAGAGGGTTTGGTTAGAGGGTCAAGCCTCCCTAAGTTTTCAGTTTTCAAAGCGCTCAAACAGGGCTGCTGCATATTATTGTTCATTTTTTGTGCATACTTCTTCATTTTAAGATAAAGTCTATAAAGTGATATTTCTTTTGAACTTTAGGAAATGTTTAAACAGATGCAGTAAATGTAACTAAGTAATATGATGTCACAGTTACAAGCATGAGTTCAAATAACCTTTTAGTGTCTCAGTTTCTTCATCTGTATAATGGGGATGCTATCAATACCTAATAGGGTCGCTGTGCAAATAAAATGAGATAATTCATTTTAAATGCTGAACATAGTATCTGGCACTCTGCTCAATAAATTTAAGCCACTGTTGTTAGTAAAAGGCAATCACAAAGCAGAGCAGGAAATAAAATTTAACGACAAGCTAAAACAATCTTGATAAAGAAGTATAAAGTTGGAGAACTCACACCTCTTGATTTCAAAACTGACTATAAAGCTACAGTAATCAAAACAATGTGGTACTAGAATAAGGACAGACATACAGATCAGTGGAATAGACTAGACAGCCCAGAAATAAATCTGCATTTATGATCAACTGATATCTGACAAGGGTGCCAAGCAAAGGTAACCAAAAAAAGGTGGAATTCATAAAAATTAAAATTTTGTTGTACATCAAAGGACACTACTAACAGTCAAAAGGCAACCTACAGAATGGGAATAAATATTTGCAAATCATATATCTGATAAGGAATTAATATCCAGAATATATAAAGGACTCCTACAACTCAACAAAAAACAAAGAACCCAATTTAAAATGGGCAAAGGACTTGAATAGATATTCCTCTAGAGAAGATATACAAATGGCCAACAGGTATTATGAATCAATGCTCAACATCACTAGTCATTAAGGAAATGTAATGAGAACCACAATGAGATACCAGTTCACACTCATTAGGATGGCAATTGCCACAAAGCAAAACATGCCAAAACCAGAAAATAACAAGAATTGGTGAGGATGTGGAGAAATGGGAACACTTGTGAACTGACAGTGGTAATGACAAATGATGTAACAGCTGTGAAAAACAGTTTGGCAGTTTGTCAAAAAAGTTAGACACAGAAATACCATATGATTCAGCAATTCTACTTCTAGGTATATACCCACAAGAACTGAAAGCAGAGATTCACACAGGTACTTGTACATCAAAGTTCATAGCACAGCATTATTCACAATAGCCAAAAGTTAGCAGCAGTGTAAATGTCCAACAGATGAATGGATAAACAAACTGTGGTATATACATTCAATGAAATATTATTCAGTCTTAAAAAGGAACAAAATTCTGATACATGCTACAACATGGATGAACCCTGAAAATATTATGCTAAGTGAAATTAGCCAGACACAAAAGAATATTGTATAATTCCACTTATATGAAATATCAATAGGCAAATTAATAAAGACAGAAAGTAGATAGAGCTTACCAGAGTCTTCAGGAAGAAGGGTATGGGGATTTAATGTTTAATGTGAACAGAGCTTCGTTCGGGATAATGAAAAAGTTCTGAAAATAAATGGTGGTGATGGTTGTACAACACTGTGAATGTACTTAATGCCACTGAATGGTTAAAAGAGCAAATTTTATGCCATGTATATCTAACCTGAATAAAAACTACTTTGTGACAATCTCGTGGGAACACAACCTTTATGGAGGGTGGGTTCCAAAACCAGCTATACTCCTTATGGACTGGAATTCCTGGGGTTTGGGGCCTGTGGTAGTCTTGACAAATTAGCAGTCTTATCAGTGCTTATGAAGAGATAGTCTGCTGAAAGCAGCAGGGTGGCAGAGAAGGGAGGCACACCGTCTGAGACTGATATCTGAAAGCTTGCCAGAATCTGAGAGACAACTCAGGGAAATGGGGCTTTGCAGAGTGTGGGGACAATGGGAGCAGCATAAGGGCTTAAAAGTCCAACTGCTCCTCCACACACAGAGTGACTGTCCTTCACTGCCAACCTTAGAAGCAAGCTAGGATATTATTTTACAAAGAGAATAGGAAGGTTTCTTTATAGGTCTGTTTACTATGTCTAGAAGAGCCTTGACAATTACTGCACTAATTTTCTGTGTGACTCTCTCTCAGCATTCTTTTCTACAAAAGCTAAAAAGCACAAATTCTTAAATATCAGATACAAGTATTAAGATTACTTACAAGGTCATTCCTTTTTCTGACATAACATTTTTAGAAAAGACATCTGCTATTGAGATTAAAGACAAAGTAAAAGTAAAATCTAGCCAATGAAAGAATACGGTCTAAAGAGTGGTAGAAAACAGTAACAAACATCTATATAACAAGTCACTTCGTGTTCTAGAAAACACAAATGATAACTACTTAGTAATTTGTTATTTATCCTGAATCTGAAGTTTCTGATGTTCAGGGAATATGGCGTTTCTTTCGGGCTGCTATAGTCCTTTGGCTCTGAGAAGGCAGAATTTTTTTTTTTTTTAAGACAGAGTCTTGCTCTGTCGCCCAGGCTGGAATGCAGTGGCACGATCTTGGCTCACTGCAAGCTCCGCCTCCTAGGTTCATGCCATTCTCCTGCCTCAGCCTCCCGAGTAGCTGGGACTACAGACGCCCGCCACCATGCCCGGCTAATTTTTTGTACTTTTAGTAGAGACGGGGTTTCACCGTGTTAGCCTGGATGGTCTCCATCTCTCGACCTCATGATCCACCCGCCTAGGCCTCCCAAAGTGCTAGGATTACAGGCGTAAGCCTCCACGCCTGGCCAAAGGCAGGTAGTTTATGAGCAGGAAGGTTTTTCAAGTAAGGCAAAACTAACTATAATAACTGAGATGCTTCAGAGAGAATCCCTTACATTTTTATATAAAACAATCAGCAAAAATTTCAGAGAGGATTTTTCCCCTTAAGATCTTTTTTTTTTTTTTTTTTAAGAAGGGGCTTCAAGATGGCTGAATAGATGTATCTGCTACTTGCCTCTTCCATGGAAAGGAACCAATATAGTAAGCAGATAATCACACTTCGAATAGGTCGTCTAAGGGAGCACACTGGAATTCACCAGAGAAGTGACAGGAGTACCCGAAAGCAAGAAAGGAGAGGGAAATAAGGCAGACTGCTAGGCTGGGATTGGCTGGAAGCCTAGAGAGGTTCCCTAATGCAAGGAAAGTGTAAGTGAGAGACCCTCAGCAGTCCACGTTTCCACTACGGACTCCTACCAACCTAACCATGGAAAAGCCCCTTCACCCTTATGGGCTTCTGAGACTAACAGAGGGAGCTACCTGGAGATTGCACAATGCCACTGATCCAGAGAGGGAGCTCATGCCCAGTCCCACAAACCCCTGAGTCCTAAGCCACTGCAGTATGGCATCATTTTGAGAGCCCAGCTCCCACAGACTGTGTCCTGCCCTGGGGCCTAACAGCCCCCGCATCTCCATATCTCTGGGGTCCCACTGACATTCCCTGCTAGGGCCAAGGCAGAACCACTGGCAGTCACACTGCCTCCCCAGCAGAGGGACAATCACACATTTCCATGCACCTGAGGACAAATTCCATTTGCTGCAAACTGTGTGTGTGTGTTTTGGGGTGGGGGGACATAGGATGAGCAAAGCATGCCCCAGCCACCTGCCTCCAATTGCTCCTGTTGAAAGTGACTTCACCCTCTCCAGTAGCAGAACAGCAGCACAGCTGCTGCTGCTGCCTCTACCTGAGCATCCACCTATGGCCGGTGGATCATCCCGCTCCCCTGCTGCCCACCAACCATAGCCAGAGCCTGAATGTACCAACATGGGGCCTAAGAACCATCTTGCCTGGTTCTATCACCCCCAGTACCTAAGCATGCTGTCCAGGGACGTGGGGATCACCCAGCACAATCCATTACCATTGGCATCTGAGCACACCTCCCAGTGTCATGCCCACCCAACCTGCCACTACCATCACCTCAGGGCCTGGGCAATGGCTGACCCAGCCCATCACAGCTACTGCCAACACTGGCATGGACCCTTAGGTCCTAGAGAATTGTCCCGCCACTTACTGCCATTGCCCGTGCCACAACCACTGCTCAGGTGCTCAAGAACCTACCTACCACTGTCATTCCCAGCACCCAAGCAAGTCATCTAGAGGCCCAAGAATCAACCTCCCTGCACCTGCTAACACTGGTGCTAGTGTACACCACCCTGGGGGCCAAGGCTCAACCCACCATCGCCACCCATAGGGCCCTAAGTCTGGCCCAACTGGTGTCCCACATTTCAGCAAAACTTCATCACAGCCTCCACTAGCAACTGTGCTACAAGCCACCTAGCAAACAGAGACACCACTGATGCTGTTTACAGATGAAGAAATCATACAGAGATTACCCTACTGCACACATTGAGAATCAATGCCAAAAAGTGTACTATGCAACTAACACCATAAATGGTCAGGAAAAAGTCTTCCCCTAACAATGGAAATTTTTAAAAAATGGAATAAGTAACTGTTACACCAGATGCACAGATGTCAACGTAAGGACACAGGAACATAAGCAATCTCCAAAGGAACACAATAATTCTCCAGCAACAGATCCCAATCTAAAAGACATTTATGAAATCCCAGAAAAACAATTCAAAATATTGAAATTAAGCTCAGTGAGCTATAAGAGAATACTTTAAAACAATCCAAAAATATCAGAAAAACAATTCAGGAAATAAGTGAGAAATTTACCAGAACCAAATAGAAAATTCATTGAATGACATGTAAAATGTATTGAAAAGCTTCAGCAGTGGACTAAATCAAGTAGAATCAAGAATCTCAGAATTTTAAGACAAGACTTTTGAAATATCCCAGTCAAATAAAAATACATACAAAAAAGAATAAGCAAAGCCTATGTGACATATGAGACACCATAAAGTGACCAAATATTTGAATTTTGCTGTCCCAGAAGATTAAAAAAAAAGTATTAGAAAACCTATTTAATGAAATAACAGAAAAAGACTTCCCAAGTCTAATGAGATTTAGATATCCAAATACAGGAGGCACAGAGATTCCCAAATAGATACAATTCCAAAAGGTTTTGCCCATGGCAAATTATAGTCAAACTGTCAAAATTTAAAGAGAAAGAGAGATTTCTATAAACAGCAAGTGAAAAGCATCTAGTGGGAACACCCATCAGATTAACAGCAGATTTCTCCACAGAAACTTTACAGGCCAGGAGAAAATGGCATGATATATTTAAAGTCCTGTAAGAAAATGCCTGCCAGTTGAGGATACTATACCCAGCAAAGTTATCCTTCATAAATGAAGGAAAAATAAAGTCTTTCCCAGACAAGCAAAAGCTGAGGGAATTCTTCACCACTAGACCAGCCCTGCAAGAAATGCTTAAGGGAGTCCTATACCCAGAAGTGAAAGAATGGTATCTACCATCCTGAAACATAAATACCACTGGTAGAACAAACCACTGAAGTCAGAGAAAAGATTCAAATGTTACCAATACAGAAAACCAACAAGACACAATTGTTAAAGAGAGAGAGAGAGAAACAGAGAACACACAAAATAAACAGAAATCAACTAATAAAATGACAGAAATAAGTCCTCACATATCAATAATAACCTTGAATGTAAATGAATTAAACTTTACACTTAGAAGATACAGACTGGCTGAATGGATTAAAAAACAAGACCCATCCATACACTGCCTTAAAGAAACTCATCTCACTTGTAAAGAGATATATAAACTGGAAGTAAAGGAATGGAAAAAGATAATCCATGCAAATGGAAACCAAAAGCAAGCAGGAATAGCTATACTTTTATCAGATAAAACTTTAGGTCAAAAACAGTTAAAAGGACAAAGATAGTCATTATATAATAATAAAGGGATAAATTCTTCAAGAAGTTAAAACACTCCTAAACATATATGCACCCAAACACTGGAGTACCTACACATATAAAGCAAACATTATTACAGCTAAAGAGAGAGAGAGACTCCAAAACAATAATAGCTGGAACCTTCAACACCCTACTCTCAGCAATACCTAGATGGAAAATTGAAAAGAACACTGGATTTAAAATGTACATTTGATGAAATAGACTTTAGAAATTTACCCAATATTTCATCCAATAGCTACAAAATACACATTCTTCTTACCAGCAGATGGAATATTCTCCAGGATACACCATATGTTGGGACACAAAAACAAGTCTCAATAAATTTTTAGAAATTGAAATCATATCAAGTATTTTCTCACACCACAATGGAATAAAACTACAAATCAATAACAAGAGAAACTTTGGAAGCAATACAAACACATGGAAATTAAACAACATGCTCCTGAATTACTGGGTCAAGGAAGAAATGAAGGAGGAAATAAAAAATGTCTTGAAACAAATGAACATGTAAACACAACATACTAAAACCTGTGGGATATAGCAAAAGCAGTGCCAATAAAGAAGTGTGTAGCAGTAAGCTCTTATATCAAAAAGGAGAAAGATTCAAATAAACAATTTAATGATGCATCTCAAGGAAATAGAAAAGCAAGAACAAACCCAAAATTAGCAGAAAAAAATAAATAAGATCAGAGCAGAACTAAATGAAATTGATACTAAAGAAAAAATACAAAGGATCAACAAAATGAAAAGTTTGTTTTTTGAAAAGATAAACCACTTGATAGACTAACCATGACAGAGAAGACCTCCAAAAAAGTCAGAAATGAAGAAGCACACTGATATCATATAAACAAAAAAGATCATCAGAGACTATTATAGAAAACTATACACTAACAAACTGGAAACCTTGGAGGAAATGGATAAATTCCTGGACATATACAACACACCAAGACTGAATTAGGAAGAAACAGAAAACCTGAACAAACCAATAATGAGTAATAAGATTCAATCAGTAATAAAAAGTCTCCCAACAAAGAAGAGTCCAGGACTAGATGGCTTTACTACCTAATTCTACCAAACTTTCAAAAAAGAACACAAATTCTCCTCAAATTATTCCCAAAAAAATGAAGAGGAGAGAATTCTTCCTAACTCACATTCTATGAAACCAGCATTACCCGGATACCAAAACCAGACGAGGACACAACAATAAAGGAAAACCACAGGCCAATATTCCTGATTGTATTAGTCTGTTTTCATGCTGCTGATAAAGGCATACCCGAGACCGGGTAATTTAAACAGGAAAAAGGGTTCAAAGGACTTACAGTTCCATATGACTGGGGAGGCCTCACAATCACGGTGGGAGGCATGGAGGAACAAGTCACATCTTATATGGATGGCAGCAAGCAAAAAGAGAGCTTGCTCAGGGAAACTCTCCCTTATAGAGCCATCAGATCTCATAAGACTTATTCACTATCATGAGAACAGCATGGAAAGACCTGCCCCCATGATTCAATTACCTCCCACTGGGTCCCTCCCACAACACGTGGGAATTCAAGATGAAATTTGGGTGGGGACACAGCCAAACCATATCACTGATGAACACAGATGCACAAATTCTCAACAAAATACTAGTAAGCCAAATCCAAAAGCATATCAAAAATATAATACACCATGATCAAGTGGGATTTACCCCAGAGATGCAAGGATAGTTCAACATACACAAATCAATAAATGTGATACATCACATCAATAGAAGAAAAAAAAACCATATCCTCTTAATAGATGCAGAAAAAGAATCTGATTAAATTCAACATTCATTCATGATTAAAAACTCTAAACAAACTAGACACCAAAGGAATATACCTTAGCATAATATAAAGGCCAGAAATGACAAACACACAGCTAACATCATACGCACTGTGGAAAAGCTGAGTTCTAAGAACTGCAACAAGACAAGGATGCCCACTTTCACCACTCCTATTCAATGTGGTACTGGAAGTCCTAACCAGAGCAATCAGGCAAGAAAAACAAATGCATCCAAATTGGAAAAGAGGAAGTTAAACTGTCCCTCTTTGCACACAACATGATTGTATATCTAGAAAAACCAAGGACTCCACCAGAAAATTCTTAGAACTGATAAATTCAATAAAGTTGCAGGATATAAAATCAGCACACAAAAATCAGTAGTGTTTCTATACACAAATAATGAAATAGCCAAAAAAGAAATCAAAAGGGTAATCCCATTTACAGTAGCTGCAAAAAATACTTAGGAATTAATTTAACCAAGGAGGTAAAAGATCTGTACAAGAAAAAATTGAAAAAGACAGAAATAAATGGAAAAACATCCCATGCTCATGGTTCAGATAAATATTAAAATGATGATACTGCCCAAAGCAATCTATAGATTCAATGCAATCTCTATTAAGATATCATCATTTTTCAGAGATAGAAAAAAAATCCTAAAATTCGTATGGAACCAAACAAGAACCTGAATATCCAAAGCCAAAACTGGATGCATCACACCACCTGATTTGAAAATATAGTTACAGTAACCAAAACAGCATGGTATTGATATAAAGACAGACACACAGACCAATGGAAGAGAACAGAGAATCCAGAAATAAATTCATGTATTTATAGCCAATTGATTTTTGATAAAGGTGCCAAGAACATACATTTGGGAAAGGACACCCTCTTGAATACATGGTTCTGGGAAAATCTGATATCGATATGCAGAATAATGAAGCTAGACCACCATCACTTACCATGTACAGAAATCAACTCAAGATGGATTAAAGACTTAAACATACCCCAAAGTATAAAACTACTAGAAGAAAACATAAGGCAAACACTTTTGGACATTGGTCTAATAGGTAAAGATTTTATGGCTAAGACCTCAAAAACACAGACAACAGAAGTAAAAATAGACAAATGGGAAAAACCTTCTGCACAGCAAAGGAAAAAAAATCAACAGAGTGAAGAGCAAGCCTGTTCGATGGGAGAAAATATTTGCAAACTATTGCTACAGGGGCTAATATTAAGAATATACAAGGAAGTTGAACAACTCAACAATAAAATAAACAATCTTATTTTTAAAAGAGCAAAATATCTGAATTTCTCATAAGAAACCATTCAGGACATAGGCATGGGCAAGGACTTCATGTCTAAAACACCAAAAGCAATGGCAACAAAAGCCAAAATTGACAAATGGGATCTAATTAAACTAAAGAGCTTCTGCACAGCAAAAGAAACTACCATCAGTGTGAACAGGCAACCTACAAAATGGGAGAAAATTTTCGCAACCTACCCATCTGACAAAGGGCTAATATCCAGAATCTACAATGAACTCAAACAAATTTACAAGAAAAAAACGACCCCATCAAAAAGTGGGTGAAGGACATGAACAGATGCTTCTCAAAAGAAGACATTTATGCAGCCAAAAAACACATGAAAAAATGCTCACCATCACTGGCCATCAGAGAAATGCAAATCAAAACCACAATGAGATACCATCTCACACCAGTTAGAATGGCGATCATTAAAAAGTCAGGAAACAACAGGTGCTGGAGAGGATGTGGAGAAATAGGAACACTTTTACACTGTTGGTGGGACTGTAAACTAGTTCAACCATTGTGGAAGTCAGTGTGACGATTCCTCAGGGATCTAGAACTAGAAATACCATTTGACCCAGCCATCCCATTACTGGGTATATACCCAAAGGACTATAAATCATGCTGCTATAAAGACACATGCACATGTATGTTTATTGCGGCACTATTCACAATAGCAAAGACTTGGAACCAACCCAAATGTCCAACAATGATAGACTGGATTAAGAAAATGTGGCACATATACACCATGGAATACTATGCAGCCTTAAAAAATGATGAGTTCATGTCCTTTGTAGGGACATGGATGAAATTGGAAATCATCATTCTCAGTAAACTATCACAAGGACAAAAAACCAAACACCGCCATGTTCTCACTCATAGGTGGGAATTGAACAATGAGAACACATGGACACAGGAAGGGGAACATCACACTCTGGGGTCTGTTGTGGGGTGGGGGGAGGGGGGAGGAATAGCATTAGGTGATATACCTAATGCTAAATGACGAGTTAATGGGTGCAGCACACCAGCATGGCACATGTATACATATGTAACTAACCTGCACATTGTGCACATGTACCCTAAAACTTAAAAGTATAATAATAATGAAAAAAATAAAGAAATTATACAGATGGCAAACAAGTATATAATGTTCAACATCACTAATTATTAGATAAATGTAAATAAAAGTGACACGGAATATCATTTTACCCCAGTTAGAATGGCTATCATTAAAAAGATAAAAGAATAGCAGGTGTTGGTGAGGATGTGGAAAAAAGGAACTCTTATAGATAGTTGCTGGGAATGTAAACTAGTATAACCACAATGGAAAACACTATGGAGATTCCTCAAAAATCTAAAAACTGAACTACCATCCAATCCAGCAATCCCATTATGAGGTATTTTTTGAAAGGAAAAGAAACCAACATCTCAAAGAGATACCTGCACTTGCCTGTTTATTATAGCACTATTCACGATAGCAAACATATATAATCAACGTTAAGTGTCTATCAACAGATGAATGGATAAAGAATATGTGGTATATATTCACAATGGAGTATTATTTGGCCACAGAAAAGAATGAAATGTCATTTGCAGCAACATGGAGGAAACTGGAGGTCACTGTGTTAAGTGAAATAAGCCAGATACAGAAAGACCAATATCCTGTGTTCTCACTCGTAAGTGGGAAATAAAAATATTGACCTCATGGAGTTAGAGTAGAATGATAGATACCAGAGGCTGGGAAGGGCATGCTGGTGGGAGGGGTTGATGAAGAGAGGTTAGTCAATAGGTACAAACAGTTATCTATACAGTTAGATAGAAGGTATAAATTCTACTATTCAATAGCAAAGTAGGGTGACTATAGTTAGCAGCAATATATTACATAATTCAAAGTAGCTAGAAAAAAAGACTTAAAATGTTCCCAACACATAGAAATGATAAATACTGCTAGTGACGGATACCCCAAATACACTGATTTCATCATTACACACCTTACATACATAAGAAAATATCACATGAATCTCATAAATATGTAAAATATTGTGTATCAATTTAAAAAACCAAAAAACTATTTTCTTATGATCATGTAAATAATACATACCCATGGTTAAAAGTTTGGAATTCACAGAAGAACATGATGAAAAAAATTAAAACTACCCATTAAACCACATCACCCATTAATGCCTTAAATTTTGATATATTTCCTTCTGATCTTCTGCCCATATTTTTACATGACATAATTCTATATTTTTTACTTAACAGAATCATTATCTTAAGTCATATTTATAAACATAATTTTCATGTCAATAATACTCGATTGTGTGAATGTAAAATTTATAACGCTTCTCTGTTAGATAACTAGTTTCTACTTTGTTTTCAAAATATGTAGTGATAATCATATCTTTGGCCACAAAGCTTTTTTTCCATTTCCCACTGTTTTTTTATGATAGTTTCCAGGAGAGAAATTACTAGACAAACTATGTATCGTTATAAGGGCACCACAGGCATAACCTTTTTTTTTTTTTTTGAGATGGAGTCTTGCTCTGTTGCCAGGCTTGAGTGCAGTGGCACCATTTCAGCTTACTGCAACCTCTGCCTCCAAGGTCCAACGTATTCTCCTGCCTCAGCCTCCCAAGTAGCTGGGACTACAGGCACGTACCACCACACCCAGCTAATTTTTGTATTTTTAGTAGAGACAGGGTTTCACCATTTTGGCCAGGATGGTCTTGATCTCCTGACCTTGTGATTTGCCCACCACGTGCTCCTCAAAGTGCTGGGATTACAGGCGTGAGCCACCACGCCCAGCCCCCACGCGCACCCCCAACTTTTTTGTTTTTTTTTTTTTTTGAGATGGAGTCTCGCTCTATCGCCCAGGCTGGAGTGCAGTAGGGCGATCCTGGCTCACTGCAACCTCCACCTCTCAGGTTCAAGCGATTTTCCTGCCTCAGCCTCCCAAGTAGCTGGGACTACAGACACGTGCCACCACACCCAGCTAATTTTTGTACATTTAGTAGAGACGGGGTTTCACCATGCTGGCCAGGATGGTCTCAATCTCCTGACCTCATGATCCGCCCACCTTGGCCTCCCAAACTGCTGGGATTACAGGCATGAGACACTGTGCCTGGCCAGGCATAACTTTTTAAAAGGATATGCTGATTTACACGTCCTCAGTTAAATTCTAGTTTTTATCAATAGGTATTGAGATATTATTTCATAGTGGTTATTATTAGGGTATTTACATTTTTATGTTATTGTAAATAAATCATTATCTTCCAAATAGATCTTGAAAGAAAAGCTTTTGATCTTTATCATGTCACTTCAAACCCATTTTATTAAAGCCTTTTATTATAGCTTTCTTTGAGGAGTTTCAGTTATACAATCTTGTCACACAACACTTTTATTTCCTCATTTCTAACAGTTACTCCTTTTATAATAATATTAAATCTTAAGGATAATTATATTGATCATGTTGTAATTGTAATGCTTCCAGAGTTTCATCATTAAAAATGATGTTTTTTGTTGTTTTCAGATAAATAGTTACTTATTCATTTAGGGAATATTTATATTTATTGAGTACCACTAAAACCAGGGACATAATGGTAAGAGAAAAAATGAAAAAATTTCTACCTTCAAGAACTTTATATATAGCCTAATAAAAAACAGATATAAAAGCATCACAGGATAAATGTAAAACTATAACTGTGCTAAGTATACGAATGGATTAATAGTTCTGACATATAATGTATGTATATGTGCTGATATAATTTGGATACTTGTCCCCACCCAAATCTTACGCTGAATTGTAATCCCCAATGCCGGAGGTAGGGCCTGATAGGACGTGTTGGGTCATGGGGGCAGATCCCTCATGTCTTGGTGTTGTCTTTGTGATGTGACTTCTAGCAAGACCAGGCTGCTTAAATGTATGGCACCTACCCTCCAACACTCTCTCTCACTCCTGTTCTTGCCATATGAGATACCTGCTCCCTCTCTGCCCTCTGCTGCGAATTAAAGCTCCCAGAAGCCAAACAGATGTTGGCACCATGCTTCCTATAAACCCTGCAGAACTGTAAGTCAAGTAAACTTCTTTTTTTTATGAATTACCCAGTCTCAGGTATTTCTTTATAGCAAGGTAAGCATGGCCTAATACATGTGCTATACCCATACATGTATACATGTATGAAGAATCACATTATACACATATACGTGTGTGTGTATGAAAGGGTTAACTCAAGAGGCTTGGGTTGCTCACACCTTGGATATTCCCAAGAAGGGTCTGTTTACATGACTGTCTCTTGACTGGGTCCTGATAATTAAGCTCTTGGAATGTTCTGATTGATAAAAGAGTGTTTTGCACAGTTAGGAACCTGAGCCATGCTGCAGCAGTTCCAGCAGTTTGTCTAAAGAGTTTATACAATCTGAGTTATAATAAACATCTGCTTTTCCTCAGTCCGGAGATTCAGCCACTGATGGCAGGTACAGAGAGCCACTGTATGTCTACATGATGGATCGTCTCTCACAATCTTGAACTCAGGCTCAAGTAAGTGAGCTTCCCTGGTAGGAAGCACTTTGCCCACATTGTCATATATCACATTAAGCACACAACTCCACTAGGAGGGAACTCTTGGAAGCTTATACCTGGTTTACTCTGGACTTCACCCCTGCTGATTTTTTCACATCATTTTGCTCTACTAAGCCATAACCATGAATATAACAACTTCTGGGTCTTGCAAGTCCTTCTAGCAAATCACTGGATTAGAGGTTGGTCTCTGGGGATTCTCTTAACACAACATGTAGATTTAAAAAACCATCTGGATTGTTAAGGAAAGTTTCTCTCAGAAAGGGCTATTTCAACCTAACTTTGAAAAAGGAATAGGAGTTAACTGGATAGAGAAAAAAAAAGTGCTTTCTAAGCATGAGACAAAGGATAGTAGTGAAAAGAACGTTTCACAGTCTAAGAAATGAAAGGTGACAGCAGCCATCTGCAGCCTCATAGGCCATACTGAAGACCACTTCTCTGCTTAAGCAAGAAAGGGTGATATGATCAAATGTTTTTCACAAAAATCACTTGGGCTGTAATACACACACCAGAACCTTTGGAGGCCGCTGCAAATTGTTTCGGCAGGACTTTCATCATGTTAAGGTAGCACTTTTATATACACCTCAGATTTTAACCATGTATTTGGTGTCTTGTTGTTATTGTTCATGTGGTTATTCTGTTGTTATCTCTGAAGGTGGAAAAGACACTGAATGAGATTGAGTAGGTATTCTTGTGACAAAACAGAGACTATGAAGAAGGAGAAGGAAGCTGCAAGTGGGAGAGGAGATGGGTCTATAGTTTGACTTTCTCTTTTCACTGAGAACTGTTCCAAAATGCTGACATTTATCATCAGGCCTGCCGATACTTCATTTTATGTTAAGCCTTAAGTATACTACAGGTTTTAGAACAAGGAATAGCATAAGCACTTACCATTATAGAAGAATGTCGAATATCTAATACATAAGTATATTCCCAAATGTGTGAATTTAATTTTAAAAATTTGCTCATATCTTCCCCATTGATCCCAAGATTGCGAAGGCCATTCATCATTTTTCCTTCTAATTTCAGCATATCCAAAATACTATATATTCAAAGAAAAAACAGTTTTATTTTGATTTTCCAAATTAAAAACAAATGTTTTAAAGTTTGATAGTCTTAAAGCATTAGAAATGAGATTTTTTGGTATCTTCATTAATAGCAGGAAAAATATATTAAACTCATTAAGAAATAAGGCAAATAGTTCTAATTAGTTATCCAGAGTAAACTTACATAATTTTAGTGGTAGTAAAAACTTATTATTATATAAAAGATAAAACAACAAAGACTATTGTATTCTTTATCAAAGTAGTGAGGATATGATCAGCCCTGAGAAAGCCAAAAATGAGAAAAAAAATATTAGGTCACTCTTTTGACAAACCTACTACAAAAATAATGTAAGATCGAACAAGACATAAAGTATAAAATTCTAATACAGAGGAAGCTCCATTAAATCATGAAGTTCACGTGTGTTTGAATACAAATTTAAATTTTTTATTACATATAATTTGAAAGTTCTTAAACATAATAGAAAGTATTACTGTAAACAACAACATCAACAATAACCCCATTGACAACAAATTGGGGAATCTAAATGTTTAAACTACTCTTCATCAAGTCTGTGGCTGAGGCGACTATTCAGAGGCAAAAATATAAAAGGGACTCTTTAATGGGCTAGAACAGAATGTTTTAATGTAGATATATAAGACCCTGCTTATGGACTTCATCAGTCCTACTTGCCTTTCTCCCCAGTCAAAGTCACATGTTCTTACTGTCTCAGTCTCCCTGGGGGTGAGATGTAGGCCTTTATAGAACCAATGCTGATCTAATCCTAACCCATGGAGGCTCTGGCTCCTCCCGCTACTCTCAGGATCAGAGCAAGAAGGGCTGGGCCATGTATGGGGCATGTTATTGGTTCTCCACAACCCAGTAATGCAATGACTGAAAGGAGATAGGAAGGGAGCACAAAATAAATCCTTTACTCCTGTTCTTTCCCCACATGGACGATTCCAAAGTATTGGCTGCATAAAACCTCTCTATATATAATGTCTCTGTAATATGACATTTTACTTCCATTTCCTTATTTTCTTCCATTCATCTTCCTCTTTGCATTAATTTTATTCCACATCCTCTGAAGACACAAATATTCTCACATTTTGTCTCTTCCTCTTTTAAGAGAATCATGGTAGCACTAAGCAGTGATCAAATCAATGAGGAATAACAATGTAGCACACATCCTGCAAATCACTAATGACCAGGTGTAGGAGCTGGGGGGTTTTATTTTTTTAATAACCTACAGCCTTCCTAAATTATACGTGAAAATATTCCTGCCATAAAAATTTCCTCATACACTACCTTAGAAAACTTTCTAAAATCTACATACCATTTCACTACTTCCTTTAAACCTGTTTTCACTGCTGCTGGGCACATATATAATTTTTGTTCCCCTGAAATTTACAGGCTAGCATTTACAAACTTCTCTACTCTTTCTATGTGTATTATATGTATCTATCTTATTATTTTTACAATACTAGGTCCAAGAATTCAAGTAACTAAAGAGAAAAGCCCCATTTGAGATAAAACTGTAAAAAATGTTCAGTAAAACTACTTCTCAGTCTTTCCAATATATTTTCCAACGTATTTCCAAACTGGTAAGAATTTAAATAAACAATTCAAATAATTTCACTTCAACAAAAGTATATTCAATTGAATTAAAACTGAACATCTGAATTAAAGTATCATGTATCCTAAGTTCATCTAATGTTTCAAATATTAATTTTAATGTAGTTTTATGTTTCTCTATAAAAGTAACTCTTCTGTTTGGCCCACAACTGTAATTTTGGGTGAGTGACCATTGATAAAGCAAGGACTTCCTAATTCTGTCCTGTTCAAAATTCTGAGCAAAAAAATTTTGAAGAATTTTTTTTTTTTTTTTTGACAAGAAACCAGATAGCATCCAGCATTCAAATACAAGCATTTTAAATTCCTCTTGTCAATTTCTGTCTTCTGGGGAAATACCCCATGTTGACTTCAGTCCTTATCTGGTATCTGGTTGTTCAGTCCAGTTCCAAATAACTTCTCTGCAAATCATCAATCTACTCTTCAATAAGAGACAGTTTAGAATAACAAAGTAATTATAGGTCTAACCCTCATCCAAACAAATATCTTGACTGTTTCTCCCAGTTCTGATATTCTAAGACACTTTGGGCTTGCCCATTTTGGTAGAAGAAAGCTGTTTTGTACAATCAAAAACATGTATTTATCTTTAAAGTGATCTTCATATTTTGACTTACACTAAATTCAAGACAATGTTTATTTTTATATAAACCATAGTTCATTTACAGCAATAATTTAATACTTACCTAAAAGCGTCATAAACATCCATATCAACACGAAGGCCATTTATAAATAGACGAGCATCGCCTGGCTGAATTTTAAATCTAACTTGAAGATCCTTGAAGTAGAGCAAAGCAATAGTTAACCAGTGATAGAACAATAGTGACCTATATTAGGGGTCACCATATTATTTCTATAAAGAGTCAGAGAGTAAATATTTTAGGTTTGGCAGGCCATACAGTCTCTGTTGCAATTATTGATCTCTGCCTTTGTATCTTTAGATACTATGTAAACAAATGGACATTGCAATGTTTATTGTAAAAATTAAGCTTTTAGGCCAGGCGTGGCGGCTTACGCCTGTAATGCCAGAACTTTGGGAGGCCGAGGTGGGTGGATCACCTGAGGTCAGGAGTTCAAGACCACCCTGACCAACATGGTGAAACCCCATCTCTACTAAACACAAAAAATTAGCTGGGCGTGGTGGCACATGCCCGTAATCCCAGCTACTTGGGAGGCTGAGGCAGGAGAATCACTTGAATCCAGGAGGCGGAGGTTGCAGTGAGCCAAGATTGCACCATTGCACTCCAGCCTGGGCAACAAGAACGAAACTCCATCTCAAAAAAATAAATAAAATAATAAATAATAAATAAAAATAAAAATTAAGCTTTTATTTATAAAAATAGGTGGCAGACCATATTTGGCCTAAAGGTAGCAGTTTGCCCAGCCCTGATCTCAGTGATGGGGGGAATCTTAAGATAGATTAGAGATAAAATTCAATACCTGAATATTCTGATTTTACAATACATGATATTACAGTTCTAATGTTACAATAATTACTTATCTACATTTCATATAGTGTGTGTATGTGTACATATACAATTTGCTAGTTGGCACATTCCTATTTCTTGAGGCAATGATATGCCAAAAGTAAAACTTTGATTTATGTGTAAATATTTGGAGCTCACTCTAAATTCATAAAAGTTTCCATTAAAGCTATATTTGATTTTTCACTGTCTTTCATTCAGTAAACATTTCCTGAGTGCCTGCTATGTTCTAGAAACATCTCCAGGCGCTAGAACAGTTAACAAAAGTAAAAAGGGGGATGTTCTTGTCACTAAAGCAAAGTAGTCAAGATCACAGTGTAAGTATCCAGTACGGTTGTCAAGATCACAGTGTGAAGATCATGCTTGGTTTAATCCTGATCTTTCTACTTATTAGCTGTTAAGATTTGGGCAAGTTCAAATCACTTTCATAATCCTCAGTTTCCTCATCTATAAAATGGGAATAATTATATCTATCTCACATGTTTGCTATAGTTTAAATGTAATATACATCTATGTCTTGTCACCTATAAAGTGCTCACAAATGAAAGCTGTTATTATCAGGGTAGGCAAATATATTTAGGAGGAAAAACAACCAGTGTATTTCAACATCATATGATAAGTCACATAATAGGGACTTGTGTGAACTACTCTGTAAAGGCAGAGGAAGCAACTAACTTGAAGAGATTCAGAGAAAGCTTGACAATGGTGAATTTTTCTGTACGATTATCACTCAACAGATGAGCTACACACAGAGGAGGGAGAAGAACTTAAAGTATTTCTACTTGTTTTATACAGAATACTGGCAAAAGATTAAACCCTGATATGAAAAGGTTCAGAGGTAAAATTTTTATTTGTCTTTAGCTACTTTAGATGTGCCTATCAAAGTTAATTAAGAAATCCATATTCCAACTTCAAAATCTACAGATGCCTAGTGAATTTATATTTCCTGCTGTTTTCCCCCAATCTGGCATCGAAACTTCACACACCCTGATTGAAGCTTTCTCCAGCACCTCATACATTCGTTTTAGTGGAGCTCAATTGTAAGTACAAAGTACACCAAGCATGCAGATCCATATTAAATTGCTAAATCCCTCAAGACTGTTTATGTCAGGCCCAGGGCCTTGAACAATAATGCTCAGAAAACAGGTAACAGACTGAACTCAGCAAGTCTGCTTGCTCAAACACTGTCAGAGAGAAGAGGTTTGCCTATCAGAGATAAGTAATTACAAATTCTTCTCTTTCCTCTGCCCCAGAGAGTTACCCTTAAGTCCTGAAAAACTAGTGTATATTTGAGTATGTAATTTAAGGTGGCCTTTCTTAAATGAGGAGTAAGAATTCAATTTCTAGCAACATGATGAACCAAAGATCCAAACATTTTCTTACTAAAAGTATCAAAATGCTAGATTTAAATATTAATAATGAGACTGGGTGCGGTGGCTCACACCTGTTATCCCAGCACTTTGGGAGGCTGAGGCTGGTGGATCACTTGAGGTCAGGAGTATGAGACCAGCCTGTCCAACATGGTGAAACCCTGTTTCTATCAAAAATAGAAAAATTAGCTGGGTGTGGTGGTGCATGCCTGTAGTCCCAGTACTCGGGAGGCTGAGGCAAGAGAATCGCTTCATCCCAGGAGGTGGAGGTTGCAGTGAGCTGAGATCGCACCACTGCACTCCATCCTGGATGATAGAGCGATACTCTGTCTCAAAAAAATAAATATGAAAAATGTCCCCTAAATGCGGCTCTGAGTTGAAGAAAGTATTCACCTAAGGACAGAGAGGAAGTAGGAATATGAATATAGAGATGTAAATAAACACTAAAGACCTTGCCTGGAGGAAATTTAGAGCTTCCTAGATGACCTAGGATTTGGGTTTTTAAGGGCCAATCTCAGAAGAACAAGAAATTTAAATCCAGGACCCACATCCAGATATCCTTATGCACACATAAAGTGCTACACTTATGGTGAAAAGGTGAATTAGAAAACAAAATGCTCTGCAGTAACAGCATAGAAATTTGTCTACCTCACCTTGGTTCTTGGTGGAGGAAGAGTAAGTCTCCCAAATGAATTCATGGCCTCTAGCTTATTTTCATATGGGTTTGGAGCTGGATTTCATACTATATTTATAGTCCAAAAAACTTAGATTTTTGTATTTAAAGTGCAATGAAACTAGCAGCCCTCTTAGGCTTGAGCAGAAATAAATGCAAATCCTAATGAAGAAATATAAGCTCATTTTTCCTTAAAGAAGAGGGAACCCATTTATTCTAATATGTCTCTTTAATAACCAATGGAGCTGAGCTATTACCTGAAGCTAAAGAAATTCCAATTGATTGGATCTCAGAAGACTGGTTGAGATTTACAATGTTAAAATGGTTTATAAACATGTTTGGGTGTTCCTAAGGTGAAATGATACACACTCTGAAATTTAAATTTTTCTTAAAAATTTTATTTTTAATTTTCACGGGTACATAATAGTTGTACACATTTATGGAGATCTTGTGATATTTTGATAGAAGCATATAATGTGTAATGATCAAAGCAGGGTAATTGGGATATCCATCATCTCAAATATTTACCATTTCTTAATGTAGGGGACATTCCAAATCCACTCTTCCAGTTAAAGTATACAATAAATTAATGTTAAGCATAATCACCCTATTATGCTAATGAATAGATCTTATTCCTGACTGTATTTTTGCACCCATTAACCAACCCCTCCTCATTTTCCCCAGCCTCCAATAACCATCGTTCTACTCTCTACCTCCATGAGATCAGTGTTTTTAGCTCTCACATATGAGTAATAACTTGTAGTATGTCTTTCTGTGTATGGCTTATTTCACTTAACATAATGTCCTCTATTGTTGCTAAAGATGACAGGATTTCTTTTTTATGACTAAATAATATTCCATTGTGTCTATGTACCAAATTTCCTTTATCCACCCATCCATTAATGGACACCTAGCTTGAATCCATATTTTAGCTATTGTGAATAGTGTTTTAATAAACATGGCAGTGCAGATATCTCTTTGATATACTAATTTCCTTACTTTTGGGTATATATCCAGCAGTGGGATTCCTGGATCATATGGTAATTCTATTTTTCATTTTTTTTGTGAACCTCTATACTACTGTTTTCCATTGTGGCTTTACTAATGTACATTCCCACCAACAGTGCACAAGGGTTCCCCTTTCTCTGTATCCTTCCCAGAATCTGTTATTTTTTTTGTTTTAGAAAAAAGCCATTTTCCATACTGTCCAAAGTAATTTATGGATTCAATGCTATTCCCATCAAGCTACCATCAACTTTCTTCACAGAATTAGAAAAAACTACTTTAAATTTCATATGGAACCAGAAAAGAGCCCGTATAGCCAAGACAATCCAAAGCAAAAACAACATAGCTGGAGGCATCACGCTGACTTCAAACTATACTACAAGGCTACAGTAACTAAAACCGCATGGTACTGGTACCAAAACAGATACATAGATCAAAGGAAGAAAACAGAGGTCTCAGAAACAACACCACACATCTACAACCATCTGATCTTCGACAAACCTGACAAAAACAAGCAATGAGGAAAGGATTCCCTATTTAATAAATGGTGCTAGGAAAACTGGCTAGCCATATGCAGAAAACAGAAACTGGACCCCTTCCTTACACCTTATACAAAAACTAACTCAAGATAGATTAAAGACTTACATGTAAAACCTAAAACCATAAAAATCCTAGAAGAAAACTTAGGCAATATCATTCAGGACACAGGCATGGGCAAAGACTTCATGACTAAAATACCAAAAAGCAATTCCAACAAAAGCCAAAATTGACTAATGGGATCTAATCAAACTACAGAGCTTCTGCACAGCAAAAGAAACTATCATCAGAGTGAACAGGCAACCTACAGAATGGGAGAAAGTCTTTGCAATCTACCCATCTGACAAAGGTCTAATATCCAGAATCTACAAGGAACTTAAACAAATTTACAAGAAAAAACAAACAACTCCATCAGAAAGTGGGCGAAGGATATGAACAGACACTTCTCAAAAGAGGACATCTATGCAGCCAACAAACATAAGAAAAAAAGTTCATTATCACTAGAGAAATGCAAATCAAAACCACAATGAGATACCATCTCATGCCAGTTAGAATGGTGATCATTAAAAAGTCAGGAAACAACAGATGCTGGAGAGGATGTGGAGAAACAGGAATGCTTTTACACTATTGATGGGAATTTAAATTAGTTAAACCATTGTAGAAGACAGTGTCGATTCCTCAAGAATCTAGAACCAGAAATACCATTTGACCCAGCAGTCCCATTAGTGGGTATATACCCAAAGGATTATAAATCATTCTACCATAAAGACAAATGCACACGTATGTTTATTGCAGCATTATTTACAACAGCAAAGACTTGGAACCAACCCAAATGCTCATCAATGATAGACTGGATAAAGAAAATGTGGCACATGTACACCATGGAATACTATGCAGTCATAGAAAAGAATGAGTTCATGTCCTTTGCAGGGACATGGATGAAGCTAGAAGCCATCATTCTCAGCAAACTAACATAGGAACAGAAAGTGAAACACTGCATGTTCTCACTCATAAGTGGGAGATGAACAATGAGAACACATGGACACATGTGGCCTGCCAGGGGGTAGGGGGCAAGGGGAGAGAGAGCATTAGGACAAATACCTAAAGTATGCAGGGCTCAAAACCTAGATGATGGGTTGATAGGGGCAGCAAACCACCATGGCACAAGTGTACCTACGTAACAAACCCGCATGTTCTGCATATGTATCCCAGAACTTAAAGTAAAATTAAAATTAAAAAAAGAGCAAACTTACAAAAAAGAAAAAAGTCATTTTAACACGTGAGACACTATCTCATTGTGGTTTTGATTTGCATTTCCCTGACGATTAGTGATGGTGAGCATCACTGTTGGCCATCTGTATGCCTTCTTTTGAGAAATGCCTATTCAAATTTTTTGCCTATTTTAAAATTAGATTATTCATTGTTTTGCTGTTGTTTGAGCTCCTTATATATTCTGGTTATCAATCCCTTGACTGTTGAATAATCTGAAAATACTCTGTCCCATTCTGTAGATTTTCTCTTCACTTTGTTGACTGCTTCCTTCTCTGTACAGAACATTTTTATCTTGATATGATCCCATTTGTCCAAATTGCTTTGGTTGCCTGTGCTTTTCAGTTCTTACTCAAGAAATTTTTGCATAGACCAATGTCCTAAAGCATTTCCCCAATGTTTTCTTCTAGCAGTTTCACAGTTTCAGGTCTCACATTTAAGTCTTTAACCCCTATTGATTTGATTTTCGTATATGGTGAGAGATGGGGGTCTAGTTTCATTCTTTACGATTAAAATTTGAAGTCAAATCAGATATAAATCTTAATAGAAATGTTGTCATTTTCAGAATAAGGAATAAGACAAGATAAGACTTAAAAAGTATGATTTACAGATGTAGTTTTGAGAGATGATGTTCTAATATAGGTAATGTCTCCAGAACTCTGTATAATTCTCACACAAAGTAGTTAGAAATAATTAGAAGCAACATCAACTTTTATTTGGGTAAGGTGCAATCCTTTATTTGAATATCTGCATTTTAGTTAATTCAAGTATCTGCATTTGGTTCATTAAGCAATTATGTAATTGAAATTATTTGTTCCACTCTGCTGAATCATAAAAAGTTACCTGACCACCTGATCATATCCTCATTTTATTTTGAAGCAAATAAAAAATGTCATGGACTATAACAATTCTTGCAATAAACAACAAAGACGTATGTTGGGTTGACAATTTAAAATCACCAAAAGCAGATTCTGGCCACTCACAGCAAATTAACAACAATTATGAACTTCCAAAGGAAATTTGCTGTACTTTGGAGTTAAAGCAGTTGTCTCCTAAATAAAACCAAACTCAAATTCAGTTATACAACTTGAGCATAGTCATAGTTTTTGAATAATCTTTGCTTGAGTCCCAAGTCAAAAACTATATAAAAAGCTACACTAGAAGAATTATGCCAATCCTGGCACCCTTCACCCGTTTCATCCCTGGCTCTTATAGGCAAAATTTTCTCCCAAAGTTTCTTCTCCATCCTCTAGTATTTCTTCATGCAAAAACTAGAATAGGTAAATATATATTCTCATTTCCCCTGGTCTCTTACGCAAAAAAAAAAAAAATA
Organism: Homo sapiens; assembly: GCF_000001405.40. NCBI lineage: Eukaryota > Metazoa > Chordata > Mammalia > Primates > Hominidae > Homo > Homo sapiens. The sequence goes on from NC_000013.11 coordinate 95,979,565, forward strand.
CAGACTTGCTTACAGAATGCCCTGCCAACTTTTTGAAATCTTTCTTTCTCAGTTTAATTCTGATCTGTATTCTTCTTATTATGAGTAAGGAAAGATTGTTATTATGTATTTAAAGACCTTAAATTAAAAAGGACAGCAGAGTTAGCAGACAGCCCAGAGTGGGAGAAAATCTTCACAATCTACACATCCGAAAAAGGACTAATATCCAGAATCTACACAGAACTCAAATCAGCAAGAAAAAAAAATCCCATCAAAAAGTGGGCTAAGAACATGAATTAGACAATTCTCAAAAGAAGATATACAAGTGGGCAACAAGCATATGGAAAAATGCTCAACATCACTAAGTATCAGAGAAATGCAAATCAAAACCACAATGCAATACCACCTCACTCCTACAAGAATGGGTATAATTTAAAAAACCAAAAAGTAACAGATGTTGGCACGGATGTGGTGAAAAGGGAACACTTTTACAATGTTGGTGGGAATGTAAACTAGTACAATCACTATGGAAAACAATGTGGAGATTCGTAAAAGCAGATCTACCATTTGATCTAGCAATCCCACTACTAGGTAACTGCCCAGAGGGGTGGGGGGGAAGTCATTATATGAAAAAGATACTTGCATATGCATGTTTATAGCAGAACAATATGCAATTGCAAAAATATGGAATCAGCCCAAATACCCTATACATACCACGGAATACTACTCAGCCATAAAAAGGAATGAAATGGCATTTGTGCAACCTGGATGGAATCGAAGACTATCATTCTAACTGAAGTAACTCAGGAATGGAAAACCAAACATCATATGTTCTCACTCATATGTGGGAGCTAAGCTTTGAGGATGCAAAGACATAAGAATGATACATTGGACTTTGGGGACTCGGGGGAAAGGGCGGGGGGTGGCAAGAGATCAAAGACTACACATTGGGTACCAGGTACACTGTTCAGGTGATGGGTGCACCAAAATCTCAGAAATCACCACTAAATAACTTATTGATGTAACTAAACACCATCTGTTCCCAAAAAACCTACTGAAATTAAAACAAACAACTGATCAAAGTAGATGGTTTGGGTTTGGCTTGGTTTTTAACTAAAGCCTTTGCGCCCTCTAGTGGGAAGATGGAGCAGCCCAGCATCCACAGTGTGTGCTCTTCAGAGCTGGATGTCGCTTTGGAATCAAGATTCTTGGGAGGCCAAGGCGGGGCAGATTACCTGAGGTCAGGAGTTCGTGACCAGCCTGGCCAACATGGCGAAACCCTGTCTCTACTAAAAATACAAAAATTAGCCGGGTGTGGTGGCGTGTACCTGTAATCCCAGCTACCCAAGGAGGCTGAGGCAGGAGAATTGCTGGAACCCGGGAGGCAGAGGCTGCAGTGAGCCAAGATCATGCCACTGCACTCCAGCCTGGGTGACAGAGCAAGACTCCATCTCAAAGATTCTTCCTGTTTCCTTTTATATTTGTGGGCAGGATGTTTCTTTTATTTATGTATTTATTTTAAACTAAATGTTTCTTATCTCCTCTACTCGAAGGTCATATCCTCTTTATCTCCTTAAGTAAAGCCAGGAGCTCTGCAGTACCCCCAAGTGAGAAAAATTATGCTTAAGACACTTTTGTTGGCCGGGCGCGGTGGCTCACGCCTGTAATCCCAGCACTTTGGGAGGCAGAGGCGGGCGGATCATGAGGTCAGGAGATCGAGACCATCCTGGCTAACGCGGTGAAACCCCGCCTCTACTAAAAATACAAAAAATTAGCCGGGCGTGGTGGCGCGCGCCTGTGGTCCCGGCTACTCGGGAGGCTGAGGCAGGAGAATGGCGTGAACCCGGGAGGCGGAGCTTGCAGTGAGCCGAGGTCGCGCCACTGCACTCCAGCCTGGGCGACAGAGCGAGACTCCGTCTCAAAAAAAAAAAAAAAAAAAAAAAAAGACACTTTTGTTTTAGTTTAGTCCCAGACCCAGAGGAAAATCCTTCAAATTTCTTAAGTAAATCCTTAAAAAGTGTAATTTACACCAGAGCAATTGACCTGGTGTAAATAAACTGCAGCATGAGAAGAAGAAGAAAAAAAGACCATTATTACTTCTTTTTTCGGTGAACATTTTGTTTACATGTTTTGCAGGAAATGTACTTTTCGGTTTGTATGGATGAGATGCTGTAACAGAAACACATTTCCAGGGCTTTCTCGTGTCCAATCCGTGTGCAATGCAATTGCAATGAATAGTCCAAGATTTTCTTACCTTCTCATCACAACCACCCTCTTCCCCAAGGTTGGAACTTCAGTTTCTTTAATTACTTCTCCCACATCTCATGAGCTAGTGGGTAACATGGACTGCTAGTCCAAATACCCATTTAGCCTAGATTAGTTACATGAAAGACATTATCATCCTTGTCTTTCTCTTTTCAGTGTTCTCTGGAAGTAGTAGGTGATCAAGAAGACTATCTGCAGTGTCATGATTATTTAGTTTACTAAATTCAAGATTTCTTGCTCTGCAGTCAAAGCTCATTTCAAAACTCTTTCACTGCCAATTCCAAATGGCTGACAGGTAGATAAGGTGATGGCCATAGTGGCCCTGAGTAAGCTGGCATACTCAGGTTGCCAGCATGGTTCTGATATAGCAGTTAGGAAGAAATTATTTAGGCAGATAGTGAGTCCTCGGTAAGGTTTTCCTTTTAATGAAAAGCCGCCCCCAAATCATTTTATTTTCTAACAAAGAACAGCCTGTAAAATCGAGCTGCAGACACAGGCAAGCAAGCTAGAAGCTTGCATAGGTAAATGCTGGCATTGTGCCAGTAGGAACAGGTTACCTGGGACCAGGCATGTTCAAAACGGCAGCTCCATCTTCCCTTCTTTCCAGTCCACATGTACAGTAAGAAGCAGATAACATGGCAGCAGCCAAGTGGAAAGCCCATATGCATAATAGGGTGGAGTGGTCAGCCTTCCCCATGCATTATGTAAAACATCATACCTGCTCCAACCAATTTGTGGGCCCTATGTAAATCAGACACCGCCTCCTCAAGCCTATTTGTAAAATCCAGTGCACTCTGTAGGCAGCCCGAATTCCCATTCAGGTGCCCCTCTCTCTCATAAGAGAGAGAGAGCTGTTCTCCTTTCTCTTTCTTTTGCGTATTAAGCCTCCACTCCCAAACCCACTCCTTTGTGTGTCATAAGAAAACAATCCATTCTGCATGAAGAATGGTAAGAACAATTAGGAACATCATAGAATGGACCAATACCACAAATCCGTTTTGAAGGATACACAGGAATTTGTAAGGTGGTCAATGAGGCAAAGAATGTCCCAGGTAGGAATGATGTGTTGTGGTTCCTAACACCTGTTCTCCAATGAACTATGCATCTTTTTCTTCATTACCATCATTGTAGTTGTCATCAAAACAGCTGACATTTGTTGACAGCTCACTCTGTCTCAGTATGATGGGCACTGCTGGCTGGCTAAGTTAGCACCATACCCAGGCCACTTCTCCTTTGCTTCGTTATTAGAAAAGTAAACACTAGCTTTTCTAGCTTCCCGCGCAGCCTAAGGTGGCCACATGGCAAAATCCTCACCAATGAGATAGAAACCAGTCTGCTAAAATGTTCCAAGAAGGCTTTAGTGAGGATAAATGTGGTTGGTACCATCCACCCTGCCTCTTTTGGCTTTAAATACAGGTAAGAAGTGAGAAAAATGAACTCCTAGTGTTTAGGGCCCTGTGAGTCTGGTATGATACTACTTAAAGCCAAACCGGTCCTATGTAATAAAGCCAGGCAGTGGTGTAAGCACTTTACAAATATTAACACAACTAGAATTATTTGGGGTCTATGGATAATTTAAGATACCATTTGGCAGAATCTTATCAAACCACTGATAAATTGTATTCTATCTGCTATAGGATTCTACCGTTCCAGTGGTCTAACACTGACTCAGTCTTCACAAGCTTTTAAGCAAAACTAATTACAAGAAACAGAATAATTAACTCACAGCCTTTATTCTTTATCCTATGAAGAAAACCATACTACCTCGGAAGAAATTCTGGAATATACTGTGAAATAAGTAGAAGGTATGTCAGAAAAGATTGGCTGATTAAATGCTCATATAGTCCACAGTATAAAAATAGAAGAACCCAGACTGTTTTAATAATCAAAAAAGCACAAATTACTATTTCCTTTTTTGTATGAATATTGAAGATCCAAAGTCAGAAACAGTGATATTAGTTGGGTAAATGTTTTAAAAAAGGAATTCAAACAAACCTTTTGATTTTCCTTTATTTCTTCTCTCATATGTTGATTTACAGCAATTCTGGTTAGAGATCTGGAAAAATGAATACTAATATAATTGATCCTTCCTTAAATGTTTAGAACTGATCTATATAACCCAATGTAATCTAATACTTTGGATAAGAAGCTAAAAACTCCAAATCCTTTGTGACTGAAAAGTATACATTTCCATATGGCCTAATTTAGCTTTCATTTGACAAAAGTATTTGGTTCAAGTGGAATGGAGGTTCTCAAAATTTCATGTGTACTAGCTGTATGCAGTATGGATTGTCATCATTTACTATGACTTATTTTTTGAAAACACTTCATTGAAAAAGCTGTTTTGCGTTATTTTGCCCAATAGAGAAATTTTGTATGAAATTACCAATGTATAAGTACATGAATATACGTACATGAAGAATTTTTTAGTTAACCTGGGAACCTACCAGAGTAGAAATGTTCTAAAAAACTGAAATCATGGCTTTACATCACTCACTCTTTCAATTTTTTCAATTTGTTTATTAAAAACATTTTTTTAGAGACAGAGTCTCACTCTTCTACCCAGCAGGACTGCAGTGGCATGATCACAACTCACTGTAGTCTCGGGTTCCTGGGCTCAAGTGATTCTCCTGCCTCAGCCTCTCAATTAGATAGGACTACAGGTACACACCACCACATCCAGCTAATTTTTCAATTTTCTTCTAGAGATGGAGTCTTCCTATGTTGCCCGGGTTGGTCTAAAACTCCTGGCCTCAAGTGACCCTCCTACTGCCACCTCCCAAAGTGCTGAAATTATAGGTGCGAGCCATTGCACCCAGCCTATTCACTCTTGAAGAGTTTATAATTCACTTATAATTTAAAGACAGCAGAAGTGTTCAAAATACAGTTCCTATGGACTGTATTCAACTTGATAATTCCTAAACATGACTAGCTTTTACAAATTTTATAAATAGAATTAAAAAATTAAAAGATTGTTAATGCAAAGTTCTGCTTTAAGGAAAACTCAAGTAGAAAGGTGTACCTTGAAACAGCCCACAATAAGTATATATTATTTCCTAAAGTTTGGCAGCATTGTGAGAAATTACAATTAAAAATTTAATAAGGCAAATTTTTCATTTATTTAGCAAATATTTCATTTCAACAAACATTTACAGATTGTCTACCAAGTGGTTTTAGAGATATGCTCAAGCCTACAATTTAGCCATTAAGCAATGTTAGCATATTTTATAATTTTTTCTTAATTACAGATTAACAGCAGAGTTTTGCATCAGAACCTCTGAACAGTTATACTGACTTAGCATCAATAGAGCTAATCAACTGTCTGATCAAGACTAAAGTTATTTTACTTTATTTGTATTTGATCTAATAATTTTTATAACGGCCATTAATTAAAATATTATGGCTAAACAGATATGACATTTATACACACCCATATATATTTCATGTTTTATTATATAAATGACGACTTCTCAAATTCTTGACATTTAAAGTTGACTGAAAGAGGCATATCAATATATTCATTCTTAATCTGTAAATAAGGAAACAAACTCCTTTATTTCAAGGTACCACCAAAAAATCCTTGGTATCTTGTAGCCAACCATGTACTATTTATTTACTTTCAAAATTAAAGAATACATATATTGAAGATTCTGTAATCTGTATGATGAATAAATGTACAAAATAGTGTTTGGGACAATAAGAGGCATAGCAATCATTCTATGCTTAGGAAGGTATGCTAAGCTAGTAGACTGCTCTCCAATTCCTCTCAGTAAAACACCATTGTTGCCCATGCACTGCGACTTGTCACATATTTTATCTCTTTAGTATAAGCTAACTCATATTTTACTTGTTGCTAATTTTATACTCTGTCATCCCTAACCAGAATACAATTGCATCAAAGTTGTGTTATATAGCAAATTCTCATAATACGTGGTAACTTGCATTGCATGCACCGGTCTCTTTAAGCTATGCAAATGTATTTCCTATTGAAATGGAATATATGTTTAATGTAACATCAGTATTCATGGAAGCAGTTCAACGAGACATCCTCTTGGCAAAAAAGTACTCCACACAATATTCATCCAATTAAGACATTACCAATCATTTGGACTCTGAAAGGGTAAGAATATGATTTGGCAGTACTTTGGGCATAGACCTCCTACTTAGAGTAATACTTTTTATCATCCTCCATAAGGGAAAGAAAAAACACTCCTTCATTATTTATTGCTTAAACAAGTTTTTCCTTAGATTACTATGCATGATTTTAGAAAATTTTTTAGGACTTTTTTTCCTATTTGCCTCTAACAAGAGTTCTACCTTACAGTGCATACACACATGTATGCACAAGCCAATATTTTGCTCTAATCAAAAAATATATATATATTGAAAAGGCCCTGATTTCACAAAAGCTATATATACTAGAACTAATTGACACCTTCATGTTAAATGAAATCAGCTATTTTCATAAAACTCATTTAATAGAAAGAGTTATAGCTGCAATGAAACCTATAAACTTTAACATACCTGGCTTTTATGGGGAAGTTCTGTGAAATGTCTTTCATTAATTTAATGGAATCATAAACTGGAGCGGACATTATTTGAGAAGCTGCTTGAAAACTAAGATCTGGAAGGAAAAATATTATTAAGGAATCTAGCATAATATTAGACCTTTATAGACATTTCCATGAAATTGAAATACTTGACTCAATTCTTCTTGCCAAGTATTAGTATACAAACATGTTAATACTGTTACATCTGCATTTTTAAAAAGTTTTAAATGTAAAGTTATCACTTATTTCCAAATATAAGCTTTATACTTTTATGAATGACTATTTAATACCTCTTGTTTCCACAAATTACAGTATAATTTCGAGAGAGATATATGAAAAGAAATGCTCTCGCAAAGCTTTTTCTATACTTAAATGAAACATATGACAAAAAGTCAAAAGAATAATGAAGAGGAGTAAAAAGAGCTTTAAAGAGCCAATTCTGAAAAGACCTCTAAGAAAGCTCCACTGTGTTTAACTCAGTAAATAGAAACATTCAATTTCTCTTTCAACATTGTTTTACCTTTGTGCTGAAATAAAATCCTAAACTTAGTATTATTTTATCTGATATGACAATCCTATAAAAAGAAAAATGTGTGTTGCTAACTGTGGTTAGTTTCAAACATGTCAGAAGAATTCATCTTAGTATTATTACTTTGTCAAGAGTCAGAAAAGATTTAAAACTAAATTCTTTCATTACCTACCTCAACAGTGAGGCAGATTGTTTCTCCTTTAGCTTAAGGACAGGATACTCACCCCACCACTGAACCTAACCATCTGGATATCTTACAATGACTTTAAATCAACCTTTCAACACTAGTCTCATTATTTCTGAGTCCCATATTCAGCCCCAAAGTCTGCTTACATGTTTTATATATTCTCTCTACTCAGGCTCAAGCTAGAAATCCTAGAATTATCTTTGACTCCTTTTCACCTTCTAAATATTTATATGCCTTCTATCACTATTTCAGTAATGTCTACCTAGATTTCTTGCTTTTAGTCCATTGAAATACATCTTACACAGACATTAGGGAGTCAACTAGAACTAAGCTGACTATGCATACTCTTTGCTTAAAGGCCTTCAAAAACACCCCATCACTTATACTTTTCTAAATTATGCAAAGGCCCCTTAGAGAACATTTTGAAGGAGGCTTAAAACATAATTATACTTTTTAAAAAGTGCTAAAATAGAGACATAAAAAAGGATCTAAAAATAATTGAAGATACTAGAAAGAGACTATCTGAAATTATGGATTTAGGAATATAAGCTCTATTAGAACTTAGACAAGAGCTTCACAAACCATGCTAAGGGGTTTAAACTTAATACTTTTAATGGATGTGCATGAAATCAGTCCTTAATGATGCAAATGACTTGGCTAGCTAGTCCTATCAACCCCTTCTTACATTCGAAGTCTCTCCAGAAGTATTTACCTTGGAAAAACAGAACTTTCTCAGAGAAGAGGACTGCATACTTTGTTTGCCCCCCGCATCCACTCTTTCCTGCTCCGGGCCCCCAAAAGGCTGGCCTATCTGAACTGCATCAATAAGCTCCCTTGCCCTCAGATTTCTAGTTAGATTCAGCCAATCCAAGTAACTAATATGGGATCAGTAAGCAAGAAAAGAGTAAGGAGTGGAATAGTTACTACCCAGATCCCTTCCTTGATACACAGAGGACAGTCCCTCGGGGTACTACTGCTGTGTCAAGCAGCTCTCTCGACACACTCTCCAGGTTTTGGTAACCACTCTCTCCTCTTGCTCCCTCAAGATTAGGGGTAGAAAATGTTTCCATCTAGTTGCAAATACTGGAATCGAATAATCCATTCCTTGTTGGTTTCCCTCAATCATGCCTGTCTCTGTAAAAAGTCCCTTTATTAAACTTTTTAGTTTGTGTGTGCCAACATTTTCCTGTGGGGACTAATGTAAGGCCACTATTTGATCAGGGATGTACAAGTGATAAAGCCTGGCTGATTTGACACAAGGCCAAAATCAGATTTTCATTTTAGAAAGATTATCTCAGTAACCTTATTGAGAATGAATTTGAAACTACTACCTCAGTTTAGTGTTATCATGATGTCAAGTGAAAGAACAGTCACAAGGGCTGTGGTATAATAAAAGGAGGTCTAAGCATGAGGTCTAGATGAGACATTAAATAGGAAACTGTACACCAGAAGGGTCCAGGGAGAATAGATTCTATCAGTTCAAAGAGGTAGATTCTTTACAGTAAATCTATCATAACAATGGCCTTGAATCTCATTCTGCTGAATGATTTTTCTATTGATATATTGATTTTCTAATGATACAGGGCTTAGTTGATACAACATTTGTATTAGGTAGGTAAAGAATAGCAGAAGTTATAAAACTTAATAGATTGTGTCTTGCACATTCTGCTATAATTTTAAAATGTAACATTCAATATTCTGTTAAGTGTATATAAAGTTTACCTAGATACCATATGGTACAGTATAAAGAATTTTACTTGGACCAAAATCTTCACTTATTAGCTGTGTGGTAACTGGCACTTAAATAAGATAGTTTATATGAAAGGACTCTGTAAACTATAATCCAGATGAAATATAAAATATTATTTGTATGTTATAAGTAAGTTATACTAGTGAGAGTGGCCTGTAAATATCCTTTTAGTTGTTATTTTAAAAACAGAAAGTAGATTGGTGGTTGCCTACAACTGGGGAGTTGGGAAATGAGGAGTGACTGCTAATGAGGGTGTTAGTTTTTTGGGGGGATGATGAGAATTTTCTAAAATCAACTGTGTTAAGAGTGGCAGCATTCTAAAAATATGCTAAAAACTATTGAATGGTAGAATTTAAAAGGGCAAATTGAATAGTATGTGAACGTATTAGTATGAATAGTATTATTATAGTAATGTCATTATTTACATCACTAATGTCTATAAAATAATCTATATCATCTGAGATATAAAAGCTTATTTAACAAAAGAGCTTATTAAGCTGTTATATTTTTAAAAGTTGATAAAAGATGACAAAAGTTAGATTATGCAGAAAGATGACATGTCCCCATGACCTACTAAATCATTACAAATAAAGAAGAAAAATTATAAATTGAAAAGTACTTAAAAGTTCAAACCAAATCAAATTTTGTTCACAAAATATCTGCTTGTAGGTTTTCAGTACAGAAGCTGTTCCTAACTTTGTAAAACTGCATGTCCTCCATTTGATGTTTCCATTAAACATTTATCAATGAAACATGCAATAGTCTTAACAGGATCTAAATTTCAAAAAGAAGAAAACCAAGATTAAGTTTCATTTTCTCCTTACCTAGGAGTTAGGACTTTTAATCAGTTATAGTCTCCACAAATGTGATTTAATACTTGAGACTAACCTATAAATCAGTATATACTTTTGAAATAACATTGAATAACCTCACTTCATATAATTTTAAGTCTTGCAAATATAAAAATATAGCTTGCTTGAGGGATGATCTGTTAAATAGGTATTGCCACAAAAAATCATAATTTATATTATTCACTAGTCATTAATACTGTCCATAAAATAATCTATATCATGTGATATATAAAAGCTTATTTAACAAAACAGATCAGTTACCAAAATGCTGTGTTAAAGTATCTCAAAATACTATACCTTGTAGTTCCCAGACTTTCAAAGGCATCATTTGTTTGTTACTCTCAATCAGGTATTTTTGGAATGCTGTCAGATTATCTCTAAGATCTGAATATATTTCTCTGCATCAAAATATTAAGTGATGTTAAGTAGCATCACCTATCACAAACCATTATACAAACAGCATATTTTTGAAATTACATATTCCATGTAATTAGACATAAATGAATCATTCATCATTAAGATAATCATAAATTGTGATACAGCTATATTCACGGAACTTAAAAATAATGAGGAAGATATACAGGTCTCTTTTATTAAATATATGAAACAAAACAAAATCTGGAGGAATATACTCTCAATTGTTAGTGTCAACTGTAAGCGATGCAAGGATGAGGGCAGACTTATGTTTTCATATTACATACTTTTTGTTTAACATTTTATAAATTGCAAGCCTTGCTTTTATAATTGAAAATAAAAACTATAAGGAAAGTCAAAAATGCCTCATACAATCAGAGTTTATTTCTGAAAAGTTCCATCTTTGATTCTTATAAAAAACTAAAATAAGATAATTTTACCCATTGTTAAACATCTCTAGGCATCTTTTAGAGAGCCAAATAATGATGTAGTAGAATGGTATTTTACTATACACACAATCTAAACTGTAATCTTCTTTCCTCTATCACTCATGAAATCAAGACATGGTGCCATTTCAGATTTAAATGGAGAAATACAATTTAAAAAAGTTACTATCAGCACAACTTACAAAATACATATTTTCATTTTATTATACTTTAAGTTCTGGGATACATGTGTAGAACGTGCAGGTTTGTTACACAGGTATACACGTGTCATGGTGGTCTGCTGCACCCATCAACCCGTTATCCACATTAGGTATTTCTCCTAATGCTATCCCTCTCCTAGCTCCCCACCCCCGACAAGCCACGGTGTGTGATATTCCCCTCCCTGTGTCCATGTGTTCTCACTGTTCGAGTCCCACTTTTGAGTAAGAACATGTGGTGTTTGGTTTTCTGTTCCTGTGTTAGTTTGCTGAGAATGATAGTTTCCAGCTTCATCCATGTCCCTGCAAAGGACATGAACTTATCCTTTTTTATGGATGCAGAGTATTCTATGGTGTATATGTGCCACATTTTCTTTATCCAGTCTATCATTGATGGACATTTGGGTTGGTTCGAAGTCTTTGCTATTGTGAATAGTGCTACAATCAACATACGTGTGCATGTGTCTTTATAGTAGAATGATTTATAATCCTTTGGGTATACACCCAGTAATGGGCATTGCTGGGTCAAATGGTATTTCTGGTTCTAGATCCTTGAGGAATTGCCACACTGTCTTCCACAACGGTTGAACTCATCTACACACACACCAACAGTGTAAAAGCCTTCCTATTTCTCCACATCCCCTCCAGCATCTGTCGTTTCCTTTTTAATGATTGTCATTCTAACTGGTGTGAGATGGTGTCTCATTGAAAACACGTATTTTCAATAGTCAATAGACAAGCCTTTGAAAAGTGAAATAAAAAATACAGAATATACATAAATATGGTAATCTTATAGTTACGAATAAATATATATAGTACAGTGTCAATATCTTACAGGTTTACTACAATGTGGGATCATGTTTTGAAAACAAATCAAAATTGCTATGATAATAAAAGTACAATGGCATTTCTTTCTAAAAGAAGTTCACTATGAATTAAGCAAACATTTCCTTTTTCAATATTTTTAAGTTATCAGATTATAAGTTTATAAGAGCTACTATACCAATTTTCATATTTAATCATCATCTTAATAACTTTCACTGCTAAAATTCTTTATATAATTTAGGCAACATATATATTATTCATAAAGTACCTCAAAGGATTTTTGCTTTGAAATGAGCAGTCACTGAGTCACTGTGGAAGACTAATTTTGAGTATTCCCTTTTAAAAATGAATAGCCTTGGGAGACCGAGGCAGGCGGATCACGAGGTCAGGAGGTCAGGAGATCAAGACCATCCTGGCTAACATGGTGAAACCCCATCTCTACTAAAAATACAAAAATTAGCTGGGAGTGGTGGCAGACGCCTGTAATCCCAGCTACTCAGGAGGCTGAGGCAGGAGAATTGCTTGAACCCGGGAGGCAGAGGTTGCAGTGAGCCGAGATGGCTCCCCTGCACTACAGCCTGGGTGACAGAGCTAGAGCTAGACTCCGTCTCAAAGAAAAGAAAAAAAAATGAATAGCCATATGAATTTTAGAATAGATTCCTCTAATTCTGTGAAAAATGACATTGGTAGTTTGACAGGAATAGCACTGAATCTGTAGATTGGCAGTATGGCCATTTTAATGACATTCATTCTTCCAATCCATGAGCATGGAATGTTTTTCCATTTGTTTGTGTCAGCTATGATTTCTTTCAGCAGTGTTTTGTAGTTCTTGTGGAGATGGTTCACCTCCTTGGTTAAATGTATTCCTACATACTTTTTTTGGTGTGTGGCTATTGTAAATGGGATTGCCTGCTTGTTTTGGCTCTCAGCTTGAACATTATTGGCTTTTAGTAATGCTACTGATTTCTGTACACAGATTTTGTATCCTGAAACTTACAGAAGTTGTTTATCAGTTTTAGGAGCCTTATGGCGGAGTCTTTAGGGTTTCCTAGGCAAAAGACATGAACAGACACTTCTCACAAGAAAACATATAAGCAGCCAAGAAACATATGAAAAAATGCTCGACATCACTAATCATCAGAGAAATGCAAGTCAAAACCACGAGATACCCTCTCACGCCAGTCAGAATGGCTATTATCAAAAAGTCAAAAAGTAACAGATGCTGGCAAGGCTGCAGAGAAAAGGGAATGCTTATATGCTGTTGGTGGAAATGTAAATTAGATCAGCCACTGCAAAAAGCAGTTTGGAGATTTCTCAAAGAACTTCAAACTACCACTCAACCCAGTAATCTCATTACTGGGTATTCACCCAAAGAAAAATAAATAATTCTGACAAAAAGACATATGCACTCATATGTTCATCATAGCACTTATTCACAATAGCAAAGACATGCAATCAACCCAGGTGCCATCAATGGCAAACTGGAAAAAGACAATGGGATACATATACCACCATGGAAAATCCTGCCCTTTGCAGCAACATGAATGCAGCGGTAGGCCATTATCCTAAGTGAATTAACACAGGAACAGAAAACCAAATACCCTGTGTTCTCACTTATAAGTGAGAACTAAGCATTGGGTATACACGAACATAAAGATGGGAATAATAGATACTGGGGTCTATTAGAGTGGGAAGATGGCAAGGGCTGAAAAACTACCTGTTGGGTACTATGCTCACTACCTGGGTGATGGGATCATTCATACCCCTAACCTCAGCATCACAAAATATATCCATGTAACAAACCTGCACGTGTATGCCTTGAATCTAAAATAGAAGTTGAAATAAAATAAAATTAAATTAAAATTAAAATAGCCCAGTGTTCCACGTGATCTTTTGGAGAAAATGCAATTTAATCCCATAAAAAGTTATATTCAAAAGAGAAAAGAACTATAAATTCCAAGATGTTGAGATAGCTGAAAATGGGATAAAAATGTATTGTTAGCTGCTAAATAAATACCTTACTTAGAATAAAACCATTTTGTAAGCTGTATTAACATTTTAAGGCCACTAGAGTATACTGACTGGCCAACATACTTTAAAAATGTAACATAGTTATCCATATAAATTAGCATAGTCTCCAAAAATCTTATCCTTACTGTCTATAGTTATCTACTCATCACCAGGAGAACCACCCTGAGAGTCCTTCATAAATGACTGTAATACTAAACAAGAACTAAAGGTGTTAATAAAAATATTTCTTTAATTAATTTTGCCTGGATAAAGAAATCATAAACTTTCACTTGTAAATAAGGGAAAATGTACATGAAATTACAGCCATCCCCATTCATGAGTATTCATAGAGCACTCACCATGCTATTCCTTGTCTTCAATCAGCGTGGCAGGAAAAAAAGGGGGGGGTATAACTTTAATTTTTGAAAGCTTACTTATATATGTATATGAAATGGTAATCTGTAGTACAGAAAATTTGAGTAATAAACGTTTTCTTTTCTTTGGGGCTATACATTTGTTCAAGCTAAAGGTCCAATATTATCAATGATTTTTGTAACTCATTAGATCAGTAAAGTTCTAGATTCTATAAAGTTTTTAGTTTTCTGTCAGAACTTTATCAACTCCTGTTTCTCTAAGCACACTAAGTCAAATTTATCATATGAAAAGTGATTTTAAGTATCTCATACTTTATGAATGTCAGATGTATTAGAACTCCCTAAAAATAAAGAAACCAATATAATAAAGAGGAATATTTACCACAGCTTGCCAAGTTAATTTATTAAAAAACAGTAAAAATAACACTGAGTTTAAAAATAGTAAATATTAGCTAACATTATTACAATATTTATTTTAAAAAATAATGATTTACTTAATTTTTTTCCTCAAAAGAAATTCAATTTAGGCAGTTTTTTCTTGGCAGCATTTTGTGAAACTATTTTAATAAATAATAACTTAATAATTATAATTTTCATTTATTTTATTCATGTTTAACAAACACATTAATGCTTATTATATTCCATGAATTGTTAAAATGCTTTATTACTAAATTATATTATTTTTTCTCTCCAAATTTAAAAACTTCCTAAACAAGTATGTACTATACCAATTATTTACTTGACTTTTATGGCAGCTGTGTTAGAATAAAGAAAAGTACTACTTTCGAATATGGGAAATCATAATTTGTATGGTGATAGCACCATATAGTGCAAATGAAGAACAGGATCAAAAAATGCTACAAGGCTAATAAATATTTAACAATTTATTTGTTGCCTTATGTTTGTTGTTTCATGTCTTTGAGGTTTAGCCATTCTATAAATGAACTTTATTTATGGGACAAATAATTTATTCTGGGTAAAAGGAGAAAAACATGCATATTTAACAGTTACCAACCATAGGTATCGAAAGTCTTAAATTTCAAATTTTCTAGTTATCCCAGGGATACCACCAGAGTTTCAGAAATAAAATCCCACTCTCAATGTAAACATAACAGTTGTATCTAATGAAAAAAACTTCCATCTTTAAGATTAATATGAAAATAAACTTCGACAGTAAGTAATTCAATATGTGGCAAAGGTTTCAGAATTTTTTATAAAGAGCTGTTATAATTAGTAAAAAAAGATAAACACAGCAAGAACAAATGAGCACAAGTTAGGAATAAGCAATTTACTCAAGAAGAAATTCCAAGGCCAATAAACATGAAAAAAAGTTAATCCTTGCAATAATAGACTGCCAATAGTTGACTTTCTTGGAGACAAATTATAAAATTGGTTCAATCCAGTGAATTAAATACACTTTTTTAAAAAAAGAAACAACATTTCATTTATTAAACTGAAAAAGATTTTAAAAATAGTATGAGTGGTTATTAATTAAAGTTCTGGGAAGTGAACACATTTCACATTCTGGGGTGAGTGTCCATGTTAGTACAATTTTATGAGGGTAGTTTACAAGTATGAATCAAAAATTTCAAGAAGCACATATACTTTATCAACTATTTTCCTGAAATTTGTGCTAAGGAAAATCTGCAATACACACAAACTGGTACACAAAAAAAAAATTAAATGAAAAAGTAGGGAAAGAATTTAAAGTCCTGTTCTATGGGACTGTTTCAATAAATGATGGACTATCCACAAGATGTGAAAAAAACAGCTACACACTATGGTTCTACTGTGCAAAACAATATGTTGTGTATGCATTTATTTGATGCTATAAAAATATTCACAGAAAGACTGGAAAAACATACTGTACACCAAAACATTATGAGTTATCTCTTTAATTGTGAAATTAGTGATTATTTTTAAATGTGCTTTTCTGCTTTCTGTAGCTTTTTGACATTAGCCATGTGTTACTTCTGTAATAAATAAAAACAATCGTATGTGTGTGTGTTTGTACTTTCTACATAAAAGAAAGGTGAAGCATATGGCAAAACAGTATATCAAATTAATTCCTTAAAAACCAATGGGTATAATAATACCAATTTCATTTCCATTCAGACTTACTTTAGTTTCCCAAAGAGAAATCCTTGAACTTCATTTGTTTCAGTCTCATCCTCTACAGTAGTATTAGTCACAGCTACATTTTGGAAACAAAACCAAAAAACAACAAAAATATTTTCAGACTGGGAAAAGAACATGTAATCAAAAATTAGAAGAACTTGGCCAGGTGCGGCAGCTCATGCCTGTAATCCCAGCACTTTGGGAGGCCGAGGTGGGTAAATCACTTGAGCTCACGAGTTCAAGACCAGCCTGACCAACACAGTGAAACCTTGTCTCTACTAAAAATACAAAAATTAGCCAGGTGTGGTGGTGTGCGCCTGCAGTCCCAGCTACTTGGGAGGCAGGAGAGTGGCTTGAGCCTGGGAGGTGGAGGTTGCAGTGGACTGAGATCGTGCCACTGCACTCCAGCCTGGGTGACAGAGTAAGACCGTGTCTAAAAAAAAAAAAAAAAATTAGAACTCACAATGAAATGAAATTCCATTCGTTTTACCTTGTTTTTCCTTCATGGACCAGATTAATACATATATATGCATGTGTACAGGCTAACATTCCTAAGTGTGAGCTATCTTTTTTAACATGCTTGATTAAATACTTAGCAACTATAATAAAGTGCTTTATAGATTAGTTAATAGTCAAGTTCTATTTCATAATCAGAAATAAGCCAAAAGGCCTGTAACAAATGCTGGGTTTAGCTTTTAAGTGAGGCAGGAGGTCCAAACCCTAAGTTTAAATATGAGTTCCTACATATTTCCAACACCTTTAAAGATAATCAAGGAACATTTAGAAAGACACCAAAACTCATGGTCTCAAAGAATAAAGATATAATATTTTATAGTCATTTCCCTTCTCCCTTACATACCAAATAATTATACTATACAGTCTGGTTGGTGTAATATGTGAAGGGTGCTTTAGGATCATAAAGACTGTGACCTCTTATAGTGTGTGGGGTGGCTCTCTATCAGAGTTTATCAGAGCTCAGCAATTACGCTTACTCTTTCTTACTTTTCTGAGACTCTGAATCTCTAGGACTATAAGTAAAAGCAACCCTGGGTACTTTGATCTAGTCATCCTTTTCCTCTTGTTTGTTCATTCATTCATTGGGCAAACATTTATTGACTGCTTACTATGAGGTGTCTATGACAGGATAGACACCAAGAACAACAGAGACACAAAAAATACAGACCATGAACTTTTCTAAAAGAAGGCACAGAAAGATATGGGATATAGAAAAGAGAAGAGCATTCTCTAACAGAGCAGCAAGATAGGCAGCCATCTCAGAGGCACAGACTGATATATTTATTAGTCTGGCCAGGTGTGGTGGCTCACGCCTGTAATCCCAACACTTTGGGAGGCTGAGGTGGGTGAATCACAAGGTCAGTTCAATACCAGCCTGGCCAACATGGTGAAACCTCGTCTCTACTAAAAATACAAAAATTAGCCAGGTATGGTGGCAGGCGCGTGTAATCCCAGCTACTCAGGAGGCTGAAGCAAGAGAATTGCTTCAATCCGGGAGGCAGAGGTTGCAGTGAGCTGAGATCACACCACTGCACTCCAGCCTGGGTGACAGAGCAATGATTCCATCTCAGGAAAAAAAAGAAAAAGATGTGAAGTCTTTAGAAGAAATGAAAGAAGTGAAGACAGCGGTAGGCAAAAGGAACAGCATATGCTAAGGGATGAATGTAGGAGAGGTCATAAAGACTTCCCATGGAGCCCATGCATAAAAGCATCCAGGGAACAGAAAATTATTCTAAATAGTAAGTAGTTTAGTGTTTCAGGCAAGAGGACACAAATTAGAGAGGGCTGAAGGACAGTAAAAAGGCAGTAAGAAATCAGATTGTGAAAAGCTTTGTTTGCTATGTTCTGAATTTTTGAGAGAGGTTATAGGGAGCCACTAAAGGATTTAACCAGTGGAATCACAAAGTCAGATTTTCAACATCAGAAGTTCATTTGGAAAGTACTGTGGAGATTAGATTGATTAATCTGTTTTGAGGGGTGGTGAGATTAAGGGCACTGAAGACCTAAGATCAGAGAGATGGCTAGTTAAAGGTCTGATACATGTATACAGAGAAAAAAAGAACTGCACTAAGGAGTGGCAACTAGAATTGACAGGCGAAGACATATTCCAAGTGTGTGTAAAAGGTTGATGACAGAATGCAGTGCATAATAATACAGATGATACATATGTGACCATCTGACTTTTTAAAGCTAAAAATGCCTTAAATTGCTATCGTGACTACAAGAGAGTAAATTATAAAGCATTGTAGAGCTATACACAAGCTATAGAGAAATACATAAAATCAGAGTATTATTTTTACTATACTTTTTCAGTAACTCTTTAACCAAAAATATTTAAATTACAGTAATACGATCTTTATCTGAAGCACATTCAGTAGGAGGAGCCAGAGAGAAGTCTGTGATCAAGGCAGGGCCTCTATATGAAAAAACAAAGTTGAAGCAGGAGCCTCATCTGAGTGCATATAGAGAATAAACATAAAACTCTTGACCAAGAATCAGGCATAAATAAATTTGACATGAACCAGGTAATAAAAGACTTCCATAAGTGTTCTGAGAACTTGTTTAGTTTATTTAAGTCTTCAGAGTCTCTTCATCTAGAGTATGCATTTAGTTCATAAAATACAGATAGATATTGGTTAGTAGATCACAAATCTAATGAATCTACTTCATCTAAACAATTCATAGGACTCTCTCATCCTGCTTCAGGATAGAAAAAAAAAAACTACCATCCTAATTTCATTTCAAATAAATATTTCAGACAAAACTTCCTTACATGGGCGAGACCCAGATGCCTATGCCAGTCACCTCTAGCAATAATCAGCCTCATCTATTGCCACAGTGTACCTTACATATACTATCAATTGTTACATGGTGCTGAAATGGTTGGGAGCCCATCGGGTATCAGCAAAATAACATACGATTTCATATTTTTAAAGAAATTTTGATAACCAATAATATTAAATACATTTCTTTCAGCTGAAAATTTAATTCCAAATTTTAATGAAGAATATGTCCACCCCATCTCTAGCCTCAAATGAACATATGTAGGATTATACTCATTAAATTTTTAAAAAACTAAAGTATGTAAAAGCCTCCAACTTTTCATTCTACTCAAGTACTGAGATAGAGAACTTACTTTTAACTTGGGTATCATCCAGTGCTTTGTATTCTGTACTCTTAATTGCTAGCTCCACACCATACCCAGATAAGTACATTTTCCGTGAGCTTGGTTTCTGTTCAAACACATTTATTTTATAAAAAGCGAAAAGAGTTAGTCAAACATTTTGTTTTAAAGTCAGTACCACGATGTATTTGGACATAAGGGTAAATTACTAATATTGAAGGTTTTTAATCACTCTGAAAAATTTGGGGGTTGTTTATATTGTCTCTAGTCTATCAAGGAACTAGAATTTGGTTAATGACTACTCTGTAAAAACTTTGTCATGACTACTGTTTTAATTACTTTTTAATTTTTACAATTAAAATAATAAATATCTGATCTTTTCCTGTTATAACATGTCTTCAATGAGTTAATTAAACAGAGGATCCAATAACAGACAAGTTTCAACAAAACTGTTTTCCTTTTTGGGGACCCCCAAAAGATTTGCTAAACCAAAAATCCTCTTCACTTGCTGGTTGTCTAGATGTAGGACTAGAGTGCTGCCAAAAGCAAACACTGGAAAGTAGTGGCAAAGGAGACAAAAAAAGTTAGTGCCGTGAAATACCTGATAAAAGTTTTCTTTGTTTCTCAATGATTAAAATATACCAAATGCCACAAATTAACATCTGTTCTTGCAATAAGGGGCTACAGTTCACTAAAACAGAGTGGTCTGAAATGTTTATGATCAGAATTTTAGTACCTTTATTTTATTCTTTCTACAAAGGGCAAATATTAAATGTACTCCTAGAGATTACCTCATCAAACAAGAGAAGTCACCATATTTTATTCAAAAGGAAGAAACCTGGATGAACACACATAATAGTTTTAAAGTTGTTCCAGCTTCCAGACTGAAATTCTTGTTGGCTGTACTGCAACCATTATCATTTGGCACATCTCAAGGGGTTAGAAAACAACTTTAACCTAGAGCTCAGCAAACTCCCTGGAAGAAGCCATGTGTCTTTGCTTAATTCAGGTTTGCACAGGGACAGTTTTGCATGATAGAGGAAAAGGTAGAGATTGGAGGGAAGGAGAACTTTAGTAGTGTGTTATTCTTTGTATTCTCTTCTTTCCTCCCTAAACTTTCTACCAAGCCTTATTGATATGTATATGGCCAGAGTGACTGTTCTTTGGCCTGTTCTATTTCCAGGTAAGAATATGTAAAAGTTAGCTTCAGCTATTCAGACAAATACTTAACATTGCTGCCCACACTAAAATTTAATTTGCTAATTTCTCAGGCCCACATTATATGAAAGATAGCATGTAGAAACTGGGTTATTTCTAATTACAGTAATCTGACAAAGATGAAAATTTTTTAGAGTTTTCAATTTCATAACAGCTCAATTTAAAACTACATTTTGAATATCTAGTCAAAAGACCAATCAGTTGGTGGCTAAGTGAATCGAAACTATAAGGCCGTATATCTTGTTATAGTTCATAAAAGAAATGCAATTTCACATAGCCAATTTCCATTATCAGTTCTGGAAAGTTATTAGCTCCTCAGTAATAAAAATGTTCCTAAATTCATATTTACTTTCCTCATTTGGAAGTGTGTTGATATAAAATTTGAATTGTAATTTTGTAGTTTTAGTAAGTTTGGATTTGCAAACCAAACTACCAAATCAACAGGTTAAAAAAAAAAATCTTTGTTTTTCTATTTCCCCCACAAAAAGGCATATGTTAAAAATGTAGCATAAATATGTCTATTTTTATTAGAATTACATGTTGACTAGATTTACATTATAGTTATTTTGAACATAAAAGATGTCATTCATTAAATATAAGGCTATAATTTGATGTTACTAAATGCCCAGATAGTTAATATGATTTCACAGAAGCACACTTAATGGTCACATTCTCTATGTCAGGCCTCTGAGCCCAAACCCAAGCCAAGCCATCGCATCCCCTGTGACTTGCACGTATATGCCCAGATGGCCTGAAGTAACTGAAGAATCACAAAAGAAGTGAAAATGCCCTGCCCCACCTTAACTGATGACATTCCACCACAAAAGAAGTGAAAATGGCCGGTCCTTGCCTTAAATGATGACATTACCTTGTGAAAGTCCTTTTCCTGGCTCATCCTGGCTCAAAAAGCTCCCCCACTGAGTACCTTGCGACCCCCACTCCTGCCCTCCAGAGAACAAACCCCCTTTGACTGTAATTTTCCTTTACCTGCCCAAATCTTATAAAACGGCCCCACCCCATCTCCCTTCGCTGACTCTCTTTTCGGACTCAGCCCGCCTGCACCCAGGTGAAATAAACAGCCTTGTTGCTCACACAAAGCCTGTTTGGTGGTCTCTTCACACGGACGCGCATGAAACTCTAAATAATAACTTGAGACAGATTCTCACAACAGATGGGCATAGCTCCCCAGGGGCATGTTAGAACCACTTGGGAGAACATTTAAAAAAGACAAACACAGACAATTAACAACAACAAGGTTCATTGCACAGGTTTACTTACAGATTTTCTTATAAATTTTTACAAGAAACAGATATTTTATAGATATCTACTTTTATAGACAGTTACTTATAGATTTTCTCCCACCTTGCCACCTGAAACAGCAAGTCCAGCCTCTCCTCTTCCATTTCCTCCTCAGCCTACTCAACATGACTATGAGGATAAAAACCTTTATGATGATCCACTTCTATTTAATGAAAAATATATTTTCTCTTCCTTATGACTTTCTTAATAACATTACTTATCTAGCTTACTCTACTGTAAGAATTACAGAATAATACATGTGACATGAAAAATATGTGTTAATTGACTGTTTCTGTTATCAGTAAGGCATCCAGTCAACAGTAGGTTATTACTACTTAAGTTTTAGTGGAGTCCAAAGTTATACATATATTTTTTAACAACATGAGGGGTCAGTATCTCTAACTCACACATGCTTAAGGGTAAACTGTACTTGTATCTCCCACTCCCGTTCCTATTCTCATTTGCCTCTCAGCTCTGCCTTATCTGACAGAGAATCATAGTCTTAAGGTGCTACTGTTATTGATGGTAATGTATCCATCCTTCTAGCAAACTCAGTTGGGAAAAATTGAGAATTCTTGGCATAAGATGATTAGACAATATAAAATGTTTTGAGTGCACACTCTAGACCCATGACTCTCTGTCCTCTTCTTTTATATTTATCTTTTCTGAAAACACTTTCATCACCATCTAACATAAATCTGTTTTACATCTCTTGCCACTAAAATTGAAGTTCTCTGAGAATAAGGAATGTTTCTCTCTTATTCACTGCTACATGAACCAATGCCTGGCACAGAGGCATCCAAATATTTATGAAATTAATGACTTAAATATGTAATCATTTACAAACTGTACACACACCCACACTTTCTCTTTACATCTCACTTTACAGATAATCTTTATGTAGATTATGCAAATATCTATATGCCAACACACTCAAGAATATTTAAGATTTTCCACTTTTACTAAATAGCAATAACTAACTCAAAATTATACAATGAACAATTAAAATTGAGAATGTGAAGAACACTGAGGGAAAAAACACATTTTATATGATGTTATTGTAGGGCAAGTCCCCAAAAGATCTTGGCAACCCAGCTCTTCCTCGCTTTCTCACTTGTAAATCTCAGAATAACTGTAGAATGATGTGCTGGAAATGCAAGAAATATGAAGGAATTGCCAGTAAAGCCAAGCTCTGTTCCCATAGCTCCTAGAACAGGATGTCTTGCAATGCTTTAGCACAGCTCATCAAGTTGCTCCTAGGTATAAAACCCAGGGCAGAGCAGGCTTTCAGAGTTCCTTAGCTGCGGTGCAACATGAATGACGTGCACGTGAGACTCCATCCATCCTGGACAGCTATCCTAAGCTTTGGGGGATGAGCTTGCCATGAATCCTTAGGTGTCTATTGTCCCTTGCTGCCTGTCTGTGAGTAATAAAGTTGCTTCCCTAAACTTATTGTGTGTTCTGTCTCACCAGACTCATGCCAGTGGATTGATACTGGTACACAGTATTGGCAAGGTGTTTACAGTCCTCCCCTGGGATTGATACCAGTGCACAGTGAACCTGCATCATAAAATTATCAAATATATAAAACAAAATTAAGATACTGAAATAAGCTACTTATCTTCTATCACCAGTACTAAGCACAGTGCCCAAATTACAGGCATTTGTGGAAGATTATTATAAAGGCCACAAATGAGTAACTCCTTCCCATGTCCAGACTCCTTTGCAATGTGACCTTGCTACTTCTCACCAGGAAATTGAGTCTATTTTTCCATTCTTTTGAATCTGGCTGGCCTTGTGACTTGCTTTGACTAACACAAGGTGGCAGAAGTATCACTGTATGAGTTCTTGGGCATAGGGCTTAAGAGGTATTGCAAGTTCTACTCTTTTCTTTTTGGGACCCTAAGCCATCATGATGTGAAGAATCATAGTCTAACTCTTGGAAGATGAAAGGCCATGTAGAAAAAGACAAGAAACTCCAGCTATCAGCCTGAACTGCCACACAGGTCTGTCAGAATAATTTGAATCCCCAAGCTCTAATCTAGTACTGAATGACCCTCACTGCATGAACAATACCAGCAGAAAAAGTGCCCCGACTGTCAACCCACAGAATAAAGAGAAACAGTAAGTCAATATTTCCTTAAGCCACTAAATTTTGAGAAGATTTGTTACAAAGCAATTCAGACACAGACACAGCATCTAATAAATGTGCATGGAGGAAAGAAAGAAGGAAGAGATGACAGATTCCTCTAACAAATTTCTAATTCAAAGAATACCTAGTTTCCTCATAAATAGTAGTAACTTAAGAGATTTTCATCCTCTACAATCATATATTACTGCTTTCAGAAGTTATAAGATAGCTTCAATCAGCACTAAGAAACTTAAATTTTGGATTCCCCATGTAAGCAGCAAAGCTATCCCCAGGTAAGCAGCAAAGCTATGGTATCTAAGCAACTCTAGGAAAAAAAAAAAAAACATATTTGTTTTTAAAATTTTTTATTTTTAATTATTATGGATACAGAAAAGTTGCACATATTTATGGGGTATATGTTATAATTTGATACAAACATACAAAATGTAATGATCAAATCAGGGTATTTGGGATATCTATCACCTCAAACATTTTATTATTTCTTTGTGTTAGGAACATTCCAATTTTTGAAGTCAGGGAGACAGAGACTAGAATGATGGTAGTTACCAGAAGATGGAAAAACTAGTGGGGATGTGGGGATTAAGAGGGGATGGTTAATGGGTATAAAAATACAGTTAGGAAGAATAACATCTAGTGTTCAGCAGCACAATCGAGTGACTATGGTTAATAATTTATTGTTTTAGGGTACATGTGCACAATGTGCAGGTTAGTTACATATGTGCAGGTTAGTGTATACATGTGCCATGCTGGTGCGCTGCACCCACTAACTCGTCATCTAGCATTAGGTATATCTCCCAATGCTATCCCTCCCCCCTCCCCCCAAAGTATAATAATAATAAATGAAAAAAAGAACAGAAAAAAATGTAATAAAACCAAAAAAATAATTTATTGTATGTTTCAAAACAAGGAAAAATAATTTTATAAGCATTGTATCCTTATTAAACAGCCACCTAGTTATGACCTCCTCTCTCAGAACTAGAATGTCTCATCTTTCTCTTTCTTCAGTGGACAGATATCAGAGGGCCTCAGAATCATATGCTATATATTCCCAACCAATGTGCCAGATCTAACGAAGAAAGATCTCTAGGAGTGACAGCACTTTATTATTTAAAAGAACACTCCAATTGGTGTTGGGGTAGAGAATGAGACTGATAATGGAAAACAAAATAATCTTCAACTTTATTTTTAAAGTTTTATTACTTCAATTAAAAAATAAACTTGAAAAGATAAAATGTTAGCTGTCAATTCTGGGTAGCATATACAAAAAGTTTATTATTTTTAGGCTTTTTGTATTAGAAAATTTTCTGAAGAAAAAATAAAGCAGAAGGAACGAGAATGATAACAGAAGAAAAAGGCACCTGTGGGAAGGTGAACATTTGAATACCCAGGACAGATACCACCAAATGCTAGTGAAGCTGGTAAAGATATTTAGCTAGAAATCTATAAAGCTTGCTAAAGGCTAAATGTGGGCTAACGTGAGAGTGTGAAGCCCCTGGTAGCTCCAGACATAGCAAGGCTGAAACCCTCTTGCACAGGGAAGACTGGGGAAGGTCCTGAGAAAGCTTCCACTCTAATGGTGACAGGTAGAGAGGAAAGAAAAATCACTGCTGAAATCCACTTCAGACCTATCTCCCCTATAGAACCAAAGCCTTAATCTTCAGAGGCAAGGGCAACAAAATTGTAGCTATATAGTGTACTGGTGGAAGCCCACTGAAGACGGGAGAAATGGAACAGATGAAAGTCTTAGTCTGAAGGAAGGACGGGAATACCTGCCAGGCCCAACATTCTGAGAGAGGATCAGAAACCTTGAGGCCCAAATTTACAGTATGCCTAGAAAGGAAACTTAATTGGAACATCAGAGAATATCCCCTTCCTTAGCTGCCCCCTCACCTTCACCTCAAGGCCAATCTAACAAGGGTTGAGTAAAGATAACGCTGAAATACAGGTGGGAAAGCTATAAGAAACACATTGTCTTTGGGGAGCTGTACAAAGGGAAGATCCAAATCTAAGTGGGGAGACCTAAAGCCAAGTGGAACACAAACGTGAAACCCAACCCAACTCCTGACCAGAACACCTCAATCCTGCATACATGAAAGGCATGGCCTAAACTAAAGGCAGGGTCAAGGCTCCTACACAAAATGTTGAGCTTTTAATAACAACGAAAATCACAAGATGTCCAAGAAGTCAATGGAACAAAAGTCTGAAGAGACAAATCAATCAACAATTTCAAAATCAGATGTAAAAAAGAAGTTGAAACTTTCAGGAGGGAATTTAAAATAATGATTAACATGTTAAATGCTCTAATGAAAAAAGTAGAACATATGAGTGATCAGAAAGGAAAATTCATCACACATATTAAAACTGTAAGAAGGAGCCAAATGGCAATGATAGAAATTAAAAGCACTGTAACAGAAATAAAGAATGCCTTCAACAGAGTCACAAGTAAACTTGATATAGCCAAAGAAAGAACTGGCTGGCTGGGTGCAGTGGCTCATGCCTGTAATCCCAGCACTATGGGAGGCTGAGGTGGATGGATTGCCTGGGGTCAGGAGTTCGAGACCAGCCTGACCAACATGGAGAAACCATGTCTCTACTAAAAATACAAAAACTAGCCAGGCATGGTGGTGTGTGCCTGTAATCCCAGCTACTTGGGGGCTGAGGCAAGAGAATCGCTTGAACCCAGGAGGCGGAGGCTGCAGTGAGCTGAGATTGCACCACTGCACTCAAGACTGGGTGACAGAGCGAGATTCTGCCTCAAAAAAAAAAAAAAAAAAAAAAAAAGAATTGGTTAACTCCAAGGCAGGTCAATAGAAATTATTCAAATTGAATTTAAGAAGAAAATGTAGTAGAGAAAGAAAGGAAAAAATCCAAAAAGCAAACAACAGCAAGAAACTGAGCAGAACACTCAGGAGCTGTGGGATAGTACCACACATGGGAAACATCATGAGTGTCTAAAGGGAGAAATATGCCTCAGGACAAAGACAAAGAGGAAAGGCAGGACTGCCATCCCCAGTCTTGGAAATTCTAACTCTGCTCTGTAACTTGAAGAGGAGAGAACACCTCCAAATTCATTCTAGGAGGCCAGCATTACCTCAATACCAAAACAAGACAAGGACACAACAAAAAAAGAAAACTATATGCCAATATCACTAATAAACACAGATGTAAAAATCCTCAACAACATATTAGCAAAATGAATTCAGCAACAACTTAAAAAGATCATGCACCATGATCAAGTGAGATTCATCCCAGGGATACAGGATAGTTCAATATACACAAATCGATAAATGTAATACACCATATTAAAAGAACCAAGAACACAAAAACCATATGATAATTTAAATATGTGCTGAAAAGGCATTTGACAAAATTCAACATCTCTTTCTGACAAGTCCCTCCCCCCCAACAAACTAGGTATAGAGGGAACATACCTCAAAATAATTAAGGCCATATATGACAGATCCACAGCTAATATCATATGGAAACAGGGAATAATTGAAAGCCATCCCTCAAAGATCTGGAACAAGACAAGAATGCCCCCTTTCACTATTTTTATTCAACATAATACTAGAAGCCTTAGCCAGAGTAATAAGGCAAGAGAAATAAATAAAGGACATCCAAATTGGAAAGGAAGAAGTAAAATTACCCTGGTTTGCAAACAATATGATCTTATATTAGAAAAACCTAAAGACTCCACCAAAAAACTGTTTGAACCAATAAATGAATTCAGTAAAGTTGCAAGATATAAAATCAATATACAAAATTCAGTACTATTTATATACACAAATAGCAAACAACATTCTGAAAATGTTACAACAGTTACAAATAATATAAAATACCTAGGAATTAATTTAACCAAAAAAGTGAAAGACCTACATTAATACAAAGAAAACTACAACACTGATGAAAGGAATCGAAGAGAACACCAAAAAATGGAAAGATATTCCATGTTCATGGAAGAATTCATATTCAGACAAATGCACCAATGGAACAGAATAGAGAACTCAGATGTAAATCTACACATTTGGAACCAACTCATCTTCGACAAACATGCCAGGATCATACACTGGGGAAAGGACAGTCTTTTCAATATGAAAACTGAACAACCATAATGCAGAAGAATGAAACTAACTAGACCACTATCTCTCACCATATACAAATATCAAATCAAAATTGATTGAAGACTCAAATATAAGACCCAAAACTATGAAACGACTAGAGGAAAATATTGAAGAAATGCTCCAGGACATTGGTCTGGGCAAAAATGTTTTGTGTGAGACTTCAAAAGCACAGGCAACACAATTAAAAATAGACAAGTGGAGTTAACATCAAGCTAAAAATCTTCTACACAGCAAAGGAAACAATCAACACAGTGAAGAGCCAATCCACAGAATGGGAGAAAATATTTGACAAATACCCATCTGACAAGGGATTAATATCAGAATACATAAGGAACTTAAACATACCCTTTATCACCACTCCTATTCAACATAGTCCTGAAAGTCCTGGCCAGAGCAACCAGGCAAGAGAAAGAAATAAAAGGCATCCAAATAGGGAAAGAGAAAGCAAACTATACCTGTTTGCAGACAACATGATTCCATATCTAGACAATCCCATAGTCTCTGCACAAAAGCTCCTTGACCTGATAAACAACTTCAGCAAAGTTTCAGGATACAAAATCAATGTACAAAAATCACTAGCATTTTTATACAGCAACAACATCCAAACTGGCAGCCAAATCAGGAATGTAATCCCATTTACAATTGCCATAAAAATAAAATACTAATGACCACAACTAACTAGGGAGGTGAATCTCTACAATGAGAATTATTAATACAAAACACTGCTCAAGGAAATAAGAGATGACACAAACAAATGGAAAAACATTCCAGGCTCACAGGCTGGAAGAATCAATATTGTTAAAATAGCCACACTGCCAAAACAATTTACAGATTCAAGGCTATTCCTATCAAACTACCAATGACATTCTTCACAGAATTAGAGAAAGCTATTTTAAATTTTATATGGAACAAAAGAGCCTGAATAGTCAAGGCAATCCTAAGCAAAAAGAACAAAGCTGAAGGCTACAGTAACCAAAACAGCATGGTACTGGCATAAAAACAGACATACAGAGCAACAGAACAGAATAGACAGCCCAGAAATAATGTCACACACCTGCAGCCATCTGATTTTTGACAAAGCTGACAAAAGCAAGCAATGGGGAAAGAACTCCCTATTCAATAAATGGTGCTGGGAAAACTGGCTAGCCATATGCAGAAGACTGAAACTGGACTCCTTCATTATGCCATATAAAAAATCAACTCAAAATGGATTAAAGCCTTAAATGTGAAGCCTAAAATTATAAAAACCCTCAGAAGATAACCTAGGAAATACCATTCTGGACATGGGCCCTGGCAAAGATTTCATGACGAAGACACCAAAAGCAATTGCAACAAAAACAAAAATTGACAAATGGGACCTAATTAAACTAAAGAACTTCTGCACAGCAAAAGAAATTATCAACAGAGTAAACACGCAACCTACAGAATGGGAGAAAATATTTGCAAACTATGTATCTGACAAAGGTCTAATATCCAGAATCTACAAGGAACTTAAATTTACAAGCAAAAAATAAACAGCCCCATTAAAAAGTGAGCGAAGGCTGGACGCAGTGGCTCACGCCTGTAATCCCAGCACTTTGGGGGGCTGAGGCAGGCGGATCACGAGGTCAAAAGATCAAGACCATCCTGGCCAACATGCTGATACCCCATCTCCACTAAAAATACAAAAATTAGCCGGGCATGTTGGTGGATGCCTGTAATCCCAGCTACTTGGGAGGCTGAGGCAGGAGAATTGCTTGAACCCAAGAGGCGGAGGTTGCAGTGAGCCGAGATCGCGCCACTGCACTCCAGCCTGGCGATAGAGCAAGACTCTGTCTAAAATAAATAAATAAATAAAGTGAGCAAAGGACATGAACACTTTTCAAAAGAAGACATATGATATGGCCAAAAAGCATATAAAAATATGCTCAATATTACTAATCATTAGAGAAATGCAGATCAAAACCACAATGAGATACCATCTTGTATCAGTCAGAATGGCTACTATTAAAAAGTCAAAAAATAACAAGATTCTGGTGAGGTTGCAGAAAATAGTGAATGCACATACACTGCCGGTGGTACTGTAAACTAGTTCATTTAAAGCAGTGTGGCAATCCTCAAAGAACCTGAAATAGAACTACCATTTGACCCAGCAATCCCATAACTGGGTATATACCCAGAAGAATATAAATTGCTCTACTATAAAAACACATGCATGCATATGTTCACTGCAACACTTTTCACAAAGCAAAAACATGGAAATCAACCTGAATGCCCATCAATAGTAAAATGGATAAAGAAAATGTGGTACATATACACCACGAAATACTACACAGTGCATGCCGGGCTTAATTCCTAGGTGATAGGTTGATAGGTGCAGCAAACCACCATGGCATACATTTACCTATGTAACAAACCTGCACATCCTGCACATGTACACCAGAACTTAAAAAATTAAAAATAAACCCTTCCTCTAATATGACAGTTAATAGTAGAAGACCAAATGCTTTCTCTGCAAATCAGGAAAAAGGCAAGGATATCTTCCCTCACTACTCCCCATTCAACATTGACTAGAAGTCTTAATCATTAAAATAAGGTTAAAAAAAAATAAATGGCATATAGGTTGAAAAAGAAGAAAAACACTGATGAAAGAAATCAAAGGATGTCTAAATAAATCAAGAGACATAATTTTCAATTGGAAGACTGAATATTTTTAAGATGTTCTCCCACAAATTTAATTTATATGTTCAATGTAATCTCAATCAAAATGCCAGCAAAATGTTTTGTAGATACAGACAAGCCGATTTTAAAGTTCACAAGAAGAGACAAAGGAATTAGATTAGCTAAAACAATTCTGAAAAAGAATAACAAAGCTGGAGGACTAACACAACCTGATCTCAAGGCTATCAAGGTAAAGTAATCAAGCAGTGTAGTATTGATGTTGGGACAGACAGATCAATGGCACAGAAAAGCAAAGCCAGAAATAGACCCATACAAATACAGTCAATTATATTTTACAAGTGGATAAAGGAAATTCAATGGAGAAGGACAGTCTTTTAAACAAATGTTAAAACAACTAGATATCCATATGTAGAAAAATAAATCTCAACATCTATCTCACAAGTTGCACAAACCTTAAATGGATCATAAACCTATGTGTAAACATAAAACTATAAAACGCTTAGAATAAAATCTGAATGACCTTGAGATTGGTGATGAGTTTTTAGATATAATACAAAAAATATAATCTATAAACAAAAAAATGATGAACTGGACTTAATCAAAATTAAAAACTCTTCCTCTGCAAAACACATTAAGAGAATTACAAGATAATTCACAAACTGGTAGAATATGTTTGTAAATCATGTATCTCATAAATGATTTATATCTAGGACATAAAAAGAATTCTGAAAACTAAACAAAAAAAGTTCACCAAAAAGAAACTTATGAAAAGCCAGACAACTTCATTAGTCATTAGAGAAATGCAAATTAAAACCACAATGAGATACCACTGTGTACCTAGAACAGCTATAATAAAAAAAACTGACATTAACAAATGGTGGTTAGGATTTAGAGCAGCGAAATTATCTTTCCTGGCTAAGGGGAATGAAAAATTGTACAGCCACTTTGAGAGACAGTTTGGTATAGTTTATTATGAAGTTAAACACTGACTTACCATACAACTCAGCAATAGAACTTCCAGGCATTTATCCAAGTGAATTGAAAACATATGTTCCTACAAGAATCTGTATGTGAATATGATGGTACTAAGGTGACTGACAGATGACTCTGTGTGATTGTTGAAACCCAACATTGTACATCACAGATGATACTTTTCAAAAAGACATCTGACTAGATTGTGAAATAAAAATATGTTCATAGAAGGCAAAGCTCAATATATATGAAGAAAAAGTCTCTTCAAAATTAATCAGAAAGGTCCAATTCATTCCCGTATGAAATCCCAACATGTTTCATGGAACCTGGCCAACTAATTCTAAAATTAACATGGCTACATATCATGCAAGAACAGCCAAGGTATTTAGAAAAACAAAAATTAAGAAGCAGAGTTGAACTACCAGATATCAAAATATATTTTAAAGCTACAGCAATTAAAATGATGTTATTTTTGTGTAGAATAGACATATATATCACTGCAACAGAATGGAAAGTCTAAAAACATATACATGTCTATATGAAAAATTAGCATATGATGGAGTAGAATAAAGACTTGACTGTTCAACAAAGTATGTGAAGACCAATAATTTTTCATATGGAAAAAACAGAATTATATCTCTACCCCGTAGTATATTCAAATAAATTCCAGATGGATTAAAAACCAAAACAAAAAATAGAACTTCAACTCTTACAAGAGAATGTCCTTATAACAGCATAAAGGAAATCGTTCAGGTAAAGTTGAGTAAATCTGACTATATCACAAGTAATATTTGTAAAAGATGTCATAAACAATTTTTAAAAAAAATCAGAAGACCAGAAATGCACTAGGAGAAGATACTGCGAAGTATGGAAGAAAATATTAGTATTCAAAATATATTAAAAACACCTATAAACCAATGAGAAAAAAAGAATCTCAATTCAAAAATAGGCAAAGGCTACGGACAGGCAATTTACAAATATATTTTTAAGGTTTTAATTAGATTAAATATTAGTATATAAATCTTAATAATTTGGGAAATGCAAATTAAAGCACTCCATGTTGGGAAGACAGTAGTAACAAAGCATAGTCCTTCCTCTAATGGCCATTATATTCATACGCATGTGTGTGTGTGTGTGTGTGTGCATGTATGTGCTCTGAAAGTGTTAAATAAACTTGAGGAGATACAGTAATAAGTGCTATGAAATCATTAAAACAGAAAAATGTGATAGTGTCATAGCAACGGCAGGCTAGAGGAACGGGAACAATACAGCACATACCAGATACCTGAATGAAAAGTAGTCAGGTCTCAAAAGAAAGAGTTAACAGTATTCCAACACCATGCTTTGCACTTTGATCTAGTACTGTATATATTAGTATGTTGAGTAAATCAGATTTCTTAATTGCAAATTCTTAGCAAATATTATACACATTATTGAAGTATGTTTTTGTTTTTTATCCAAGTTTTAAATTTGTGCCAGATATAAGGCAAAGAATTATAGACATCATACCCCCAGAAGAGACAGAATCCCAATATATTTTTCCACATGAAATTCACATTTGTTAAGTTAAAAAAAGTTAGATAACTATTCTGGTGAAAATTAATATTTAAATCTAGTAAGACGATTATCATAATAATTGTTTTTTTCTACAGCCAAAAGCAACCTTGGAAAAAACAAGCGCATACCTGAATATAATGGCGAAGAACATACAGAATTTCCTCATTTTGAGCTTTTTCAGACAATACTTTGTGAAATGCACTAAATGTTCTAGTACCCATTTCGGCATAGAGAATCACCACTGGTAAGTTCTCTTTGTTTGTAGGAAATTTGTGATCTCCTTTAAATAGATAAGGTCTAGTCCTAAGATAAAAGCAAAACACAAAGTTTTGAAAAAACTGAAAGTTAATGGCATATCAATTCTGTATAATTACTGCTTATCAAACAATTCATAATATACATAATCACAGAAAAAGAATTTAAATTTCCTGTGATGACTTTGTACACATAACTTGAACTAAATGACAGAAAAGAAAGAAAAGAATTTGGTTAACCCAAATCTAATATTAAAAATACTTTATTTCCCAACAAGGTTTATTATCTTTAAACAATAACATATAATGGCAGCACAATTTTCAGTGAAATAAAATTTATATTTTATGCAGTTAGGTTATAATTTTTCATTACAGCTCATATTTCCTGAAAACAAGGTATAAATATTTAAGGCACAAAGCAAAAGTACTACCTTATTCAAAGACTATCAGTACTTAGTATGAACAAGTACTCATCAAATCCCCAAGTATAAGCAAAGAAACCAGGACTCTTATGGTCTAGCATTATCATCAGAAACAGACTTTAACTGACTTCTTATTTGCCAGGCACTGTGCTAGGTTCTTTACACTTATTAGTAAATTCTATTTCACAAGAAAAATTAGACAGCTACCATCACTGAAACTTTTAAGTTTCTGAGGCTCAGATAAGTTAACTATTCAGGAAAAGATCAAATGGAAAGCCAGAATTTCAACTCATGTTTATGGAATTCCAAAGCCCATATGTTTTGGCAATTTATACAGGTAGAAAGCAAACCAAGAGATAAGGAAGTTCAGAGTAACAAGGATGTTGAGAAATAACCTTTTATTTAGTGAATTCTGATCTCTACAATCATTCAGTCAATTACTACCTTTGGATAACAAATATTAAGGACAGAAGAAAAAAGGTATGAGTAACATTCCTACAGCACGTTAGTGAAAAGAAGGTGGGTTTTGAGATCAGGCAGAATTGGATTCAATTCTAGCTTAACTACTTACTGACTCAACATATTCTAAATCAAAATCATTCAAGCATTCAATCTTATTGACTAACAGAATAATTTGAGAGATTTCCACAGTTATTTGGCTTAGAATTTGTGCCATTACTCAACAGCAATATAGAAATGTTACTACTGTCAATGCTTGGACAGCTGAAGCATAAAGTAAATAGAATCTTAACCCCAAATAGAATTTCACTTCATTATTAATCTTCTGTAACCGATGAAGAGACATGAATGTGCAAAACAAGAGACACTGAATTTGCTGTCTTTCTTCATGAGAGGCTATTAATAAATGCTAAAAGGATACAAAATCATACTTCACTTTGAAAAGAGAAGTGAAAGAGATTCTTGCATGAAACTATTAAAATTATTCTCATAAATTTTAACTGAAATCTTGGAACTCAAATGTCACTTATATAGCAGCTGGATTATCATTTTATAAACCTGATTTTATCAAATCAGTATCATAGAAGTACATTTAGTAATTTATATAAGGAATCTTAAATTTTAATTTAAGCCTGAAAAATTCTTCCTTCAAAGAATTTACTACTGTTGAAAACTAGAAAGGCGGCCAGGCGCGGTGGCTCAGGCCTGAAATCCCAGCACTTTGGGAGGCCGAGGTGGGCGGATCATGAGGTCAGGATATCGAGACCATCCTGGCTAACATGGTGAAACCCTGTCTGTACCAAAAATACAAAAAATTAGCCGGGCGTGGTGGCAGACGCCTGTAGTCCCAGCTACTCGGGAGGCTGAGGCAGGAGAATGGCATGAATCCAGGAGGTGGAGCTTGCAGTGAGCCGAGATCGCATCACTGCACTCCAGTCTGGGCAACAGAGCAAGACTCCGTCTCAAAAAAAAAAAAAAAGAAAGAAAACTAGAAAGGCTGCCAATAAAACTATGCTAGGAGATAAATATTGAGGTTGAATATAAAAGGAAAAATTAGAGGAAATGGAATAGACTTTACACACAAAGGTAAGGGCTCTCTACCATTTGCTGAGTCTGTAATCGACAGTACCTTCCTTCCTGTACCTATAGACACATAACTTTCAAAATTTGCTTTTATGATTATTTCAGGAACTGCTTGGATATATCATAGGTAGAAAAATTATACCTATAGAGGATGGCTGGATAAGAGGAAAATGATCTTTGAAAATTAAATAATTATATTTAAAAGTAGCAATTTACTGAATTGACTAAGGTGTTAAAGAGAATTAATACAAATTAGCATTGGTAAAAATTTTAGAAGTAGAGTATAAAACTTCAGCTTTCTGAAGACAATTTTGTAGTATACACTTTAATATACATGTACTTACCTAGAGATTTTAGTTCTAGAAATTTAAGAAAATAACCAAGGTAACTATGCAAAGATATATGTACAAGGAAGTTCAATTAGATATTGTTTACTGTAAACTACCTATATATACACCGCAAGGAGTGGAATAATGAAACTTATTTATTCATTTCATTACGGTATCACTCACTCAATATTTTTCAGCATCTACTACATGGTAGGTGAACTTTTTGGGAACTGGAGTAAAGGTCACCCTTGTTATGCCTTAGCAAATAACTTGGCTGCATTGTGCTTATGCCCTAGGGATCTGTGGAAGTTTGAACTTAAGAGGGATGACTTAAGACGTTTGGTGGAAGAAATTTCGAAGCAGCAAAGTATTCAAGAAGTGGCCTGGCTGCTTCTAACAACATATGTTCAGATGTAGGAGCAAAGAAATGGCTTTAAGTTGGAATTCATATTTAAGAGGGAAGCAGAACATAAAAGTTTGAAAAATTTGCAGCCCTAGCCAGAAAAGAAAAAGTCCATTTTCAGGGGAAGAATCTAAGTGGGCTATTGGGCAACCATTTGCTAGAGAGATTTGCATGACTAAAAGGGAGCCAGGAGCTGACAGCCAAGACAATGAAGAAAAGGCCTGGAAGGTATTTCAGAGATATATGAGGCAGCCCCTCTCATCATACACTCCAAGGCCTAAAAGGAAAGAATGCTCACTGCCCTGTGCCATGCCAGCAGGTTGCAACTTGCATCCAGCTGCTCCAGTTCCAGCCTCGGCTCAAAGGGGCACAGGTAAAGCTCAGGTCACAGCTCCAGAGGGCACAAGCCATAAGCCCTGGCAGTTTATACATGGTCTCATGTCTGCAGATGCTCAGGAGGCAAGCATGAAGGAGGCTTGGAGGCCTCCATCTAGATTTCAGAGGATGTATGGAAAAGCCTGGTGCCCAGGCAGGAGCCTGCCACACAGGCAAGGCCCCCACAGATATTCTACTAGGGCAGTGCATAGAGGAAATGTGGGGTTGGAACGCCCACACAGAGTCCCCACCTGGATACTGCCTAGTGGAGCTAGTGGAGGGGGGGCTGCAACCCTTCAGAACCAAGGATGGTAGATTCACCAGCAGCTTGCACCTTGTGCCTGGAAAACCCAGAGGTACTCAACCCCAACCCATGACAGCAGCCACGTGGGTTGTATCCTGCAAAGTTAGAGCGCTGGAGCTGCCCAAGGCCTAGGGAGCCCACCAGGATGTACATCACGATGTGGGACATGGAGTCAAGGATTACATGACAGCTTTAAGATTTAGTGCCTGCCTACTGTGTTTCAGACTTGCATGGGGCCTGTTACTCTTTTCTTTTGGCCGATTTCTCCCTTTGGTAACGGGAATGTTTACCCAATGCCTGCACCATCTCTGTACCTTGGAAGTAAATAACTTGTTTTGATTTTACAGGCTCATAAGTGGAAGCAGATGAGTCTCAGATGGCACTTAGGACATTGGACTTGATGTTGGAACGAGTTAAGACATGGGGAAGAAATGACTGTAATTTGCAATGTGAGAAGGACATGAGATTTTGGGGGCTAGGAAAAGAATGACATAGTTTGGGTATTTGTCCCCTCCAAATCGCATGTTGAAATGCAATTCCCAGGGGCCCCCCTTACTCTCTTGCTCATGCTCTCACTATGTGACGTGCCTGTTCCAGCTTCGCCTTCTGTCATGGCTGTAAGGTTCCTGAGGCTCTCACCAGAAGCCAAGCAGATGTTAATGCCATGTTTGTACAGACTGCAGAACCATAAACCAACTAAACCTCTTTTACTTATAAATTACCCAGCCTCAGGTATTTCTTTATAGTAACACAAAAACAGCCTAACACATAAAATCGGTACATACCAGTAATTTTATTTATTTACATGTAAGAACACAATAACTTTGTGGGAGAAGGATCTAAGATACCCTTTATAGTACAATAAATGTTTTTTTAAGTATGTCTGTATATGCATATATGCATTAAAAAAGAACATATACTAAACTGTTAGCAGAATTATAGGCCATTTTCCCTTTCTACTTTGCATTTTTCTAAAGTATTTGAATTCTTTTATAATGACCATATGGGATTTTTTTAACTTTAAACATACAGCTTTCCATTTGGGACAAAAGTTTAAAGCCACAAAAAAGATGGTCATATTGATTTGAAGTGGCATTTGGAGAGCAGTCCCTGACACTAAATTTTACAGTATCTCCAAAAATATTTACAAAGACTCAGATACAAAAATTCTTAATGAAGTTGCAAACTAAAAATAACTTTGTATCATACATAAATTGGGAGTAAAGTCTACTAACTATAAAACCTATGCTGTTCAACTTAGAATCATAACTGACAGTCAACTACCACTTAGAACAAGAACATGCTAGTAAAAAAAGAATAGTAAACTGATTCTTCATCTCTCCCTATTTCCTATTCCCTGGTTCAAAAATCTATGGTCTGGAACTGCCCCAAAACTTTATAGACATAATACGAAAATGTGAATGAAGATCAGGAGTGGTAGCTCATGTCTGTAATCCCAGCACTCTGGGAGGCTGAGGCAGGCAGATTGCTTGAGCTCAGGAATTCGAGTCCAGCCTGGGCAACATAGCAAGACCCCGTCTCTACAAAAAATACAAAAATTAGCTGAGCATGGTGGTTTGTACCTGTAGTCCCATCTACTCAGGAGGCTGAGGCAGAAGTACAACTTGAGCCTGGGAAGCAGAAGTTGCAGTAAGCCAAGACTGCACCACTGCACTCTAGCCTGGGCACTAGAGTGAGACCTTGTCTCAAAAAAATAAATAAATAAAACAAAATAAAATATGAGTTATATATCTGGGGGAAAGTGACAGCAATCATTACCATCCTAAATGAGTATAACTTTCTCCCAGTGGTCACTCTACTTTCCAACATGTAAATAAAACTACTGTTAAGAAGAATTTTACGAAATTGGGACAATGAGAATATCACATAGTAAAGAAAGGCAACATTGATGACCTAAATATGTTATAATTGAAAAAAAAAACAAAAAAAACACAAAAAACCAAGTGTTTAGCTCAACCACAGACAGAAGAAAATACATAAATGCAAAACCTATTAGAAT
Source organism: Homo sapiens (assembly GCF_000001405.40). Lineage (NCBI taxonomy): Eukaryota > Metazoa > Chordata > Mammalia > Primates > Hominidae > Homo > Homo sapiens. The sequence continues at coordinate 96,018,828 of NC_000013.11, forward strand.
AAAAAAGCAGAAAAAATTTATCAGTCATTTCTTTAAAAAAAGATAAAAACCTAATCTGGAAAAACTGAAAGAAAATGAAAACTAAAGAAAATCTAGGAAGGAGAAACATATCTACAGAGAGGAAAAAATTAAAATATTTATATTACTATACATAACCTATGTAAAAACATAAATTATATGCTTAAATAAGAAAAAAAAACCATTGACCAATATTGATAAGATATCACAAACCCAAGAGTATATGCCTGAAGTTCACAAAAGGAAAAAAAAAATTATTAACTTTGCCCTACATAGCGGGGGGGGGGGGGGGGAATGTTTCTGTCAGGCTGTAGAATTGTTTTACCCTACTTACAAGCTAATAAGTTAGCTTTTCATTGTTTCATGGATTCTGGCAAAAGACAGAGATTTCTGAGTCAAAGAGCTTGATTACTTGTGGCACAGCAAGCAACATGAACATTAGTATGTTTACATGGGTTCCCCATGGGCCCACATTCCACAGGGAGAAGTATGATGGACCCACAAGAATTCTACACAGGCAGTGGGTATGGATCACATCTAAAGAACACTGAATGTGGGAAACCCATCATTTAATAACAAGCAGTAAGTAAGTTGCCCTTTGTCCCAGGGAGAAACACTCACTTATCCCTCAAAGTCACTCACTGAAAACACCCCGAGAAAAGGCCATGGTAAAGAGCAGTCAGGGCCTCACACGGTCTTGGCATAGTCAGTTTGTCTCTATTCACACTTATCAGGGAATGGGTCTATAATATGTACATCTAAAGGAGTAAACCAGACTGTCAGATGGGCAAGTGCAAATTACTTTCACAGTGTGCAAGCCCCAAGGAGTGGTATTTTTAAGCTGCCCATCTGTAGTCTTCCAAGTGGCAGACCAGACAGGTAGGCCATTGGCAACAGCACAAGAGTCAGTATGAATGTATTATATTTAACCAAGGGGTCAGATTTTGTTCAGGGAGAGGATGACGGCCTTGAGTTCTGCCCACTGAGTAGAGTGACCACTTCAGCTTTTGGTTTTACAAGGCTTATGCCTGGTGAAATGGTAGCAGAGGCAGCCCGAAGAGCCCACCAGCTGTTAACTTAGCTAAACGTCCCAGCAGCCTGGCCCAGGCATTTAGGGAAACCACTGTGAACTGAGGGCCCTTTTGAGCCAGTGACCTTACTTCAGGTAGTGAAATGGGTTATTTAGTTCACTCCCAAAAGAGTAGCTGCCACTTTTTCACATATACCTGATACCATGCTAGGGCCCAGAAGCTGGGCTTTTGAATATATAATTTCCATTTGAGCAGGGAGGCTTATTGGGTCCCTTTTACCTTGCGAGACACTGACTCCTAGTTGAACTACGTGAAAATGTAAATGTCATGTGGTAGAGTCACAAGGCCTCCATGGGTCAGGCATTCAGTTTCAACAAGAGCTTAAGAACTGCTATTTTAAAAAGGGGTGTACTAAGTGGCTGAGTCAGGCAGGTGGCACTATTGTACTTAGAAACAGTCTCTCGGGGTAGTCCAGCAGCTATGAAGTCTATACAAAGTTGTGATTGTCCTTTCTCCTCCTGGGATTGATTCTTTGTTGTTTCTGCTGGACCACCTGGGGGTGTCCATGTGTGGTAGTCTCTGAATGACAGTTTCCCTCTGGGCTTCACAAACATTGACAGCATTCACAGTATAAGCATGTAAAATACCAATACCAGTTATATAATCAGAGCCAAAACAATAAACCATTAAATCAGTCAAGTTTGAGTGCCTTTTCCTTAGGAGCCCAGATCAAGGAACATGTGTCAGACTACAACACAGTTATCAGGAGACTACCATCACCCACCAGGAGTACAGGGAGAAAGAGGTGAGCAGTGGGAAGAAATGTAAGTATTGACCTTTTTCTTCTCGACCCATGGGCCCTTACGAACTTCCTCTTCCAGAAGCTGTGTGTCAGTCAACATCCCACCCATGACAGTCTCCAAAACTACCAAGAACTGTAAAAGTCTAAGGTATGATTTTACCTGACTTACAAACTAATAAGTTAGCCTTTTATTCTTTTATGGATTCTGATAGAAGACATAAGACAGACTCCTGGGTCAAAGACAAATGACTTTACTGCTCATGACATAGAGCAAGCAGTATAAGCGTTACTATGCTTGCCCCCAAAGTCCCACAGGGGGTGACAAAATATGGACTTAGATGGATCCTACAGAGTTGGCATATGTTTCCGTTAAGGAACACTGGGCTTGGGGAAGCACTGTTTTATAGTAAGCAATAAAACACACTTGCTCCCTGTCCCCAATCCCAAAGGCAAACATTACCTCATTCCTCAAGGTTGCTCACTGCAAACACAACCCTGAGAAATGGCCCAGGTAAAGAGTGGTCAGGACCTTGCATTTTTTGCTGGTCAGACCAAGAAAGAACATGCAAGGACTCACAGGGCCCATGGCAGATGGACTTTCCTAATAGTTTGATGTTAATTTTTTTGTAATCTTCAAGATACTTTAGTTTCTATAATTATAAAAGTTGACATCAGAAACCAATGACAATAAATTTTAAACATTACAAAATTTCCTTTAAAAGATGCACTAGTGAGTTATATTATAGTGAGTCTAATAATGCCATAAAGGAATAGATAATTCCTATATTAACTCATCCAGAATAAGAATAATATGGCTGCCTAATTCACTTTACGAAAGTAGAATGACCGATAAAAATTAAAGATGTCAAATAATTTCAATAAATGTACAGCTATTCATTTATTAACACAGAAACATGAAAACAAAATGAAAGCAATCTTAATTCAAAAGCAAATTAAGATAATCCCACACCATTAATAATCAGTAGTTTTCCTCAGAATTGAAAAGAAGGTATAATATTTCAAAGTATTTTGTAATATATTAGTATGTCCAATGAGAAAAACCTTGTATCCATCCCAATAGTTGAAAAAATAATTGATAAAATAAAGCAATTATTTCTGCCTTTAAGTTTTAAAAGCAGGTGTGAACAGAGAAACATGCCATGTTATTTGATAAGAGATTCAATACAACACAGATGTAAATTTTTCCTAAATTAACCAATACTTTTAACATAATTCTAATTAAACCCTAACAAGGCTTTTGGGGAAGGGGAGCTTGGGGAGGAAAAGGATTCCAATGTTGACTTAAAAGCATCAACAAATACAAGGAGCTAAGGCATTCTGGAGGAAAAAAGAGCCACAATGAAGAAGAAATCCTCCTGTCAGAAACTGGATAATAAAGCAATAAATATTAAAACAGTATGGCACTACTATAAGAAATAGATAATGGAGCAGAACAAAGAGCTATGAAATAGACCATAATATAAATATAATGAATACAATTGACTAGGTACCTGAGGAAAAAAATCTGGTTGGATTCTTACCTTTTGATGAAAATAAATTACAGATAGATTAAAAGTTTAATGTAAAATAAAAGGAAAAACTTTTAGAAAGCTACAGAAAGAATTAGTAAAATCTCCCAATCAGGTTCGGGAAAAACTGTTAGTATAAAAACAATATAAAAGTCACATACACAGGAAAATTTGGCTACATAAAAATAAAAGTCTTTTGTATATGAAATTCAATACAAGTATAAGAAAATGTTAGAAATGGTTTGTTAACAAGTGAGTTAAGTATTAATATGCATAAATATATATTACTGTTTAATAGAGCTCTTTCAAAATTAAAAAAACTACTTTATTATTTTTTAAAGTATAAATAATCAGGCAAAAAAAATATACTGGTAGTATTACTCTAAAAAATCACTAATAAATTAATAATTTACTTCTGATTTGCCATTTTTTAAATTAAATACTTGCAAAAAAGCAAAAAAATAGTTTTGAATATAGGAAGCAACCTCATCTATTGTTTTGATTACTTTGTTATTCCCCAGGTATATATTCAGTTTATATTTAAAGAGCTATAGGCCAAATAAACTCAGTTTTGCATGTTTATTTCAAAAAACAAGTTATGCTTATATGAAACATTTCATACATTTTATGTTATTTTGGCACAATTTATATGCTAAAATCAAAAGCTAATCAAGACAAAACATTCTCAGATATATTACGGTTTTCAATACAAATCACATTCTTGAATATACAATGTCTTAGAATATTAAATTTTTTTTATTATAAGAAGTTTCTGCTATTGAACTCTCCTCTCTATAACCACTTCTTTCATTATAGGCTATTATTAATTTACCTTGAAGCAGCTTTCTTCAGCAGCTTTTTAATCTCATTAATTTTACAGGTGTGCTTCTTATGAATAACCACAAATGCATTACAACCATCTGGTGGTGGCTCATCAGCTGCAATCTAAGATTTCAAAGATTATATTTAGCTACAGCAGTTGATAATTACAATATGATTTTAAAACCCTCACACATTACTTTGATTAAAATAACTCATCAACTACTATTAAGTTATTGCTCTAATTAAAGTAAAAAAACATCTATACGTAGGTAGAATCTAAGAAATATTTTAATAAAATCAACTTTATCCTAGGAAAGACATGCTTCATAGTTATTGAAAAAATTCTATTAAAATTTTATGATACTTCATTTCAATTATTTGTCCTCATAATTTCCTTATCCCAAATAACTATAAAAATTACAGAATATATTCAATTACATTATAATAAATGACAACAATAATAATATAATCAATGATAGGCTATGGAACCAACTATAAACTTGTAGATCATTTTGAACTAAAGATGTTCATATTAAAGAACTCTATGTACATTGCTAGCGTGCCTCTTTGTCAAATACAGATTGGGTATTTTTACGCACCTGCTGAAACATCTGAATAGCTGGGGAGTATGCCCTTATAGAGAAAGCAAACTTTAAAAGGTTGATGTGTAAATTGTCTAGAAACTGTCCAGCTTTCTTCAGGATTAAGTTGTAATAAGAATAATCTGATTCTATAAAAAGAAGTCAAAAGAAAATAAATGTTAGCATTTTATACACTGCACATTGGCACATCTTCCACTGTAAGGCTAACTTAATGTCATATAATCATATCTGAAGTTTGGTTATGGATAATGCTAGAGAAAAATGGAAAAATCAAGATCTCAGTTCTATAATCAACTTCATTTTGGATCTTCCAGTAATGTCCAAGTAATCAACATGAGACCAGGTGAAAATAATCTTGCCATTAAAATCTATTTGGAAACACCAACATTTCAGACCAACTTACTCCAAAGTTGTGGGGTTATATTACAAGGATAAGATATAAGTCCTACCTACAAGGTAGAAATTAAGAACAGCAGAAAAGTTAAATAATATGATTGTTAATGAATTTTAAAGTACCTGTATGAATAAATTCTACTGAGATTTAGTGCCAATAGCCAAGTATAATTAGTGTATCCAGAATACTTTTAGGAGACAAAATTTGAACCAGGTCTTCAAAACTAAATGTCATCTTGTCTGGAACTTGAACAAACTAACCTGAGCTGCGAGTTGCCTACTATAAACCCTATTCAAAGAACTCAAAGACATAAAGGAGAAGGAGGGATCCTAGAATTTAATTAAAAATTCTCCAACACCCCTGGGGAGACAGAGATCACTTGAATGGGAGAAGGCAGAAAAGTGCAGCCTAGAGCTGAAGAAGACCTGGTGGCACTAACGGGGATAAGCAGGGGTGGGCAGAACTTTCTGTCTGTGCCCTTTTCCTTTCTCTACTCTTCCCTGGGTGTAACCATTGACTGCATTGTGTCAGAAAACTGTAATGTCATTCCAGGGCCAGCCAGAGATGGTAAGGTAATAACAGGGCAGCTCTGGAGTCCATTTGGTATAGGCATCCATAGAGGCTGGCCTCTAGACATTCTCTGGTAATTTATTCTCCTCTACATCTTGGCACTGGGTTATCAAGTGATGGAAATTTCTCATACAAAAGAACAGAGTTGAGGTAGATGAAGAGCAGTTCCCTGTGGATATCTGATGTGAAAGGGATAACAAGAAGAATGTGGTTACACCAGACTGCAACACCAGATACTCTCTTTCTGAGAGGAGGAAAAGGATGTTCTGACTGGAAGCAGACATTTTGGGGTTGGCTGGAAGACTGGGTTGTTTGCTGATTGTGACAATGTTTACTATTTGCTCCGAAAGTGCTGGGCCCTTGACCCTCAGTTCCTCTCTTTACCACAACCCATTCAGGGTACAGGTGTTATCTGGCCCTCCAAGTTGTCCTGTGGGAACTGAGGCTCAGGCAACCAGTGCAAATATGGGACATTGTGGTTATTGCTTTTGTTATATGTAATAAAGCCTTCTTCTGTCTCTGAATCAGGGGTTTCAGGTCATCTGTCAGCATCCATGAAACTAATCTGTTATCTTTGCAAATAGGGTAACATCTCAGACCCTTCACAGTACTTGACAGATCTGACAACAAAATGGAATGCTGACAAGATACGTGGATTTCTGGAGAATAAAAGACCCAGTCCCATGGTCCAATTAATAGGATTTGAGGAGAGTGCTTGAGAAGTAATAGTGGATATTCTGACAAAACTGTACAGTCAATCAGGCAATGAGTCATCTTAATTTTGCTGCCTATTAATGAAGAGAAGAAGAAAAGGTTATAGGCCAAGGGAAATAAGTTCAAAAATATCTCCCAAACAATGTCTTAGTGGCACCTTATGACTAAATTCCTCCTACAGTCCAACTTGCCAATATTAGATCCTTTCAAAGATGACAATAAAAAGTCTCAGAGTTTAGTTCAATAGGTCCTGGCTGATATAAAGAAGCTATGAATCACTCAGGAGATTTCCTCTAGTCAGTTATAAAGTCTTTCAGCTCTGATCCAAGAGTCTTATGTTGTCCATCTGATTCCTGAAACTGTGGCAAGCTAAGTTTTTAGCTTGCAAGCAGGGTAAAAATTCCAGCCCCTTCACAGCTCTTGACAAAAAGCTCAGAAATGAGATGACCAAAAAAAGAGGGAGATATGAGAAGTTTCCTGAAAGAATACAAATAAGAACTAGAAAGAAAATAATACTAGAAAATACAGATTAAATTAGAAGGAGCACAAGAGTAAAGAGACACTGTGGAAAACAGTAGGAGAAACAGAATATGCAGAGGAAAAGTGATAAAAATGAAACAAATAAAAAGGAGAGAAGGGAAAAATGACTTGAGAGTAAATGACAAACACAGAGGTCAGGCAAAGGAGATTAATATATGTATACTTGTAGACCCTAAGGCAGAAAATCAAGGGAATGGAACAGAATAATTAAAGAAAACTATAATCCAAGAAAACTTTCCAGAATTAAAAATAATGAACTTACATACCTAAAACAAAAAAGACACAGAATGATCAGCATTGCAACATTCTCTAGTTTAAAAAACAAACAAACAAACAAAAAACAACTCTGGGGCTCTAAAGTTAAAAATCAGAAGTTTCGAATTCACACATGAACAATTAAGTATGTGAAGAACTCAAGGGCTATTTTTCCAAGAGTTATTCATGAGGCACCAACCAGAGAGCAAACTTTATATAACCAAGAAATAATTGGAGAAATTGCAGCATAAAGTCTGATTGTGAGCTCTATACCATCTCTACATCAATTCACAAAGAAGTCATTAAAAAGTATTGGTATAATTGTTTAATTTGGTGCCTCTTATTAAGCTATAAACCATGAAGGAAAGGATCTTTTCTATCATAGTTTTTCAACTGTACATTTCTACTCCTGGCATACAAAATAGACATTCAATAAATTTCTTTAATATTTAATAAATATTATAAATAAGTTTCTTCATTCTAAACAATATTTTCCTAATCCAGTTGCTTTAAACAGTTGACATATGAGAATAAGCATTGCCTCTTTCACTCTTCTTTTTTTTTTTTTTTTTTTTTTTGAGACGGAGTCTCGCTCTGTCGCCCAGGTCGGACTGCGGACTGCAGTGGCGCAATCTCGGCTCACTGCAAGCTCCGCTTCCCAGGTTCACGCCATTCTCCTGCCTCAGCCTCCCGAGTAGCTGGGACTACAGGCGCCCTCCACCGCGCCCGGCTAATTTTTTGTATTTTTAGTAGAGACGGGGTTTCACCTTGTTAGCCAGGATGGTCTCGATCTCCTGACCTCATGATCCACCTGCCTCGGCCTCCCAAAGTGCTGGGATTACAGGCGTGAGCCACCGCGCCCAGCCCACTCTTAATTCTTTAACAAACTATAGATGATTTCTCAGAACTTGGGAGATATGGTGAGTTTTCCTCCAAGAATCAAAAAATAATGCAAATAAGATTCGTGTTCAACAGTAAAAGCAAAATAGAAAATAAATGTTATTTTAAATAATATTCTTAAAATACTTATAGTTACAAGGTCAGCAAGAAAATAATAAAAATTAATGTAATGACATCTAAAATATGACTACATCAGTCAAAGGACTGGTCACCCAGGGAAGCAGAGAAAAGTCAAAAGAAATGTGAGTAGTGCCTGACAACAGATACCAAATTTCATCAAGGTCACCATCAAGGTTGTCCCTTATGTAGTAATGAATGTAGGATTCAGGAGTTTATAGAAAGTAAACTTTTATAATTTAGATGTAACTAGCAAGATCATCTCTATTATGAAATGGATGCATTGGGCTATTTTGGCTGATTTGTTAAATAACTAAATCCATGCTCACCAACCACCTGCTAAAAATGCCCCTTCAATATTTTCTGCCTTTATCTTCAACCTCAGCTTTTACTCAATTTTTGACTACTGGCACCTAATATTCAAAAATCACTCTTATTAAAAAAAATAAGTGGCAGCCTCCACAGACAGCTACTGACTCATCTTATTCCCTTCATAGTCAAAGGTCTTAAAAGACTTAACGACACGTAGCTCTACTGGAAGGGGACATTTTGGGGGTGGTTGGAGACTGGGTTATTTGCTGATTGTGACAATTTGACAAGAAACTCAGAAATTAGATAACCAAATAACAGAGATATGAAAAGCTTTACTCACATCTTAACTTACTAAAGTCTTGATTACTATACCAGTGAAATGGTTCTCACCAAAGGCACTAATAATTTCTCTGTTTTTAAAAGTAGTAGGTGCATAATATTCATATTACTTGATCTGTCTACAGTATTTGATAACAGCAATCACTTACAACTTAATATTCTCCTGGCTTTCATGATCTAATACTTTTACAGGATTTCAGCTACCACTACAGGTACTCTTCCTTAGTCTCCACTGTGTGCTGTTCTTCTCATCAGATTCCCTTAAACATTGCTGTTCTCAGGGTTCTGCCACTGGGCACTATTTTATTCTCATTCTGTGCCTTCTCCCTACAACTTAAATTACCGTTTTTCATATTGATCACTCTGAAATCCTACCCTTTATCCTATAATTTATTTTATCTAGATCTCTCACTCATATATCAGCTTACCGATATATTTATATTTGGATATTTCACAAGCATTTCAAATGTGGCACGTCCAAATTCCAATTACCTTCTTCCCCCAAATCTGGTTCTTGGGTAAAAGTAACTATGTTAGAAAGCCTTAACATTTTTTGAAAATTTCTTCCATTAATAAAATACAAAAGCAACTTAATTTGTGTAAAAACCACTAAAATCTTCAAGGACTTTGAAAATGACATTCTTATATGCTGAGCAGCATGTGAAGAAGTAAAAATAAACAGGCATTTGGAAATCAGATAAATCTTGGGTGACATTTCTCACCTCACAAAACTACATAGGTTAACTAATATGCCACTTGAATCTTGAAGCATCAATAAATATGTAAGTCTGGCAGAACCATATAAATTTTTTTAAACAGGCAATTCATTGCTTAAAAAGTCTTAATTTGCTGGCATATAATATAAAGTAATTGCATTAAATGGTATAAAACTAGTACTTGAATTCAAAAAGTTAAATGTTCAATATTTACAATTTTTTTAGGCAGGTGGATCACTAAGACATGCTTTAGTAAAGAGTATTTAGAAGGTCTCATGGAGATTCAACAACCTAAATTAGTACAAGTAACAGAGGATTATTAAATGTTTCCTCTAAGATGTCTTGAAAACAAATTCAGTAAAATCTGCTCATTAGGCCGGGCACGGTGGCTCACACCTGTAAATCCCAGAACTTTGGGAGGCCGAGGTGGGCGGATCACGAGGTCACGAGATCGAGACCATCCTGGCTAACACGGTGAAACCCCGTCTCTAATAAAAAAAAAAATACAAAAAATTAGCCGGGCGTGGTGGTGGGCACCTGTAGCCCCAGCTACTTCAGAGGCTTAGGTGGGAGAATGGTGTGAACCCAGGAGGCGGAGCTGGCAGTTAGCCGAGATCATGCCACTGAACTCCAGCCTGGGCGACACAGTGAGACACCGTCTCAAAAAAAAATCTCTGCTCATTATTTCTCATTTGTACCATTCTTTTCCACATTTAACAAGGTCAGCAATAATATCACCACATGCATTAGACTCTGCCATTATAAATAAAGCCAATAGAATTATATTTTAAGTGTTATTTATTTATTTATTTTTTTGAGTCAGAGTCTCACTCTGTTGCCCAGACTGCAGTCCAGTGGTGTGATCTCGGCTCACTGCAGCCTATGCCTCCAGTGTTCAAGTGAGTCTTGTGCCTCAGCCTCCCGAGTAGCTGGATTACAGGCCCGCACCACCACGCCCAGCTAATTTGTGTATTTTCAGTAGAGACGGGGTCTCACAATGTTGGCCAGGCTGGTCTCGAACTCCTGGCCTCAAGTGATCTGCCCACCTCAGCCTCCCAAAGTGCTGGGATTACAGGCATGAGCCACTGTGCTGTGCTAGTAATTCCTACTTTAATACAATTTAGGTTCAACCCTGAAAACACTTGAAATACCTCCTTCCATATATGCTTGATGTAGAGTTTAGGTACTCCTGAGCTTATATTCCAGCTTGTGAATGATCTGCCACCAGATTGTCCAGGTATATCATTTCATTTAGGTATAAAATATGCTGATATATTTAAGTAACTTAAAATGAATTTGAAATTTACAGGAGTAATTTTTAAGATTGCGTCTCCAATAAAAAATAGCACTGAATAAGGCCAAAAAGCATGTACTGAGAACAACATATATGGGACAGATATATTGAGGATTTTAGGTGAGAGACACGAAATTTGGTGTTAGGTTTTTTTAAACTATCTTGGATACTTGACATTAACCATGAAAACCTTACATATTAATCTAGCCTACTTTTACCTCAATCACCAAAACTATTAATAAAATTACTAGGACAAATATGAGGACAACAGACAGTAATTTCCTAATGATTTGAAAGTAAACATTACTAAGTGATCGAGGTTCCTCCACACATTCCATTCCGGTCTCTTCTACTCATTTGTGTTCCCTACTCCCTGGCTAAATCTCATCATTCAAACTCAGCTCCAGCATTCAGCACTGAAAATCCTGTCTTGCTCTCTCTGGAACACTGACTAGGTGCCTCTTTTATGTGTTTTCATGTTATGCATGACCCAATTAAAGCTCTTATCGCCTAATAGTGTACATCACTGTTTTGCTGTCTCCTTCATTGTTTCACAAAGTCCTGTGGATGTAGATCCCATTTATTCATCTTTGTATTCCCATCATCTAAAGTACCTCCAGCATTTCTTATGACTAAAAAGCTTTTTCAGGAAAAAATTTTGAAAGGAAAAATTATTTGCTTTTGGAAATATTTCAGTTTAAAATGTTATTAAAAGCATGTCTGATCTCTTTATTTTTAAAATCTACTTTGTGAAATCACAAAATCACTGAACTTCAAGGCTACCTGAGCCAAACAGGCTTCAGTAAATGAGCATTTAAAACATCTGAAACTTAGTTTATCTTACATTTACACTCAGGAACAAAATAATAAACTATTTTAATCACCAATAGTAAGAAGATGTCTCTATATCTAAATGGCTGAAGATTTTACTCTTAAGGGATTCCATGCTCATGTCATCTATTCTAGTCTCTGCAGAGATAGGAAAATAATAAACACATTAATAAACACTTTTTAATTCTGAGGAAGATATACGTATATATAGGTATATACTCTCATATACATATAAAAACAGAAATTACTATCTTACAAATAGTGAAATGAGAGCATATTAGTTACCTGACTTTTTGAGGTATTAAAAGTTTCTTTAATGGTTTAAGAGTCAAAGTATTCTGCCAATAAAAATGCAATATACGTGTCAGTATACATTAGTCCAAACCCATAGAACGTATAACAGCAAGATTGAACCCTAATGTAAACTATGGACCTTGCGTATTAAGGATCTGTCAAGGAAGGTTCATCAACAGATATATATGTACCACACTAGTGAGGGATGTTGATAACAGGGGAGGCTATTTATGTGTAGGGGAAGGGGGAATATGGGAAATCTCTGTACTTTCTGTCCAATTTTGCTATGAACTTAGAACTACTCTAAAAAAATTAAGTCTACTTTTAAAAAAGAAAAAAATGTACTATTACTAGATGCAAAATTATTACTTCAAAGAAATCTAGGTAAAAAGAAAACTATCTTAATTTTTTTGGGGGGGGACAGGGGAGACAAGGCCTCTCTCTGTCGCTCAGGCTGGAGTGCAGTGGTACAAACACAGCTCAAACTCCTGGGTTCAAGTGATCCTCCACCTCAGTCTCACAAAGTGCTGGGATTACAGGTGTGAAACACCACACCTGGCCAATTTATTTTATTTTTTTATTTTTCTTTTTTAGAAACAGGGTCTTGCTATACTGCCCAGGCTAGTCTCTGACTCCTGGGCTCAAGCAGTCAATCCTCTGGCCTTGGGCCTTCCAAGTAGCTGCTACTACAGATGCACACCACCATGCCCAGGTAACAATTTTGATTTCTTCTTGATGAGAATGCAATATCCAAACATGACTAATTATATGAGGTATCTTATAATAAAGTATTAAAACCTTGTATTTTTGGAAACAGATGCTTAGAATGGTTTCTATTAAAACATATTTTCAAATTTAATGTTCGGATTTACTAACCCAGTGAAGCATTCACACTTAACCATTACCATTAAAAAATAATAAACATTACAATGTGTGTACATAAATACAAATCTTACAAGTTAAAATTTACATATCACCTACCTGTTTGCTTATAAATTGCTAATTCTTGCACAGTTTCCAAAAACTGCCAAAATTTTTCATTACTTTCTTCTGCCATAAATTCACTATTAAAAAAATAGAAGTAATCGGTTAGTAGATGGAATTTAAAATGGTTTAGATACTATAAACTGTACTCAAGAACCAAATTATATCTATGGCAAAAACAAAAACCCCTAAAAATTAATGTCAAATTACTAATTTCCATTTACTATAACACTGGAAAAAAACACACTGACTATTCTTACCTGAGATATCATTCTCAACTATAAACATATAATCATGTCAGGAAAAGGCTTCATGAGAAATTACCTTTGGCTTTTCCTTGTTATTAGCAACAACTAAAAAATTGATAGTTTATTCTATCTTGCCATATGAAATGCCACTGAGAAATACAAAAATTATAATTAAGATAGAACATTATATAAAGGTAAAAAGTAGAAAAAAAAGACCACCTGTTTCATAAACAAAAACTGGTTCTATAAATATTTTATAGAAGTTATATTATCTATTGCCTTTACTTGTGTAGAAAATCTTTTTTATTATTTAAAACAGAAAAGATCTTAATTTTAAAAACAGGAAATCAGTGTACTGCACTATGTCTTTGGCCATAAAGCCCAATGAAATTTTCATGGTATTTAAGAAAAAATGGCCAAAGCCATTTAAAGCCTTTCAGAAATAATGAAATAAATGAAAGATTTAGTTCTGCACAGAACAAAACACTAGAGAGCTAAAACAAATAGGGTTAAATATTTAAGCTAGAAACAAAACAGCCACCATACACATGGTGCTGATTATTTGTTATTGCCCACCTTACCTTTCTCTCTAGGCTTGGTAAACTTAAACTAATGCTTAAAATAAATGGAAAGTATTGAGAACATCCACAACACATACAGATTAACTAATTCTTGTGAGTCTGACATGGCCACTAAAAAGGAAAAAGGAAGTCAGAAAGACTGATTAATTCATCAACATAAACACGACAAGCATAGGAATTTAGAGTAATAAGTAACTTCAAATCAACACTGGGCAAGGCTTAACTGATTTGACCAAACAGCTACAGACATGCTCATATACTGTGCAACCACAGGTAAAAACTTCTTCCAACTACCAGAATCTGTACATCTAACTAAGTCTGATCCTTCAAAGTGATCGCCTTAAGAAAGTGTTCCAGCTAACAAGGGAAGTGAAGGACCTCTTCAAGGAGAACTACAAATCGCTGCTCAAGGAGATCAGAGAGGACACAAATGGAAAAACATTCCATGCTCATGGATAGGAAGAATCAATTCTGTGAAAATGGCCATACTGCCCAAAGTAATTTATAGATTCAATGCTATTCCTAGTAAACTGATGGCAGCAGTGACCTGTCTAGAGTGGCAGCTGCAAAAACGCCAGCTGTAGCAAGGGAGATATGGCCAGGGTTGTGTACTCCACGGAGCTGGTGGGAGCAAGGAACAGGTGGAAGCCCCACCCACTTCTGAGTTGGTAGGGTGGAGGGCCCGCACTCCCCAGGTGCAGCTGTCCGGACCCGGACATCCCTGTGCTTTTGGGGGCTGAAGGCAGGTAGGAGCCCATGCCTCCTACTGAGTTGGCGGGGTGGGAGCCCTGCACTCCCTGGGTGCAGCTGCAACCACCCAGCTGCAGCTGTGGACCAACGCATCCCTGCACTCTCAGGGGCCTGCAAAGCCCCCTGTCCCAACACAGACTTGAAAGTGCCTGCTCCTGCTTCCTGGCCTCTTCTCTGCTCCCAATCCCTGCTTCAATTTCGGAGCAAAGTTGCACCTGAGCCTAGAAGCTGCCACAACCCGGCTGGTTGTACATGTTTGGGGTAGTGCTGACATGCCAGCCCCCTACCACCTCAGCCCCCTCCAGACTTTGGGCACCAATGGGCATGGAAGGGAGGCCAAGAGGGCCTGGGAGCAGCTTGGCACAGGCCTGAAAGGTGCCCCATGACGCGAACTGCCTGGGTGCCATGGACATGGTAGATGGCAGGTTAATGGTGGCAGGGAGCAGATGGGCAAAAAGGGATGGGTCCCCGGTGAAGCCCCACCTTCAAGCTAAGGACAACCTGAAGCCTGGGGGCTGGGCTACCTCTTCCATGGACTGCAGTGAGAACGTACGGTGTTTTTGTCCCGGCCTACCCAGGGCCTCCCATGGACGAGTCAGCACACACTTACCCCCCTCTGAAGCCCATAAAAACCCCAGACTCAGCCAAACTCAGGCAGATAATGAGATGACCTGCCTGTGGATAGGAGCTACCCATTCCAGGTGTCCTCTCCCAGACATCGGGATGACCTGACTGCAGGTGGAAGGTGGCCACTCCATTTCTCCTCTCAGCTGAGGGCTGCAGACTCAACAGAATGACCTGCCTGTGAAAAGGAGCTACCCACTCCATGTCTCCTCTCTAGTGACAGCTGCGCTCATCAAGACGATCTGCCAGCAGAAAGGAGCTACCAACTTCAGTTCTCCTAAGAGCTGTACTGTCTCTCAATAAAGCACCTCTTTGCCTTGCTCACCTTCCAGTTGTCTACATGCCTCATTCTTCCTGAACATGCAACAAGAACTTGGAACTCACCAAATGGCAGGACTGAAAGAGCTGTAACATGAACAGGGCTGAAACACGTGCCCCACTCACCACATTGCAGGCAATGAAAAGGAGAGAAGAGCTGCAGCCCTTTGGGGAGCCCAGACCTACAGGCTCCCTGAGCCAGAGCTGTGACACTCACTCTCTTTAGGGCTGTGTGGTTCCTGGTATCTCCAAGCTTCCAGGTGCCACTGCATTCCACCACAGTGCCTGCAGTGGAAGCCACCTGCAGTATGCCTGGTCGAGCCACAGTCTTGTACAAAGCTGGTGCCTGTGCCAGTACCTGGAGCTGCCCACCCCACTGCAGCTGGCACTCCTGGCTGTGCGCAGTGGCCGGACCCTGTGCTTGCTCACACACTCACCGCCGCCCTGCACCTGGCTCCCCCTTGGCAGGTGTGGGATCCAGGCCAGTAACACAAGCCGAGCATAGCCTGCCAGGCCGAGTGGACAAAAGGAGCACAGCAGGCCCGAGCAAAACTAGGGCAAAGGTGCTACCAGCCATAGAGGTTTCCGGCTGGCAAAGCCAAAACCCTTATCACGGGATCCTTATCCTGTGACAAAACTACCACTGACATTCTTCACAGAATTAGAAAATATGAAAAAGAGCCCAAATAGCCAAGACAATCTGAAGCAAAAAGAACAAAGCTGGAGGCATCATGCTACCTAACTTCAAACTATACTACAAGGTTACAGTAACCAATACAGCATGCTACTGGTACAAGGACATACACATAGATCAATGGAACAGAATAGAGAACTCAGAAATAAGACTGCACACCTACAAGCATCTGATATTTGACAAACCTGACAGAAACAAGCAATGAAAGGATTCCCTATTTAATAAATGGTTCTGGGAGAACTGGCTAGCCATATGCAGAAAACTGAAACTGGACCCCTTCCTTACACCTTATACAAAAATTAACTCAAGATGAATTAGAGACTTAAATGTAAAACCTAAAATTATAAAAACCCTATAAGAAAATCTAAGCAATACAATTCAGGACATAGACACAAGCAATGATTTCATGACAAAAATGCCAAGAGCAATTGCAACAAAAGCAAAAATTGACAAATGAGATCTATTTAAACTAAAGAGTTTCTGCACAACAAAAACTATCACCAGAGTGAACACACAACCTACAGAATGGGAGAAAATTTCTGCAATGTATCCATCTGACAAAGGTCTAACATGCAAAGTCTATAAGGAACTTCAACAAATTTACAAGAAAAAAACAAACGACCCCATTAAAAAGTGGGCAAAGGACATGAATAGACACTTATCAAAATAAAACATTCATGCGGCCAACAAACATGAAAAAAAGCTCCACATCACTGATCATTAGAGAACTGCAAATCAAAACCACAATGAGATACCATCTCACACCAGTCAGAATGGTGATTATTAAGAAGTCAAGAAACAATAGATGCTGGCAAGGTTGTGGAGAAAAAAATGCTTCTACACTGTTGGTGGGAACGTAAATTAGTTCAACCATTGTAGAAGACAGTGTGGCAATTCCTCAAAGATCTAGAGGCAGAAATACCATTTGACCCAGCAATCCCATTACTGGGTGTATACCCAAAGGAATATAAATCATATTATGAATATACATGCACACATATGTCCACTGCAGCGCTATTTACAATAGCGAAGACATGGCATCAACTTATATCCCCATCAATGATAGACTGAATAAAGAAAATGTGGTATATATACACTACAGAATACTATGCAGCCATAAAAATGAACAAGGTCATGTCTTTTGCAGAAACATGGATGGAGCTGGAAGCCATTATCCTCAGCAAACTAATGCAGAGACAGAAACCCAAACACCGCATGTTTTCACTTACAAGTGGGAGCTGAATGATGAGAACACATGGACACATGGGGGTAACGACACACACTGGACTCTGTTGGAAAGGTGCAAGGGGACGGAGAGCACCAAGAAGAAAGTTAATGGATGCTGGGCTTCATACCTAGGTGATAGTTTGATCTGTGCAGCAAACCACCATGGCACACATTTACCTATGTAACAAACCTGCACATCCTGCATGTGTACCCTGGAACTTAAAAGTTCAAGTAAAAAAAAAAAAAGTATTCACTTAAAAGTTATTCCCTCAATACATCACTGCTCTAAGCACTTTTGGAACTCTTCTGGAATCTCAGAGGCCATTTACTGGTAACTCATTATTAATCACTGAAGAGCAAACATCCTTGAGACCATCTAAACCAGTTCTGCACCTGGTAAAAGGTAAGATATTACCTTTGAACAACATTTTTGTTTGTTTGTTTAAGACAGCATCTCCCTTTGTCACACAGGCTGGAGTGCAGTGGTGCAAACATGGCTTACTTTAGCCTGGGAGGTCTCAAGCGATCCTCCCACTGCAGCCACTTAAGTAGTTGGGACTACAGGCACATGCCACCATGCCCAGTTCACTCTTTTGGACAAAGTTTTTTTAAAGGTAACAAGCTGGCATTTGCAATTGTTCACTTGCCTTACAAAATATATGGCTCAAAATAAGTGTATTTCTTCAAAAAATTCTACCCAGAGAAAACAGTTATTTCTACAAAGGGTGTTTTTATACGCACTAAAGAGTTTGACAGTAATTATAAGTGGAATTTCAAAAATATTTTCAGTCAGATCAACACAAGTAGAATAACTGCAGTTCAGATGTACAAATTAAGGTATGCATACTGTAAAATGCTAGCCTCTTCAGCCTATAACCACCTCTAGCCAGAGTCTTGCTCTGTCGCCCAGGCTGGAGTGCAGTGGTGCGATCTTGACTCACTGCAACCTTCACCTCCCTGGTTCAAACAATTCTCCTGCCTCAGCCTCCTGAGTAGCTAGGATTATAGGCATGTGCCACCACACGCAGCTATTTTTTGTATTTTTAGTAGAGACAGGGTTTCACCATGTTGGCTACGCTGGTCTCAAATTCCTGACCTCATGATCTGCCCGCCTCGGCCTCCCCAAGTGCTGGGACTACAGGCCTGAGCCACTGCGCTTGGCCGCAAATTTTATTATACTATAAATTTCTTTATACAGGGGACATACCTTATTCATCTTTGTTTCCTACATAAGACTATACTCAAGTTATGCACTCAAATTTCCAGGATGAACTGAAAAATATCTGTGTGTGTGTGTATGCATTTATAGATTTTGGTTGGGAAGCTCAATTTTTGGATTTAAAGCATTATTCTTAAAAATTTCCCTCACTTGCTCCCACATTATTTTCCTTAAGTTCCTATCTGCCCAGCTCCTTCAACCTATTCAATGCTCTTCAATTCTTCCACTTCCACACTTACTCTTCTCAACCTCTTTGCTTTTCCTACAATTTTAAGAGAAACATAAACAAATTGAAGGAAAGCAGAATAACGAACTATATAAAATAAATTTTTTGAAGTGCAGTGGTTGAAGAAACTACAGGCTTTTGGCCTGCTATTCTCACATAATGTGTCACACACAGAAACAGATTTGGTTCTGAAAGAGAGGATCAGTAGATAAAAGGTATAGAGAGAAAGATTTTAGTTTATATAATAAAGGACCTCCTACAATTTTGATTTGTTCACAACAAAACAATAAGGCACATGAGGTAACACTGAGCATCCTCTCTGGATTTTCCAAGGACAAACTAGTTTCCACAAGTAAGGTATATTGTAGAGGTAATTCTGATGGTGGCTTAAAGTATACCTTTCCCTATAAAAAGTACCTTTTGTTGAATTAGCATTACTGAGTACCCAACTTTTGTGCACTGTGCCTTGGCAAAATAAACATGAATAAAAAACAGTTTTGTCTCTGAAGCTCACCTTTTAACAACAGAGATTAGCATATATGATACCTTACAGTAAGGATTATTACAGAAATACTGGCCAAATGCTATGAGAGAATAATAGAAAGTTATTAATTTTGTCATGGGAAAGTATCAGGCAAGATAGAGTAATATGGTATGCCCACAAGTAAGGTATCAATGAGGAAGACTGTAAAAGAATGATATATTACTATCCTAGGGCTACCACACCATTACCCAAGGATCCTCTACACATCTTTCCTGGATAACGCCATGTTTGTACTGGGCTTCTGCTGAGATGGTTGAGTGGATTCATGAATCACAGGTCTAACCTATTCAGCAAGAGAAATTTATTCTCTCATAGTTCTGGAGGCCAAAAGTCTGAAGTCAAGGTTTGAGCAGAGTTAATGCAAAAGATTCTAAAAGCTGCCCTTTTTTTGTTGGGTGCATCATTCAAGCCACCCTCTAGCCCCCAAAGCCCCCAAAATCCACCTCCCCTACATAAAATATATTTCCCTTTGCCAACAACCTCCAAAAACTCAACCAATTACAGCATCAATTCTAAGTCCAAAATCTCATGTAAATATCGTCAACTTCATTTACAAATTTTATCATCTAAATCATGTATGGGTGAGACTCTGGGTATGATCCATCCTGGGGTAAAATTCTCCCCTGTCCACCTGTGAAACTAGAAAACAAGTTATGTTTCCAAAATGCAATGGAGAGACAGGCATAGGATGGACACTCTAATTCCCAAAGGAAAAAAATAGAAGGAATAAAGGGGTCACTGGTCACAGGCAAGTTCAAAATCCAGCAGGGCAAATTTCCATTATGTTTCAAAGCCTGAGAATAACTCTCTGTGGCCTGATGCTTCACCCTCTGTGCTGCCTGCCATGGTTCTGCTTGCAGAGTTATTCTTTCTTTCTTGAAAGGGCAGCACAATGTTTACAGCCAAGTAGCTCTATAGTCCATTTCCTGCCTATAGAATTTTGGAAGTCCAACAGCCTTCTTTCATTTTGTCTTGTCTCTTTCGGTCCAAGCTGACAGTGTTTCTAATACATTCCCCAAAACTTTGTAAGACTATTGTATATTTCACCAAGAGCCACATCATTACACGGATCCTCCCCAGATCCTTCCTGGATATCCCCACCTTCTTTATACCAAGCTTCTGGGGAGATGGTTGAGGGGACCCATGAATCACATGCTTAACCTGTTCAGCAAAAGGTTGTCCTGCCAGGTTTCTGTCTTTCTCTCCAGAGCACACATTCCCAACACTGAGTTTCCTAGTTGTAACACTCTTTACAATCTGGATAGGCTGAGAACCTCCAAAATCATCAAGTGTTGGTTCCTTTTTCCTTACCTGTTCCTTTTTAAATTTATCTCTTTCTTCTCTCATTTTAATATAGGCAGCGAGGAGAAACCAAGCAGCACTTTTAACACTTTGCTTGGAAATCTTTTCAGCTCATATCCAAGTTCACCAGTTTCAAGATGTTTTCCACAAACTGTAGAAACCAAGTCAGCCGGTATTGTATCACTACATAACAAGGGTTACCTTTCTTCTAGATTCCAATATAATGTCTCTCATTTCCTTCCAAGCCATGGCCAGAACAGACTTCAATGTTCATATTTCTACTGAAATTCTCTTCAGGATGATATAAGTATTCTCTATGATGACAGAAGTTTTTTCAACTATGCCCTTTAATCTCTTCTAAGCCCTCAGCAGAATCACCCTTAATGTCCAGATTTCTGAAGTCTCCTCAAGGCAGTCTAGGCTTTTAATACCAAACTTCTCAAAATTATTCTAGCCTCTGTCCAACTCCACAGCTACTTCTACATTTTGAACTATTTGTTACAGCAGCACCCAACTTTTTGGTCCAAAATCTGTATTAGTTTCCTAGATCTGTTTAACAAATTATGAAAAATTTGGTGACTTAAAACAGAAACTTATTCTCTCACAATTCTGGAGGCCAGAAGTCCAAAATCAAGGTGTTGGCAGGGCTGTGCTCCCTCTGAAGGCTCTAAGGGAGACTGTTCCATCCTGGTGGCTTCAGCTGTTCCTTGGCTTGAGGCTGCCTAACTCCAATCTCTAACTTCACATGGCCTTCTCCTTTTTGCCTGTGTCTTCTCTGCTTCTGTCTCTTAAAATGACATTGGATTTGGGGCCCATCTAGATAATCCAAGATGATCTCATCTCAAGATCCTTACTTACATTAACACAGACATTTTTCCAAATAAGGTAACATTCACAGGTTCTGGGAGTTAGGATGTGGACATATCTTTTTGAGGCCAGCATTCAACCTACTACAGATGCCCCTTGACTTAGGGTTACCTCCCAATAAACCCATTAAGTTGGGTTTATTAAGTATTAAGTTGCAAATACTATAAGTAAAAAATGCATTTAATACCCTGGCAAACCCATAGTAAAGTCAAAAAATCCTAAATTGAACCATGATAAGTTGGGGACAATTTGTACAAGTGATGGGGTTTGTAAATCAGACTGCGGCTAGACTGTCAAGGACCTTAAGGAGCATAACACAGCAGTTCCAACTCTAAGACTCTCAAGGCAAATGTAAAGCCAGATACTGTAACAAGCAGTCTAAGGCTGGAAAAAGTTAGACTGATTTGGAGCTAAGTGTGAGATCAGATCTAGGCAAACAGTTAAATACTGGGGAAAGGATAAAGGAAGGGGATCAAAATTAAGCTAGAATCAGGTATTAAATAAAAACCGTTTTAGCCTCCCACTCAAATGGACAGAGCAGCATGTGGAGTCTTGAATTCTGAACCTTTGCTCCAGAACTGCTGCAGGAATAAATTAGAAAAGCCAAGAGAACCCACAGACCCTCTGAAGGAAATGAATTGCTCCTGTAGGACCTGGGAGATACCCCAAATACTCTGAGTACCCAAACTGTGAGAGTGGGAAAGGGGGATTGTCTGCCCCTGAAAACACACTCTCACTGGGGAACCCGAAGGTGTATATCACTGGAGAAGATTCTGACCTTACCTGGGGCTGAGTCAATTTAGAGAGCCAAGCAAAATACAAGGGTAGAGGAAGCAGCAGGAAAAGCCCTGTGGGCTCTCTGGGTCCCCTAGGAAGCTATTTCTGCCTTGCCTCACAGGGGTCCTCGGGTAGGGCTGCCAGAGGTACTGGGAAGAGGCCACAGGGAGAAGGAAACCTCCAGCTGAACCTTGTAACAATTTCAAAGGAACAAGAAATCTCCTGGCCAGAACTTGGGAGAGGGCATGAATCTGGTGTGCAAACTCCACAGGTGGGGAAGCATGAGAGCCCTATTTGCATTTGCAGCTGGGAGGCTGGTAGCCTGGGGCAAGTTCTCAGCCCTGCTCGCCCACCACCTAAGTTCTCAGCCCTGCTCGCCCACCGCCTGGAAACAGACTCAGTGCTGTTGGGTGGGGCACAGAGGGAGTGAGACTGGCCTTTTGGGTTGCA
Organism: Homo sapiens; assembly: GCF_000001405.40. Taxonomy (NCBI): domain Eukaryota; kingdom Metazoa; phylum Chordata; class Mammalia; order Primates; family Hominidae; genus Homo; species Homo sapiens. The sequence goes on from NC_000013.11 coordinate 96,041,719, forward strand.
TGGGAGCTGGGTGAGGCCTGTGACTGTAGGCTTTCCCCCACTTCCCTGACAACCTGCATGACAAAGCAGAGGCAGCCATAATCCTCCTGGGAATATAACTCCATTGACCTAGGAATCCCACCCCCATCCCCCACAGCAGTTGCAACAAGACCCACCCAAGGACAGTCTGAGCCCAGACATGCCCTAGAAATGCCCCTATCTGATGGTCCTTCCCTACTCACCATGGTAGCTGAAGACAAAGGGCATATACTCTTAGGAGTTCCAGGGCCCACCCACTGCCTGATCCTCCCCATACTACCACAGCTGATGCTCTATTGAAAAGGCCACCTCCCTGCAGAATGCCAACCAGCACAAAAATAGTGCATTAAACAACAAAAAGTAAGGACCCTCAGAGAGTCCATTTCACCCCCCTGCCACCTCCAGCAGAGCAGGTGCTGGTATCCACAGCTAAGAGACCCATAGACAGTTCAGATCATAGGACTCTGTGCAGACAATTCCTAGTACCAGCCTGGAGCCTGTTAGACCTACTAGGTGGCTAGATCCAGAACAATCTCTACAGCTTGGCTGTCAGGAAGCCACATCTGTAGGAAAAGAAGGAGAGTACTACATCAAGGGAACACCTCTATGGGACAAAAGAATCTGAACAACAGCCTTCAGCCCTAGACCTTCCCTCTGACAGAGCCTACCCAAATGAGAAGGAACCAGAAAACCAACTCTAGTACTATGACAAAACAAGGTTCTTTAACACCCCCCAAAAAAATCACACTCGCTCACCAGCAATAGATCCAAACTAAGATGAAATGCCTGATTTACCTGAAAAGAATTCAGATGGTCAGTTATTAAGCTAATCAAGGAGGCACCAGAGAAAGGCAAAGCCCCATTTAAGGAAATAAAAAAAAAAAGATACAAGAAAGGAGGGGAGAAATCTTCAGTGAAATAGATTGCATAAATAAAAACAATCAAAACTTCAGGAAACAATGGACGCACTTATAGAAATGTAAAATAGAGTTTCAGCAATAGAATCAAATAAGCAGAAGAAAGAACTTCAGAGCTTGAGGACACGGTTTTAAAATTAACCCAATACAACAAAGACAAAGAAAAAAGGATAATAAAATATGAACAAAGCCTCCAAGAAGTCTGGGATTATGTTAAATGACCAAACCTAAGAATAATCAGTATTCCTGAGAAAGAAGAGAAATCTAAAAGTTCGGAAAACATATTTGGGGGAATAATTGAGGAAAACTTCCCCACCCTTTCTAGAGACCTAGACATCCAAATACAAGAAGCTCAAAGAACACCTGGGAAATTCAACACAAAAAGATCATTGCCTAGGCACATAGTCATCAGGTTATCCAAAGTTAAGATGAAGGAAAGAATCTTAAGAGCTGTGAGGCAAAAACACCAGGTAACTAACCTATAAAGGAAAACCTATCAGATTAACAGCAGATTTCTCAGCAGAAACCCTACAAGCTAGAAGGGATTGGGGCCCTATCTTCTGCCTCTTAAACAAAACAATTATCAGTCAAGAATTTCGTATCTAGCAAAACTAATCTTCATAAATGAAGGAAAGATACAGTCTTTTCCAGACAAAAAAATGCTGACAGAATTTGCCACTACCAATCCAGCACCACAAGAACTGCTAAAAGGAGCTCTAAATCTTGAAACAAATCATGGGAATAAATCAAAACAGAACCTCTTTAAAACATAAATCTCGCAGGACCTATAAAACAAAAATACAATTAAAAAAACAAGGTATACAGGCAACAAATAGCACAATGAATAGAATGGTACCTCACATCTCAATACTAACATTGAATGTAAAGGGCCTAAATGCTCCACTTAAAAGATACAGAACTGCAGAATGGATAAGAATTCACCAACCATCTGCTGTCTTCAAGAGACTTACCTATCACCTAAGGACTCACATAAACTTAAGGTAAAGGGGTAGAAAAAGATATTCCATGCAAATGGACACCAAAAGCGAGCAAGAGTAGCTATTCTTATATGAGATAAAACAAATGTTAAAGCAACAACAGTTAAAAAAAGACAAAGAGGGACATTATATAATGATAAAAGGCCTTGTCCAACACGGAAATATTACAATCTGAAATATATATGCAATAATGGAGTTCCCAAATTTATAAAACAATTACTACTAGACTTAAGAAATGAGATACACAGTAACAAAATAATAGTTGGAGACTTCAATACTGCACTGATAGCACTAGACAGGTCATCAAGACAGAAAGTCAACAAAGAAACAATGGATTGAAACTATACCCTGGAAAAAATGGACTTAACAGATATTTACAGAACATTCTACCCAACAACCACAGAATATACATTCTATTCATCATCAGTGCATGAAACTTTTTCCAAGGTAGACCACTGATAGGCCACAAATCAAACCTCAATAAATTTAAGAAAACTGACATTATATCAAACACTCTCTCAGACCACAGTGGAATAAAACTGAAAATCAACCCTAAAAGGAACCTTCAAAACCATGCAAATACATGGAAATTAAATAACCTTCTCCTGAATAAGTCAACAATGAAATCAAGATGGAAATTTAAAATGTTTTTGAACCGAACAACAACAGTGACACAACCTATCAAAACCTCTGGGATACAGCAAAGGCTCTGCTAAGAGGAAAGTTCATAGCCCTAAATGCCTACATCAGAAAGTCTGAAGGTGCACAGACAATCTAAGGTCTAACCTCAAGGAACTAAAGAAACAGAACAAACCAAACCCAATCCCAGTAGAAGTGAAATAACCAAGATTAGAGCAGAACTAAATGAAATTGAAACAAACAAAAAATACAAAAGATAAATGAAACAAAAAGCTAGTTCTTTGAAAAGATAACATAAATAGACCATTAGCAAGATTAAACAAGAAGAAAAAAGAGAAAATCCAAATAAGCTCAATTAGAAATGAAATGGGAGCTATTACAACTGACACCACAGAAATACAAAAGATCATTCAAGGCTACCATGAACAACTTTATATGCATAAAGTAGAAAACCTAGAGGAGATGGATAAATTCCTGGAAAGATACAACCCTCCTAGCTTAAATCAGGAAGAATTAGATACCCTGAACAGAACAATAGTAAGCAGCGAGATTAAAATTGTAATAAAAAATTGTCAACATAAAAACGTCCAGGACCAGACATATTCACAGCCAAATTCTACCAGACATTCAAAGAATTCGTACGAATCCTATTGACACTATTCCACGAGACAGAAAGAGGGAATCCTCCTGAAATCATTCTATGAAGCCAGTATCATCCGAATACCAAAACCAGGAAAAAAACATAACCAAAAAAGGAAACTACATACCAATATCCCTGATGAACACAGATGTAAAAATCCTTAACAATATACTAGCTAACCGAATCCAACAATGTATCAAAAAGATAATCCACCATTATGAAGTGGGTTTCATAACAGGGATGGTTTAATATAGGCAAGTCAATAAATGTGATACACCAGATAAACAGAATTAAAAATAAATATTACATGATCATCTCAATAGACGCAGAAAAAGCATTTGACAAAATCAAGCACCCCTTTATGATTAAAACTCTCAACAAAATCGGCATACAAGGGACATACCTCAATGTAATAAAAGCCATCTATGACAAACCCACAGCCAACATAATACTGAATGGGGAAAAGTTTAAAGCATTCCCTCTGAGAACTGGAACAAGGCAACCATGCCCACTCTCACCACTTCTATTCAACATAGTAATGGAAGTCCTAGTCAGAACAATCAGACAAGAGAAAGAAATAAAGGGCATCCAAATCAGTAAAGAGGAAGTCAAACTGTCGCTGTTAACTGATGATACGATTATATACCTAGAAAACCCCAAAGACTCCTCCAAAAAGCTCCAAGAACTGATAAAAGAATTCAGCAAAGTTTCCAGATACAAAATTAATGTACACAAATCAGTTGCTCTCTTATATACCAACAGCGACCAAACTGAGAATCTAATCAAGAACTCAACCCCTTTTACAACAGCTCCAACAAAAATAAAATGCTTAGGAATACACCTAACAAATGAGGTGAAAGATCTCTACAAGGAAAACTACAAAACACTGCTGAAAGAAATCATAGACGACACAAACAAATGGAACCATACCCCACGCTCATGGATGGGTAGAATCAATACTGTGAAAATGACCATACTGCCAAAAGCAATCTACAAATTCAATGCAATTCCCATCAAAATACCACCATCATTCTTCACAAAACTAGAAAAAAAATCCTAAAATTCATATGGAACCAAAAAAGAGCCCACACAGCCAAAGCAAGATTAAGCAAAAAGAATAAATCTGGAGGAATCACATTACCTGATTTTAAACTATACTATAAAACCATAGTCTCCAAAACAGCATGGTACTGGTGTAAAAACAGGCACATAGACCAATGGAACGTAATAGAGAATCCAGAAATAAACCCAAATACTTCCAGCCAACTGACCTTCGAGAAAGCAAACAAAAACAAAGTGGGGAAAGGACACTCTATTCAAAAAAATGGTGCTGGGATACTTGGCAAGCCACATGTAGGAGAATGAAACTGGATTCTTATCTCTCGCGTTATACAAAAATCAATTCAAGATGGATCAAGGACTTAAATCTAAGACCTGAAACTATAAAAATTCTAGAAGATAACCTCAGAAAAACCCTTTTAGACATTGGCTTAGGCAAGGATTTCATGACCAAGAACCCCAAAGCAAATGCAATAAAAACAAAGATAAATAGGAGAGAGGTTCCAAGATGGCTGAATAGGAACAGCTCCAGTCTACAGCTCCTAGCATGAGCGATGCAGAAGAAAGGTGATTTCCGCATTTCCAACTGAGGTACCAGGTTCATCTCATTGGGGCTTGTCAGACAGTGGGTACAGGGCAGTGGGTGCAGCCCACAGAGTGTGAGCCGAAGCGGGGCAAGGCATCGCCTCACCCGGAAAGTGCAAGAGGTCGGGGAATTCCCTTTCCTAGCCAAGGGAAGCCGTGACAGATGGCACCTGGAAAATCGGGTCACTCCTACCCTAATACTGCGCTTTTCCAACGGTCTTAGCAAACGGCACACCAGGAGATTATATCCTGCGCATGGCTTGAAGAGTCCCATGTCCACGGAGCCTCCCTCATTGCTAGCACAGCAGTCTGAGATCCAACCGCAAGGCAGCAGTGAGGCTGGGGGAGGGGCACCCGCCATTGCTGAGGTTTGAGTAGGTAAACAAAGCAGTCTGGAAGCTTGAACTGGGTGGAGCCCACCACAGCTCCAGGAGGCCTGCCTGCCTCTGTAGACTCCACCTCTGGGGGTCAGGGCATAACTGAACAAAAGGCAGCAGAAACTTCTGCACACTTATATGTCCCTGTCTGACAGCTTTGAAGAGAGTGGTGCTTCTCCCAGCACGGAGTTTGAGATCTGAGAACAGACAGACTGCCTCCTCAAGTGGATCCCTGAACCCCAAGTAGCCTAATGGGGAGGCACTTCCCAGTAGGGGCCGACTGACACCTCATACAGCCGGGTGCCCCTCTGAGACGAAGCTTCCAGAGGAACAATAAGACAGCAACATTTGCCGTTCTGCAATATTTGCTGTTCTGCAGCCTCTGCTGTAGATACCCAGGCAAACAGGGTCTGGAGTGGACCTCCAGCAAACTCCAACAGACCTGCAGCTGAGGGTCCTGACTGTTAGAAGTAAAACTAACAAACAGAAAGGACATCCACACCAAAATCCCATCTGTACGTCACCATCATCAAAGACCAAAGGTAGATAAAACCACAAAGATGGGGAGAAACCAGAGCAGAAAAGCTGCAAATTCTAAAAATCAGAGTGCCTCTTCTCCTCCAAAGGAACGCAGCTCCTTGCTATGTGAGAGAGACACACATAGGCTCAAAATAAAGGGATGGAGGAAGATCTACCAAGCAAATGGGAAACAAAAAAAAGCAGGGGTTGCAATCCTAGTCTCTGATAAAACAGACTTTAAACCAACAAAGATCAGAAGAGACAAAGAAGGCCATTACATAATGGTAAAGGGATTAATTCAACAAGAAGAGCTAACTATCCTAAATACATATGCACCCAATACAGGAGCAACTAGATTCATAAAGCAAGTCCTTAGAGACCTAGAAAGAGATTTAGACTCCCACACAATAATAATGGGAGACTTTAACACCCCACTGTCAACATTAGACAGATCAACGAGACAGAAAGTTAACAAGGATATCCAGGAATTGAACTCAGCTCTGCACCAAGCAGACCTAATAGACATCTACAGAACTCTCCACCCCAAATCAACAGAATATACGTTCTTCTCAGCACCACACCGCACTTATTCCAAAATTGACCACATAGTTGCAAGTAAAGGACTCCTCAGCAAATGTAAAAGAAGAGAAATTATAACATACTGTCTCTCAGACAACAGCAATCAAACTAGAACTCAAGATTAAGAAATTCACTCATAACCACTCAACTACATGAAAACTGAACAACCTGCTCCTGAATGACTACTGGGTACATAACAAAATGAAGGCAGAAATAAAGCTGTTCTTTGAAACCAATAAGAACAAAGACACAACATACCAGAATCTCTGGGACACATTTAAAGCAGTGTGTAGAGGGAAATTTATAGCACTAAATGTCCACAAGAGAAAGCAGGAAAGATCTAAAATTGACACCCTAACATCAAATTAAAAGAACTAGAGAAGCAGGAGCAACCACATTCAAAAGCTAGCAGAAGGCAAGAAATAACTAAGATCAGAGCAAAACTGAAGGAGATAGAGACACAAGAAAACCATTCAAAAAAATATCAATGAATTCAGGAGCTGGTTTTTTGAAAAGATCAACAAAATTGATAGACCGCTAGCAAGACTAATAAAGAAGAAAAGAGAAGAATCAAATAGATGCAATAAAAAATGATAAAGGGGATATCACTACCAATCCCACAGAAATCCAAACTACCATCAGAGAATACTATAAACACCTCTACGCAAATAAACTAGAAAATCTAGAAGAAATGGATAAATTCCTGTACACATACACCCTCCCAAGACTAAACCAGGAAGAAGTTGAATCCCTGAATACACCAATAACAGGCTCTGAAATTGAGGCAATAATAGCCTACCAAACAAAAAAAGTCCAGGACCAGACAGATTCACAGCCAAATTGTACCAAAGGTACAAAGAGGAGCTGGTACCATTCTTTCTTAAACTATTCCAATTGATACAAAAAAAGGGAATCCTCCCTAACTCATTTTATAAGGCCAGCATCATCCTGATACCAAAGCCTGGCAGAGACACAACAAAAAAAGAGAATTTTAGACCAATATCCCTGATGAACATCAATGCAAAAACCTCAATAAAATACTGGCAAACCAAATCCAGCAGCATCTCAAAAAGCTTATCCACCATGATCAAGTGGGCTTCATCCCTGGGATGCAAGGCTGTTTCAACATATGCAAATCAATAAACATAATTCATCATATAAACAGAACCAAAGACAAAAACCACATGATTATCTTAATAGATGCAGAAAAGGCCTTTGACAAAATTCAACAGCCCTTCATGCTAAAAACTCTCAAATTAGGTATTGATGGGACATATCTCAAAATAATAAGAGCTATTTATGACAAATCTGCAGCCAATATCATACTGAATGGGCAAAATCTGGAAGCATTCCCTTTGAAAACTGGCACAAGACAAGGATGCCCTCTCTCACCACTCCTATTCAACACAGTGTTGGAAGTTCTGGCCAGGGCAATCAGGCAGGAGAAAGAAATAAAGGGTATTCAATTAGGAAAAGAGGAAGTCAAATTGTCCCTGTTGGCAGATGATATGATTGTATATTTAGAAAACCCCATCATCTCAGCCCAAAATCTCCTTAAGCTGATAAGCAACTTCAGCAAAGTCTCAGGATACAAAATCAATGTACAAAAATCACAAGCATTGCTCTATGCCAATAACAGACAAACAGAGGGCCAAATCATGAGTGAACTCCCATTCACAATTGCTTCAAAGAGAATAAAATACCTAGGAATCCAACTTACAAGGGATGTGAAGGACCTCTTCAAAGAGAACTACAAACCACTGCTCAAAAAAATAAAAGAGGACACAAACAAATGGAAGAATATTCCATGCTCATGGATAGGAAGAATCAGTATCGTGAAAACGGCCATACTGCCCAAGGTAATTTATAGATTCAATGCCATCCCCATCAAGCTACCAATGACTTTCTTCACAAAATTGGAAAAAACTACTTTAAAGTTCATATGGATACAAAAGAGAGCTCGCATTGCCAAGACAATCCTAAGCAAAAAGAACAAAGCTGGAGGCATCACGCTACCTGACTTCAAACTATACTATAAGGCTACAGTAACCAAAACACCATGGTACTGGTGCCAAAATAGAGATATAGACCAATGGAACAGAGCAGAGCCCTCAGAAATAATACCACACATCTACAACCATCTGATCTTTGACAAATCTGACAAAAACAAGAAATGGGGAAAGGATTCCCTATTTAATAAATGGTGCTGGAAAAACTGGCTAGCCATATGTAGAAAGCTGAAACTGGATCCCTTCCTTACACCTTATACAAAAATTAATTCAAGATGGACTAAAGACTTAAATGTTAGATCTAAAACCATAAAAACTCTAGAAGAAAACCTAGGCAATACCATTCAGGACATAGGCATGGGCAAGGACTTCATGTCTAAAACACCAAAAGCAATGGCAACAAAAGCCAAAACTGACAAATGGGATCTAATTAAAGTAAAGAGCATCTGCACAGCAAAAGAAACTACCATCAGAGTGAACAGGCAACCTACAGAATGGGAGAAAATTTTTGCAATCTACCCATCTGACCAAGGGCTAATATCCAGAATCTACAAAGAACTTAAACAAATTTACAAGAAAAAAATTAAACGACCCCATCAAAAAGTGGGTGAAGGATATGAACAGACACTTCTCAAAAGAAGACATTTATGCAACCAACAGACACATGAAAAAATTCTCATCATCACTGGCCATCAGAGAAATGCAAATCAAAACCACAATGAGATACCATCTCACACCAGTTAGAAGGGCGATCATTAAAAAGTCAGGAAACAACAGGTGCTGGAGAGGATGTGGAGAAATAGGGACACTTTTACACTGTTGGTGGGACTGTAAACTAGTTCAACCATTGTGGAAGACATTGTGGCGATTCCTCAAGGATGTAGGACTAGAAATACCATTTGACCCAGCCATCCCATTACTGGGTATATACCCAAAGGATTATAAATCATGCTGCTATAAAGACACATGCACACACATGTTTATTGCGGCACTATTCACAATAGCAAAGACTTGGAACCAACCCAAATGTCCGTCAATGATAGACTGGATTAAGAAAATGTGGCACATATACACCACGGAATACTATGCAGCCATAAAAAAGGATGAGTTCATGTCCTTTGTAGGGACATGCATGCAGCTGGAAACCATCATTCTCAGCAAACTATCACAAGGATAGAAAACCAAACACCTCATGTTCTCACTCATAGGTGGGAACTGAACAATGAGAATACTTGGACACACAATGGGGAACATCACACACCAGGGCCTGTTGTGGGGTTGGGGGAGCGGGGGATAGCATTAGGAGATACACCTAATGTAAATGATGAGTTAATGGGTGCAGCACACCAACATGGCACATGTATATCTATGTACCTGCACGTTGTGCACATGTACCCTAGAACTTAAAGTATAATAATAAAAAAAATAGCTGGGACTTAATTAAACTAAACAGCTTTTGCACGGCAAAAGGAATAGTCAGCAGAGTAAACAGACAACCCACAAAACGGGAGAAAATCTTCACAATCTATACATCTGAAAAAGGATTAATATCCAGAATCTACAAGGAACTCAAATCAGCAGGAAAAAAAAAACAGTCCCATCAAAAAGTGGGCTAAGGACATGAATAGACAATTCTCAAAAGATATATAAATGGCTAACATGAAAAAATGCTCAACATACTAATGATCAGGGAAACACAAATCAAAACCACAATGCGATACCACCTTACTCCTGCAAGAATGGCCATAATAAAAAAATAAAAATAAATAATAGATGTTGGCGTGGATGCAGCGAACAGGGAACACTTCTACACTGCTGGTGGGAATGTAAACTAGTATAACCACTATGGAAAACAGTGTGGGGAGTCCTCAAAGTACTAAGAGTAGATCTACCATTTGATCCAGCAATCCCACTACTAGGTATCTACCCAGAGGAAAAGAAGTCATGAAAAAGATAGTTGCACAAGTATGTTTATAGCAGCACAATTCACAAGTGCAAAAATGTGGAACCAATCCAAATACCCATCAATCAACGAGTGGATAAACTGTGGCATATATATGATGGAACACTACTCAGCCATAAAAAGGAATCAATTAATGGCATTCACAGCAACCTGGATGAGATTAGAGACTATTATTCTAAGTGAAGTAAGTCAGAAATGGAAAACCAAATATAGTATGTTCTCACTGATATGTGGGAACTAAGCTATGAGGATGCAAAGGCATAAGATTGACACAATGGACTTCGGGGACTCGGGGGAAAGGTTGAGAAGGGAGTGAGGGATAAAAGACTACAAATTGGGTGCAGTGTATATACTGATGGGGTGATGGGTGTACCAAAATCTCAGAAATCACCACTAAAGAACTTACTCATGTAACCAAACACCACCTGTTCCCCAATAAACTATAGAAATGAAAAAAAAAAAGAACTTTTAGCATCAAATACATGAACTTATGTGGAGTCATGGAGTCTCTTTTTAGGGACACACACTGTTGCTGTGGTGAACAGCCATTAAGTCATTGGTGTAAAACTTCATTTTTGCTAAGAGAAAGAACTTTCTAATTTTACTCAACTAGAATACTAAAGGGCAAAATGCAATAGCTACAAGTTTTGTTCTGCAGAGTAAATGACAGGTCATGAACTAATTCCGTTGGAAGAGATACAGGAAAAATATTACCTTGCAGGAAGCTGCCCTCCCCATAGTAAGCCTAGGAGCTGATGGTATGATGTCATCATTACGAAACTAGGTACTTTAAGCACTGTCTGAACAGAACTGCCTACCCCAGTAGAAGCTCTTGCGTTAAGTGCCACGCGTAAATGCTAATACATCCCAACGTATTAAAGCAGGGCAGGGAAGCTTTAAAAATCGTAGGTAAAGTAAGACTGAGGGGGAAAGGAACTGCAAGTGAGTGCTGCACGGGAACCGAGAAGCCGCCCCGGGTCGGGAAGGAAGGAGGTGGTGATGCTCAGGGCCAGAGCGGGGGCGTCTGGAGAACCCGGGTGGGAGCCAGACACCCGCTGCGAGCACGAAGAAAGCGCGGCTGAGGGTGGCAGCGCGCCCACACCCGCCCGGACGAGGGCCCGGCCCGCACCCACCTTGCCTCCAGCAGCAGCGGGGTCTCGGGCCACTTCGCGGCCAAGTGGGCAGTCACCGACTTGGACGCGGCGACCGTCCCGGAGCCGAGCTGCGAAAGCCACAGCGCTGTGGAGCCTAGTAGCAGCCGCACCACGTTCGTGGCTTTCGCTGGCGCCATGGCACGGAGAGAAAAGCGCGAGTCCCTCGGACCCGGTACCCACAGTCTGTGGCCGCCACGCTTCGGCCGGCTCTTCCCGCTGCGCGGCTGCCCACTTCCGGTGGGAGGAGCTCGAGTCCGTTACTGGGTGCCGGGTCCAGACCGGCGCATGCGTGTCCCGCTCCGGCGCGGTTTAGTGGGTGCGGCCTGGAGAGCCCACGCCAGCCGGACACTGGGCCACGTCGGAGCCGCCGGGGCGGCGCCGGGTTGCTGAGCGGCGTCACAGATGCTCCCGCGGGTCCGCTCCCGCGGGTCCATTCCCAGGACTTTGGGTTCTCGGACAGAGGCCTTAGGACACGGGGCGGGAAGCTGGCTCTCCAGACCGAACTAGGGCTCTGGAGTTGCCAAAATCTGGAAGCAAAGTCAGGACCACTTGCATATTGTCCACCTTTTACATAGGAGGAAAATAAGTCCAGTTAAAGTTGAAGTCCCCACCTCACGCAGTTCTCAAGTGTTACTACAGGTTGGAATCACCTGGGAGAGCTTTTATAAGGCCGCCGCCAAGGCCACGCCCCGTACCTGAGAATCTCGGGAGGGGGGGTGAGATGCGGCATCAGTAGTATTAGTTAAAATCCGCAGGCCGGGCGCGGTGGCTCACGCCTGTAATCCCAGCACTTTGGGAGGCCGAGGCGGGCGGATCACGAGGTCAGGAGATCGAGACCATCCTGGCTAAAACGGTGAAACCCCGTCTCTACTAAAAATACAAAAAATTAGCCGGGCGTAGTGGCGGGCGCCTGTAGTCCCAGCTACTTGGGAGGCTGAGGCAGGAGAATGGCGTGAACCCAGGAGGCGGAGCTTGCAGTGAGCCGAGATCCCGCCACTGCACTCCAGCCTGGGCAACAGAGCGAGACTCCGTCTCAAAAAAAAAAAAAAAAAAAAAATCCGCAGGTGATTCCAGTGTCCAATCATGTTAGGAAACCCGTGACTTACGGGTGGCTCTCAAACTTTAACCACTTGCTTGTTAAAACACTGCAGAGTGGTGGGCCTCCCCACAGTGTTTCGGATTCAGTAGAGCCCTTGCGGGGGCCGAGAACTTGCATTTTATTTCTCCCAAGTTCGCAGATAATACTAGTGGCTAGAAATCACACTGGAGCCTTTTCCATTGGAAGGTGTGGTCCAGGGTAGGCTTCAGCTGTGAGCTCAATGGAAATGCAGAAGCTCAGGCCCCGCCCCAGACCTAATGAATCAAGATCTCCAATTTAACGGGAACCACAGGTGATTCCTATGCACAGGAAAGGTGGAGAAGAGTGATTTAGAGGATTACATTTAAAAGTGCACAGAAAAGTGCCAATAAGCCTGAGCATGGTGGCTCACGCCTGTAGTCCCAGCACTTTGGAAGGTCGAGGCGGGAAGGTAGCTTAAGCCGAGGAGGTAGAGGCTGCAGAAAACGGTGATTGCGCCACTGCCCTCCAACCTGGGCGAAAGAGGGAGACCGTGTCTCAAAAAAACAAACAAACAAAAGGCCAATACGTGATAGTTGTTTTGTCAGAGTAAAATATATGGTAAAAGAGTTTAGCGGATGCACGGATTCATTGCTTTTTTTCTCTCCTGTTACTCCTTTGCCCTGCAGGGAAGCTGGATCTCTTGAAGTTGCGGAAACATAGTCATTCCCTTTTTTCGTTTCATTTGCTTAGTCAGTACCCTTCCTTAGAAAACCCTATTCCGCTAAGCAGTTCCACGAATTTCCAGAATAATTTCTCACTTCCAAAGTTTAGCCTTCATTTCCTGATTTATCCTACTTGGTATGATCTATCCTTACTTTAAATTTCCTCTTTATTGTAACTGCCATATAGCACTTAAGTTCTCACTTTAATACTTGAGTACGCTACTTACTTATTTCTCCTGTGAGAGATAGTATATTCCCCCAGAACTCATGCCTTGTTCATCTTTGGCATCCCGTGCAGTACCTAGCACAATACTTCACATTCACATGTTATTTGGGGACTCCATGAAGATTGAAGAACCCTTGCTTTATGGAAAGAATGTAGAAAGCTAAGGCAAATGCACTTCATTTCTATCCATAGTGTATACGAGAAAAATACATTACGAATCTTTCACAATTATTTGCTTTAATTAACTCCCCATTTCCACTCATATTTAGACCGAAATTTTTATTGAGATTGTGGGATTAAGGAAATAAAATATTGACAGTGAATGTCTTACATGTCAGCATATCCAATGGACTGCAAATCTTTAAGAAATAATTGGCCATATAAAAGGCACATTAAATAGACTATTAAAGGACACTAATAAAATGTATATTAGTAAAAATTTCACTATATGTGAGTTCAGAATAGTGAGAATGCTCATTTCTCTTTTAAAGAGAATAAAATTAATCTAATCTAGGCCATCTATGAATATATTTGTTATACATTTTATCTTACATGGTGTTCTCCTAGAAATTTTAATTTGAAACATTCCTCAGAATGATGATCCCCAAGCTTGTTTCCCCATCTACAGAGCAAAAGGATAAGACAATGTGATATTTAAGATTCCTTCTATATGTGATTCCTATGTGCAGATAAAAAAATACTAAAATGCAAAAATTGAGTAAATTAGCAAAGTCCACTCCAGTCAGTGGAGTAGCAAAGTATTTTAAAATCCACTATCAATAACCCTTTGGCACAGATTGGCTTTGAACTACGGACCTAACTCTACCTAAGTCTTTTTAGCAAAATACAATACAAAAGTTATTCACTGCAGGATAAAAGGAATAAAATTGATGAAGGTAGCAGTTTCTATCATATGTGGAAGAAGTGATTAATGAGTGCTTTATAATAAGAATCTTGTGTTTAACAGAATAAATCATCTTGAATTTAATGATATGTATTTAATGATAATAATGGCATGACATGAGTACAAAGTTACTGCCAAATTATTGCATTATATAATAAAATTTTAATTTTCTAAGCCTACATAAAATCCAGTGGGTGAACTCACTTTTAAAAGTATTATTCTGTAGGTTTTCCAGATTTCCCTTATAAGAAAGACCCTATTCTCCTATTCTCGTTTTATTATTAAAAGATCTTTTGTCCTGGCGTGGTGGCTCATGCTTGTAATCCCAGCACTTTGGGAGGCCGAGGCAGGTGGATCGCGTGTGGTCAGGAGTTTGAGACCAGCCTGGCCAACATTGTGAAACCTCATCTCTACTAAAAACACGAAAATTAGCGGGGTGTGATGACAGGTGCCTGTAGTCTCAGCTACTCAGGAGGCTGAGGCAGGAGAATCACTTGAGCCCAGGATGCAGAGGTCGCAGTGAGCCGAGATTGCACCACTGCACTCCAGCCTGGGCAACAGATGGGACTCCATCTCAAAAATAAATAAATTAAATTAAAGATCTTTTTCTTTTTCTTTTCCTTTTTTTCTTTTTTGATATAGATTCTCTCTCTGTCACCCAGGGTGGAGTTGTTTTTTTTGTTTTTTTGTTTTTTTGTTTTTTTTTTTTTGATATAGAGTCTCTGTCGCCCAGGTTGGAGTGCAGTGGTTCTCTTGAGTAGCTGGGACCACAGGCACATGCCGCCATGCCTGGCTAATTTTTTGTATTTTCTGTAGATGTGGAGTTTCACCATGTTGCTCAGGTTGGTCTTGAACACCTGGGCTCAAACGATCTGTGCACCCCTGCCTTTCAAAGCGTCGGGATTACAGACATGAGCCACCGTGCCTGGATATTATTTAAATATCTTAAATACACAAAAGTTTTCTACTCATTCCAGTTGGGAAAAATTTAGAGACTTATGTAATTTGTTACATCACTATTCCCTAGACAAGATTATACCAAAATCATAATCAAACGAGTATGGTTTAGGTTTTTTATGTTTAGTTTTAAGCTTAACTCTTTATAGCTTTTTTTAAAATTTAAGGGTCTGCAAGTTTGATATTTACAGGTTTACATATTTTATTTAAGATAGATAATAAATGCCTCACAAATGTCTAATCCCAGTATGTTTGATGAATTTTTTTAGTGGAGCTTTTTACTACAGTGGCTTTCAAATAGCAAATAAAGGATGTGAAATATATAATTTTTAAATTAATCATTTTGGATGATGTAAGAACTTGAGATTTGCTATTTAACAACAACCATCTATACTTATATGGTTAAATCGAAGTATTTTTAATGGTGGTAAAATACACATAAAATTTACCATTTTAACCATTTTTAAGTGTACAGCTCAATAGTGTGAAGTATATTCACATTGTTGTGCAACCAGTCTCCAGAACTTTTTCATTTTGCAAAACTGAAACTCTGCACCCACTAAACAAAAATGCTCTATTCTCTCTCCAGCCCCTGGCAACTACCATTCTACTTTCAATTTTTATGAATTTGACTACTCTAGATACTCATACAAGGAGAATCATACAGTATTTGTCCTTTTGTGGCCATCTTATTTCACTTGGCATTATGTCCTTAAGGTTTATCTGTGTTTGTACCATGTGTGAGAATTTCCTTCCCTTTTAAGGCTGAATAATATTCCACTCTCTGTATATACAACATATTGCTTATCCATTCATCCGTCCATGGACACTTGGGTTGCTTCCACATTTTAGCTATTGTAAATAATGTTGCTATGAACATAGGTGTATAAATACCTCCTGGGGATCTCACTTTCAATTATTTTGGATAATCTACCCAGAAGTAGAATTACTGGATCACATGGTAATTCTATTTTTAATTTTTTGAGGAGCCACCATACTGTTTTCTGCAGTTTACATTCCTACCAACAGGGCACAAGTGTTCCAATTTTTTCATATCCTCCCCAACACTTATTTTCTCTGTGTGTGTGTGTGTGTGTGTGTGTGTGTGTGTGTGTGTGTTTAATAGCAGCTATCCTAATGGGGATGAGGTGACATCTCATGTGGTTTTGATTTGCATTTTCCTAATTGGTCAAAGTATTTTTGAAACACAAGTTTTGGAACTCATTTCAGAGCCAATTTCTGAGCTGCTCAAGATAATAATTTCCATAATTATATAAATGCAAGACAATTTCCTTTGTTTTCTGTCCATGTTTCACTGAATATATTGCTTAAAAGATTGACTTGGGCCAACAGTATCAGTACCTCCAAAAGAGTAGCTTAAACTAGTAAGAGACTCCATTTTCTTTCTCATAAACCTGGAAATAAGCAGTCTAGAGCTTCTATGGCAGCTAACGGTGTCCAATCTTTTGCGTCTATCTGCCATTTTGATGTGTGGATTTTAATTCATCATCACAGATGGCTTCTGTGTCTCCAGGTATCATTTACATATTCCTGGCAAGTGGAAGGTGAAAGAGCAAGGGCAAAAGGCAAAACCTGGATGTCAATTGAATTGGTTATATTTAGTAAACTTTCCCAGAAGCCCTATCAAATAACTGCCCCTGATGGCGTATTAATCAGTTATCAACCAGTTCTCTGCCCTGTGGTCATTCTTTGCACAATGAGAGGCTGAGAAATGTAATTTTATAGCTGGGCATACTTTCTTCCTCAAGAAAATTAGAGTTCTGTTACTATGGAATTGGAGAGTGAAGTGTGTTATATAGACTCCTGGCTGTGTTTGCTAAACCCATGTATTCTTTCTACTTTCCACATCTCATTTTGAGGCAATGGGTTGGCCTGGAAACCAGGAATAGTGAAATTCTAGAAGTCAGAGGACAATTTGTAGAACAATATTAGGAAACAGATTGTCTACTGTTAGGAAGTATCTTCTAGCCTAATGTAAGTACAATAATATGGCTTTCATCGGTTGAAGAAAGCAAATGCTAATCATTTGAAAGTCAAATTGCAATAAAAGTGCCTTTATTTCAAAAATACTATAATTCAAATGTAACAAAATATAAAAATTTAGGGTTGAATTATTGTCTCGAATCTGTTATATTTGCAGCTGGAAGTGCTAAAAATCACTTTGTCTAAAATTAGTTGTATCAAGTATCATGAGCCAAGAAAATTTACGTCATTTGTGTAATTTTGGTTTAAAAATCCTCTTGACCTAGCAACTGATCTTAATATAATCAAATAATAACTTGTTTCATTTCAAAAGTCAAAATTTGATTATTCTTGCCTAGCTGAAGAAAGACCAGAGAAATTCATTCTTCCCATTTACTTATTCATCTCCTTCTGAGCGCATATTTCAGCTCTAGAATTAAGAAGGGAAGATTCTGGAAAAGAGAGAAAGAAGCATGGAGGCACCACATCAGATGGAGAATTTATTTTTTTGTTTTATGTGTTATGTCAGATGGAGATATTGAGGTATAGGCAGAGAAATGGAGAGAAAGTGCAACCAAGTTTTACAATGTTAGCAGACTTGGTAAACCTTTTTATTCATTTTCATTTCTGTCTCCATTCCACTTTAGACTCAGTATAGTTCTTTATTCTCTTTTTTCTTCTCATTTCCTTTCTATGAGTCATCTGATATCATTTATTTTTAATTTAGTGTGAATGTATTTCAGAACCTAAACTGGAGTTGCCAGAGTACTATTTGAAAGAGCTGTGTGTTCTGTTCGAAGGTCATTCAGTACTCCCACTTGCAGCTACACTGGAAGAAAGAGGTACCTGGAGCATGACCTAAGACAGCACAGGTTACTCTGCTTAACAACAGAATCCTGTTTTATCTGTGCTTGTCTTCTACACTCTTTTACTTGTAGTTCAAACTTCTTTCCTCACATCAACACCTTTAGCTCAGCAGCCTGGCTTCCTCCTCCCAAGCTGGAGCATCACCCATTTACACTAGCCTTTTGGTCTCACACCTCAGATATTTTTTTATTTTCTATCATTTGGCATCCAGAACATCTGGGACTGAACCTTCTAAGGAGAGGTGGGCTGCATATGGACGCACTTCTCAGAAACATCCCGGAGGAAGCTACGAAAAAGGCAAATAGGAATCAGAGGCTACATATGACTGGGTAGAGAACAAAATGTCCTGAAATTTGACTACTGGGGAGCTGGGTTCAGGACTTACGCATTTTAGTGCATCATATTAATATGTGAATCTAATAAAGATTAAACTGCAAATGTGGGCACTTCATAGACACTAAAAATCAACAAAGAGAGGATAAAAACTATGAACAATTGCACTGATTGAGATGAACTTCTCACTGTTTTTTTAATTCCTTGTAAATGCATCACAGGAAGTATATGCAAAACTATATTAAATAAATATGTATAAAATGCCTTGTACATGCCAAGTGTATGAAAGGCACTCAAAACTGCAAATATAGGCCGGGCGTGGTGGCTGTCTGGGAGCACTTTGGGAGGCCAAGGTGAGAGGATTGCTTGAGCCCAGGAGTTCAAGACAGCCTGGGCAACATAGTGAGACCCCATCTCTACACATAGTAATAATAATAGTAATAATTAGTTTGGTGTGGTTGCAAGCACCTGTAGTTGCAGCAACGTGTAAGGCTGAGGTGGGAGAATGGGGTTTATGACCTCACTGAGCTTATGAGGTCAAGGCTTGAGTGAGCCATGATTGCAACACTGAACTTCAGCCTGGGCGAGAGAGTGAGACGCTGTCTCAAAAAAAAAAGTGCAAATATATAATTAATTATATATTATCATATAATTATAATTATATATGCATTATATAATAAGCATTTGATGAAACTATTAATTAACAGGTGTTTTATAAGATTATCTTTAAGGTTCATATTGTTATAACTTTAGTGTCCATGTAGCAGAGTTTTCTATTCATAAATTTTCCAAACTGGTGGGAACACATTGGTGTGGTTTTTTTTTTTATTAAATCCTACTGATAATTATAAACCATATCTTCATCTAAAATTTATGTTCCAAGTTCCTATAATTCAAAATGTCAGAATAATTTCTGCCATTGATTCTGAAGGTGTCTCTTTCCTACCAGTTTCTCGGCTGTTTTGTCTGGATTCATATTTAAGCATTTGGCTTTCATTTTTATCTCTAATTCATCCAGGCTGGAAGAGTTGAACAGTAATACCAGCTGGCATAGAGTTGAGCCTGTATCAGCATATTGATGTTCCTGCATCAGCATATTGATGCTAGTGACACCAAAATGTTTCTCTGTGTCACTAAACTGCCTCACATAGGCATTAAACAAGTGTGGTGACAAAAGAGAGCTGACAGTAATCATCCCCAGAATGGATGAACCGTTGCCCATTGGAAGAGAAAACGTTTCACAGTGAGTTGGTGCATTATCACAATGACATGAAACAAATCAATATATCCCAACTATCAATAATAAATAAGAGTAAGTATGTGACATTCTGCTAGTAGTTGACGATTAACTGTTGAGACTGTGACACTTTTGGTTCTGAACGTAATTAAAAACAAAAGTCACCATGATAAAGATGCTTAGAAAAAACTGCAGCTGCTGCTCAATCCTGATGTGAAGAATAACTAGCTAATCAAGTATTTTTTTAAATTTAATTAACTTTTTAGTGAAAGAAAAACATATATACAGAAAAGTTCCCGCATCATACTTGTACAGATCAATGAATTTTTTACACAGGTATGACATTTGTGTAAACTCTACCCAGCTAAATGAATAGTACATATTGGTAGCACTTCTCTTGCCTCCTAACGGTCATTATTCACATCTTTCTCCCCAAAGCTAATTCATTAGCTTTCATTCATTCATTGACTAACCAGAGCTCTCACATAATCAATTAATTTTATCTGTATTGTGAATCATAATTCTGTGCTACTTTTGAGAGTGGTTTAAAGTGGGGAGTGCACTGCCAGACACATGTGATAGATTATTCTACAGCAATACAAAGAAGCAGCTTGAGCCCCAAAGACCAGGTAAAAGATGATTAAAATAGTGTGGGTAAGACAGGATGAGGAGTCAACAAAGAAATAGCAATAGGATTTGTAAAGAAGAGACAAAAAAGAGCCTGAATAGCCAAAGGAATCCTGAGCAAAAAGAACAAAGCTAGAGGCATCATATTACCTGACTTTAAAATTACCTGATATCACAACGCTGTAGAAACCAAATCAGCATGGCACTGATATAAAAATGGACACTTAGACCAATGGAACAGAACAGAGAACCAAGATATAAAGCCACATATGTACAGCCAATTAATCTTTGATAAAGCCAACACAAACTTACATTGGGGAAAGGACACTCACTTCAATAAATGGTGCTGGGAAAACTGGATAGCCACATTCAGAAGAATAAAACTGGACCCCTATATCTTACCATATACAGAAATCAACTCGAAATAGACTAAAGACTTAAATGTAAGACCCAAAACTATAAAAATATTAAAAGAATATAAGCCAGGCAAAAAAGGTAAATATCACATGTTCTCACTTATATGTGGGAGCTAAAAAATTTCAACACATGGAGGCAGAGAGTGAAAAAATAGATAACAGAGACTGGGAAGGGTGAGCAGGGGAAGGAGAAAGGATGAAGAGAAGCAGGTTAAAGGGTACAAACATATAGTAAGACAAAAGGAATAAATTCAATGTCTGATAGCAGAGTAGGATGCCTATAGTTAACAAAACTATAAAATCTATTGTACTTGAGTGATGGATACCCTGAATTTCCTAAACTTGATCACTACTGTTAGTAGTGTAACGTATTTTCTCATGTAACGTATTTTCTCATGTACCCCATAAACTTGCACAAATAAAAAAATAAAATACATAAAAAAAAGAAACAAACATGCATGTCTGATTTGTATAGAGCATGAGGGATCCAGGTTGACTTATAGGTTTCTAGCTGTGACAACTGCATGGGTGTAGTTCCATTCACTGAAAGAATGGAGCAGGTTTTAGGGGTAAAAAGGTGAGTTCAGCGTGAACATACTGAGTTTGAAGTGCAAGGTGGCATGGAGATGGGTTATTTAAGATATTAGGAAGTCAGAATGTAAAATATTTGTTGATTAAATATCTGGGGGAAGAGCTCAGTAAATAAATAAAGGTGTGAGTGATGGTCCTCAGGACTCTGGCTTGGGCAAGTTGGTGAAGGATACAGGCATTCACTGAGCTAGGGGAACCGATAAGTTTTGGGCATACTAAGTTTAAGGCATCTGTTGGGAGCCATCTAAATAGGAATAGGTTATGGATAACTGGATATATGAGTCTGGGCTCAAAACATGGATTTTTTTGGAGAATATAAAGTAAAATGAGATATTTAAAGGCACTCTGGAAAGTATGGCCTGCTCCAACTATTAGTTGCTATTCTTTTTGTTGACTCAGTTTGAAAAAGCCCTGATAGTGATATCCAACTAGTTCATTATTAATTGCTGGAAAAGAAACATCATTTGTGGTTTTGTGGAGGTAAAAGAAGACATCAACGCTTTGCCACTGATGACAATGGCATCATGCCAGTCTTAGAAATCATTTCAGATAGTGTTCATCAGAAACCATTCACCTAAACTTTAACTGTGAGGCAATTCACTTCTGTAGGAAAGGAATGTTAATTTATTCTTTAAAATTGGTTACTATCAATTGTGGCACGAAAAAAATGCTTTTAATTGCATAAATAATTGGTGAGAACTGAGGTATGGAACCAAGGCAAGATAGGAGGGGCACAAACTTGAAGATGAATGATAAACTGGACAAGAGAAATCAATGATTCATTCAATCAGTTGTAATGCATATTCATCAGGCACTACACTAAGTATTGGGGATGCCAAATATAATTATATCTCTTCTTTTGGGGTCCCTATAGATGAATATGGGGACAAATGTACAATAATTATTATGGAAAAAATGTTAATTTTGATAATGAAGATATAAGAAACACCCAATAGCAGAATAGGGGAAAGGAGTACTTAATACTCTCAGTAAGGAATGCTTCACAGATAAAATGGTATGAAATAGGAATTGAGGGATGAGTTGAAAATCAACTGGCAGGAAAATTGATGAGACTTCCACTAGCCAAATTTATGATAATTTGAAATAAAAGATGATGGTACTTAATTATAGCACGTTGAATTAAAAATATGCACAGATCCATAGTAATAGTTATGAAAGAAATAAAGAAAGAGGGGGTAGGATGCAGTGGTTCATGCCTATAATCTCAGCACTTTAGGAGGCTTAGAAGTTTGAGACCAGACTGGGCAACATGGTATGACCCTGTCTCTATAAAAAAATTTGAAATTAGCCAGGCATGGTGGCACATACATGTAGCCCGAGCTACTCAAGAATCTGAGGTAAAAGGATCACTTGAACCCAGGAGTTTGAGATGGTAGTGAGCCACTGCTCTCCAGCCTGAGTAACAGGGCAAGACCTTGTCTCAAAAAAAAAAAGAAAAAGAAAAAGAAAGAAAGAAGGAAGGAAGGAAGGAAGGAAAGAAGGAAAGAAGGAAGGAAAGAAAGAAGAGAAAGAAGGAAAGAAAGAAAGGAAGAAAGGTGCATTTACATAATGAGTGTGGTTGTATTTAGCTTTTAGTTTATTTGGCACTGCTGTCACACCTGCCCTGTCACATTGTCTAGGTCCTGGATCACTCTAGATTTGGGTGTAATATGGAGCCACCTCCACTGTGTGCTACAAGGGTTCATTCATTCAACATTTAATTTGTCCCCTGCTACAAGTCCTGAGCAAGCCAATGGGGAATCAATGATACATCAACCAACCAAGCAATCAAACCAAATGAAAAACAAATACAAAATCCCTGCCTTTAAGGAGTACAGTTCATTCAGGGTGAAAGATAAATGGCCAGTGATAAAAATGACATGATAACTGATGAAACAAATGTGCTCACAGAGCCATTTCTCCAAGACTCCACCAAAACAAGTGTCAGGAAGCCAGGAGAGAGTTAAAAGAAATCACAGGGAAGCTACCAGAATTCTGAAGAAGTTGTATTGTCATTTCCACCAAAACAAGCAGCACCTTTTTTTTGGTCTTTGTGATTATATTAGAGTTCTCTGGAGAAACAAAACTGGTAGGATATATGATATAGATAAAGGAATTTATTACGGAAATTGGCTTATGTGACTATGGAGACTGAGAAGTCCTGCAATCTGTAAACTGGAGAACTAGGAAAGTTGGTGGTAAAACTCTTAATCTGAAGCCAAAGGCTTGATAATTTGGGGGTCTACTGGTGTAAGTTCTTGGGTCCGAAGGGCTCAGAAAGGGGAGCTCCAGTGTCCAAGGCAGAAGAAGGTTGGTGTCTCAACCCAAGAAGAGAGTGTTTTCATCCTTCCTCTGCCTTTTTGTAGCAGCGAGTGGGCCCTCATGGGATTGGATGATGCCTGCCCACATTGGAGAGAGTGATCTTCCTTACTCAGTCTGTTCATTCAAATGCCAATCTCTTCCAGAAACACCTCCACAAACATACTCAGAAAAAATGTCTTACCAGATATTGTGGCATCCCTTAAAACCCTCAAGTTGATGCGTAAAATAAACTATCACAGTGATCTTAAAGGGATACTATCTCAGGAATAAGATAGTGTCCTAAGCAGTCCTTTTCATGCTCATGCTTCCTGTTTTACCAGTCCAGACTCTTGATGCCTCCCTGCTCTCCCTGTCCTGACATCAGAACTTCTTGGACCTTAGACCACTGTCAATGTTGGCATGTGTGATTATGACAAGGTCATTTTAAGGCCCCCTGAGTTACCTTATATTGTTAGAGCCCATGCCGGACTCCAAATCTGTGTTCATTGTGCTACCATAATGTGCTTAACATATCACCAGAGAGTAATCTCTCTTAACGGACACCTTCAGACTTTCTGTTCTTACAGAAGGAGACAGTTCTTTCCTTAACTTTCTGTAGATGGCTCTCTCATGCCATGTATAAATGGAACCTACATCAGACTCAAGCAAAAACAAACAGTAACATCATTCTCCATTTGCTGCTATTCAATGCACCACTGCAATTTTTGGGTATAGAATTTTCAGGGAGTTTAGGAAAGACATGGCCTAAGTTCTAGTATTATATTCAGCTTTAACCAAATTGGGAATGAAGCTCATACCCCTATTAAAGTCAAATCCTTACATATTTCCAATTCAGTAAAACAAAACACAAAAACTCACTAATAGCTAAAACCAAACATTATCAGGCAATCAGCATATTTGATTCAGGCTTTTGGAAATACAATAAATCACACTCTGATTATAGCATTTCAAATTGTAGACTAAAGAGTCCCTAATGAATTAAATACTATCTTCTAAAAAACATTGACTCTGTATACAACTTATCATTTTCATGATTTTAGACAGAGAATTTAAGTGACAGTCATTTAATCACTGAATTCATACAATCACTTATATTGAGCAGAACTATGGTGAACATGTAAAAGTTACTTTTCAACAATGCAAATGAACATCTTATATTTTTTTCCATTAGTTTGGATATGTAAAATTTTCTACTGAGGTGATTTACATGGGGTCATAATTATAAAACATGGAAGAAACAGCTTTAGAATCAATGCAGAGTATAAAAGGCACACATGAATGTATATGTATAAAAATCTGCAGCCATAAGCTATCACACATATAATTAAAATGGATTTATTGCTTTTGGCTTTGATTTTTTTTCTCCCTGTTATTAAATAATTATAGGGATCCCTTGAGTTCAATTGTAATTACACATATACAAACTATAATATTTCACATATATATACTACACATATAGTCTTTAAAGCTGAACTAATATAATAATATATATGCAAATTTAAATGTATGAAATTCAGGTAATTAAAAATTATGATTCCCTAAACAACATTAACTTACAGATAGTTATAAATCATGGCATTATGTGTTAGATTTATATTACAATATATATCTCTGGTAACGTGGATTTATGGTGTATGTGTGAGTTTTTAAAATTTGTTGGCCAGACATGGTGGCTCACATCTGTAATCCCAGCACTTTGGGAGGCTGAGGTGGGTAGATCATGAGATCAAGAGATCGAGACCATCCTGGACAGCATGGTAAAACCCTGTCTCTACTAAAAATACAAAAATTAGCTGGGTGTGGTGGTGTGTGCCTGTAGTCCCAGCTACTTGGGAGGCTGAGGCAGGAGAATCGCTTGAACCCAGGAGGCGGAGGTTGCAGTGAGCTGAGATTGTGCTACTGTACTCCAGCCTGAGTGACAGAGTGAGACTCTGTCTCAAAAAAAAAAAAAAAAAAAAAAGTTGTCATGGATCAGGCCAATCATTCTCTTCCCAAGGTCTCCTGCTAAGCAAAATAGCCCTAGATGATTGCATAAGTCTAAGTGGCTACTGTGACATCTCATGACCATGTTCCCTTGGCCATAGCAGAGATAAGGGATGGGTGGACACCCTACCCAAGTTTCCCTAATGTATAGACTTGTCAAGGGCCTGAATGGTGATTAGGGTTGAGAGCTTTGCACGAGAGAAGACTTGTCAACTCGTTGTAAGAATTATATTTTCACGGTGATTTTGAATGTGAGACTCAGAAAAAGCTCAGCAGTCCATAGTTATAATTATTTTTTTAAATATGAAAATAAAGAAGCTGTAGCATGTTAATAGGGGAACGTTGCAACAGAGATTCATAAAATCTTGTTCTCTGAGGTGGTAGCTAGGTAAGCCAGTTGCCAGAACTGGTTCTAAACACTCTTCCAGGTCAGTCTCTATTATGGATAAAACTGTATTCCCCAAAAAGATATGCTGAAGTTCTAAGCTCTTGTACCTGGTATCGTATCGAACTTATTTGGAAATAGGGCCTTTGCAGATGTAATCAAATTAAAATGAGGTCATTAGGATAGGCTCTTACCTGATATGACTGGTGCCCATAATTATAAGAAGGGAGAAGAACATTGTATGAGTCTGTTTTCATGCTGCTGATAAAGACATACCTGAGACTGGGCAATTTACAAAAGAAAGAGGTTTAATTACACTTACAGTTCCACATGGCTGTGGAGGCCTCACAATCATGGCAGAAGGCAAGGAGGAGCAAGTCACATCTTACGTGGTGGCGGTGGGCAAAAAGAGAGCTTGTTTGGGAAAACTCCCCGTTATAATGACCATTAGATCTTAGATCTTATGAGACTGACTCACTATCACGAAAACAGCATGGGAAAGACCTGCCCCCATGATTCAATTACCTCCCTCCAGGTCCCTCCCACAACGCGTGGGAATTCAAGATGAGATTTGGGTGGGGACACAGCCAAACCATATCAAACATGTGAAAACACAGACCCACCAGAGGAGGATGCCGCATGGTGATGGAGGCAGTGATTGAAGTACTCCAGCTGCAAGCCAAGGAACACCAAGAATTGCCAAAACTAGGAAGGCAAGGAAGAGATTCCTCCCTACAGGTTTCAGGGGGAGTATGGCCTTACTGACTCCTTGATCCCTGACATCCAGCCTCCAGAACCAGGAGACAAATTTCTGTTGTTTTAGGCCATTCAGTGTTGGTACTTTGTTATGGTGGCCCTCAGGAACAAATACACTTTCGAAGAGTCAGCTCTGCCAAATTTTCTGTTCTCTCAAGAGGACTGGTTGCCTGACTTCTGGATTCCCATGTGCCTAAGCTTCACATTCTTCTCCTTTCCGTGTGCCAGGAAATGAACTGACCCCATGTTCCCTGCAACCAAAATATCAGTATAAACTGGAACCAGGAGTGGGGCTATATGCACCGGAAGCTCACAGGAAATGAAGGACATGTGGAACTGGTTTTGGTGATGAGGCAGAGAAATGGGCAGGGGAATTCCCTTCACACCTGCAACAAAGTGCTTGTAGCCTGTACTTTGTGGTAATGGAAGAATTAATTAAGCCATAGCCTGTTGTCTCTAGATGCTGAGACAATATACTGACCAAAGCAAGAGTTTCAGGGCTTTTGTAACTCTGAAGATTAGGTCCAAAAGGCCTAATCTTTGGACCCTAGGATTGTAGGGTCAGCTAAATTCCTGACAGGTCCATATCTCCATGTGAATTTAGGGCATAATTGTCAGAGTTTGGAATTGTAATAATAAGAAAATCTGAGAAACAGGAGAGGTTAAGTGACTTGCTCAAGGTCACACCAATTTTATGTATATTTTGCCACAATTAAAACTACTAAAAATTTTAATAAAAACATTCCACTTACTATGAGTCAGGCAAAAAAAGTTAATTATTTCAACTATAAAAGGATGTATTGAGGATTATACATGTGACTGTTGAAGGTTCACATTGGGACAAGATTGGTACCAAAGGCCTCACATGCTTTTTCCTTTTCTCTCTCTCTCTTTATTTTTAACATGGAGACAGGGTCTCATTCTGTTGCCCAGACTGGAGTGCAGTGGTGCAATCTCAGCTCACTGCATCCTTGACCTCCCAGGCTCAAGCCATCCTCCTGCCTCAGCCTCCCGAGTAGCTGGGATTTCAGGAGCATGCCACACCCAGCTAATTTTTGTATTTTTTGTAGATATGGGGTTTTGCCATGTTCCCCATGCTGTTCTCGAATTCGTGAGCTCAAGTGATCCACCTGCCTCGGCCTCCCAAACTGTTGAGATTACAGGCATGAGCCACCACGCCTGATATCATATTCTTCATTCAATATTATCTGTTGGACCAGTGAAGGACTTGTCTCTATAGAAGTTTTGCTACTTTAATGTGAGTGTTTTGCTAAAGTGTCCCACTAGGGAATGGGGCAAAAATTTAGGATAATCTAATCTTTATGATCCTTACAGAATGGTTCAAATGTGGAGAGTGCCTTACTGAATCTAAAACTTTGGAAATATTCATGGCATATGGAGGGGAAATACAGTTATAAAAGATGTAATGGGGCTGGGTGTGGTGGCTTATGCCTATATTCCAGTGCTTTTGGAGGCCAAGGCAGGAGGATTTCTTGAGCCAAAGAGTTTGAGGCCAGCCTTAGCAACATGCCAAAACCAGTCTCTACCAAAAAAAAAAAAAAAAAATTAGCCAGACGTGGTGGCATATGCCTGTAGTCCCAGCTAAGACTGGAGGACCACTTGAGCTCAGGAGTTCAAAGTTGCAGTGAACTATGATGGTGCCATTATACTCCAGCCCGGGTGACAGAGTGAGACCCTGTCTCTAAAAAAAATAAGTAACGGGACAGTGATCAAGTACTTATTTGCTTTTTAAGACTTTGCTCACAAGAACACACACAATTAAGCTCTGTAGTATTTACCTCAAATATGCAGTCTCAGGAGAATCTAACTTTTCTAGCATATATGTCCTTGATTCCACTTGTAGTTTTTCAATGGAAACTTCAAAACAAGGGTGGAAATCTTTAGTGTTATCCCATTGTGTCTCTGAATGGTTAAATAAAATTGAACATTAAACCTAAGCCTGCTTCCTGAATGAGGAAAAGGGAAGATAAAGGGTCCTCTGATCTTCTTTTGGCAGGTTAAAAATTACACCAATCTTTAACCACCCTCTTTTCTCCTCCACACCAAACAAGCCAACAAGCAAACAAACACAAGTACTTGCCCAAAAAGTTCCTGTGCTGCTTTGAGCATCTTCCAACATTATGCAGAAATTAGTTCTACTCCTCATACAAGTTTTTCACCTTCACCAAGAAAATGCAAATGTTGGGAGCGTGCTAATTGATCAAGGACTGGCAGGAGAGGGGAAGGCGGAGTAGACATTTTTAATACATCAACTCTCCTTATCATCTCAACCCTCACTGTGATATAGAGAGGGCTGTCTCCATTTTACGGAAGTGAAGATGTTTATTCACTCAGTCAAGATTACTCAGCTAGTGGTAGAGATTAGTTTTGTCTGACTCCAAGCTAGGTGCTTTCTCTAGCATATGACCTAGCTTCTCATTCTAAGAGACTGCTTGTTCATGGATTAAGTGATTTTGCTTAAAATTTTCCATAACAATCTTGTTTTCTTCAGACCTTGCAACAGCTAAGATCCCTTTTCTTAGGTTAGTACATGCACACACTCACGTCATAAAGGTGATAAAAGTCAGCTACTTGGTGATTCCCAAGTTTCCTAGGTATCTTTGATATGCTTAATAAGTCAACTTCTGCCAACGAATGCTTTTTTAGGCAGAGCAACTGGATGAGAAATATTTTAAAACAATGTTGATAACCAACAATGATAAGGCTTCCATTGAAGCTGTCTAAATTTTAATATTTTATATATATGTATATAATGCACATTCTTTGAATTTGGAAAACCATATTTCTAAGTGGATGTGTAGATTCTTTAATAAGCTGGTCTTAGAAAAAAAGAATAGACTATTATTTAATTCACAAACATAATTTAAACTTTACTATTTTAGTTTTACAATTTCCAATTTCTCTTTTGCTTATTAATCAAAAACTGTTCTCTTTCTTGGCTTGGAGAAGATGATGCTAACAAAATGTAATGTAATTGTTTAGAAGTAATTTTCTCCAGCGATCTAGGAAGCTTAAGTAGTTGAGTTTCCTATTACTTTTTGCCCCCTGGGTTTTACATTAGTTCTGCACTGACTTGTCTGTGTATTTGTAAGAGTAAACGATTAGGTAGGAGAGGCTCCAGGGGACTGTTCTTGGCAGTAGCAGGTTGCGTTTAACTACCTTCTGCTTGCATGCACCTGATGATGTCGGTTATTAACAGAGTTTTTAGGAATCAATGACTACAATATCTCTTTGCTTAATAGGTGTACGCAAAGGAAAAAAAAAGTAATAACACTTACCCGCAGGTGCATTCTATGGTCTTAATCCAAGAAACAGAATTTTGTAGTGTTGTTGACAGCTGTTTTACTTGTTCCATGTTTTCATTGCACAAGTTGAGCCATGAATATTCAAAATATAGTCTGCCTGACTGTGCTACCCATGGGAAAAATCAACAAGAAACGATGTACGTGGTAGAAAATAATGGCCAGCAAAGGCTATTGGAAATGGGGTGGTAGGAATAAAGCGTAAACAAACCAGAATGACGGTTGAGATCATTAGTGGAGGATTTTTGAAAATGGAAACATGTTGAAATGTTGAAGTCATCATATGAATGAATGTTGTTTGATACCTTGAGGAACCTGATGACCTCCAATTCCTCTACATTGTCTTACTGCTCCAGCTGGTATGGCTGAAGATTAAATAAAGTTTTGTGACTAGTTCAGAGAAAAATGTAAAGCATAAAGTTTTGTATCCTTGCCCCACTATTTTTCTAGGGAAGGAGTTTCTTATTTTTCTTACCCTCTCTTTTCCTTATCTTTCTTTCTTTCCTTCCTTTTCTTTCCCTTCTCTACTTTTTTCTCCTCTCTCTTCTCTTTGTCTTCCTCTTCTTCTTTTTTTTGGAAGCAATGAACTCTTCCTTGCTGCTGGGTGGGGAGAAAAACTGGAGAAATGGAAAGCCAGGTGGCTGTTCATGATAAACAGAAAAGGAGACATTCAGAAGGAAAAATCTAGTAGAGGGGTAGGAGGCTACAGAGGCAATGGCCAGCAGGGGCATAGGAGAGGGAAGAAGAGGGTAGGTTCATGCTGAGGGGCCTGCGGAAGTGTGGAGCTAAATGGTACATGGAACTTCCGAAGGAAAAGGGTGGTATAATAAGGATTTTAAGGAAGGGTTGCTATGGGATGCATGGTGTCATTCCCTTATCTGTAATTCCAACCAAATTATTGAAAAGGTCAGATTGCGTGTGTGTGTGTGTGTGTGTGTGTGTGTGTGTTACATCAACACATGTGGTTGGGCACTAGGTAAGAGAGAGCTGACCCACTGAGACACCCAAAGAAAAACAGTGTAAAAAAATATTTTAAAATAGGATTTACTCCCTTTATTGTCTTCTGTAGTCGAATGAGACCACTCACTGCTTCCTGAACCTTGTTTGTCCCTTCTTACCTCCACACCCTTGTGCTTGCACACTCTCAATCTTAGTATCTGCCAACACCTCTGTTCCACGCTGCTGTCAAAATCCTACTAATCTTTCAAAGCTGAAATGCCACCTTTCCCTTTAGGCCTTCTCTGACTTCCTGGCTGGAATTTATTTTATTTTTAATTCCTATTCCTACACTTTGCTTCAATCACTGCCTTGCCTTACAGCCACATGGGTTAGTCTCCCTCTGCTAGAGTGTGGGAGCCCTTCCTAAGCAGGGATCCTGTTCTACTCATTTCTGTGTCTCACCCAGATCCCTAGCAGAGGCTGAGTAAACATTAATGGAACATTAATGAAATAATGTGTGCTTGGATCATCAAATACAGTTTTTTAACCTGCATTTTCTCTTATAATTCATGAGTTATTTTTTATAAAGCTCTTTTGTAGGTAATATTTCCTTTCCATAGTACAACATTGAAAGGTAAACTTGGCAATACATTTTAACAGCTGATATCATTCTAAAACAAGCAAGATGAAAAAGTAATACAGAACTCCTTTAGATAATACTATTTACTTATTTATTTATTTTTTAGAGACAGGGTCTCACTCTGTCACCCATGCTGAAGTCCAGTGGCATGATCATAGCTCACCTTGAACTTCTGGGCTCAAGTGATCCTTCCCCCTCAGCCTCCGAAGTAGCTAGGACCATGGGCATGCACCATCAAACCCAGCTATTTTTTTTTTTTAAGCTTTTTTAGAGACAAAATTTTGCTATGTTGCCCAGGCTGGTCACAAACTCCTGCCCTCAAGTGATCCTCCTGCCTTGGCCTCCCAAAGCACTGGGATTACAGGTGAGAATACTATTTATGATTTCAGTTACTAAATTACAACAGGTACTCTTCCATTTGGAAATGTATTTACAAAATAGAATTGTGTGGAAGTGAAAGACAGCACAACTGACAATCTGAAGGTTTTTTTTTTATGAGTGCAATGGGTCCATGCTGTTATCTTTGTCTAAAATTTAAAAAGAATTGTCAAATGCAAATTATTTAAGAATCAGGAAATGTAAGTAACCTGAGGTGGTAATTAGAGGTAGTTTACATACTTCCCTTATGAAAAGGATAGATACTTATACTTGTACACATTCTGTTTTCATATGGTCCCTGTGTCTCCTGGCAAGAGGTAAGAAGAGAAATTCAGATTTGAGACACTGCTTGGAGGAAATAATAGGATCCCAAAGAAAATGAATGATCAACAGCTACATATACTCACATAGTTAATCTCAAAAACATACTGATTAGTGAAAAGGCAAATCACAGAAGAATATATATAGGATGAGTCCCCTTACGTAAAGTTAAAAAGCAGATAAAGCAATGTATTGTTGAGAGATGTATGCATAGTGTTAAAACCATAGAGAAATCAGAGAACGTTAACAAAAATTTCAAGAGGTGAACTTTATACCTCTGGAATGTAGAAGAAAGTATGAAAGGGAAGGGAAATTTAGGAGGAGCTAACAGGGTCCTATCCTTTCTTTCTTTCTTTCTTTCTTTCTTTCTTTCTTTCTTTCTTTCTTTCTTTCTTTCTTTCTCTCTCTCTCTTTCTCTCTTTCTCTCTTTCTCTCTTTCTTTCTTTCTTTCGAGAAGGAGTCTCACTCTGTTGCCCAGACTGGAGTGCAGTGGCACGATCTCGGCTCACTGCAACCTCCGCCTCCTGGGTTCAAACAATTCTCCTGCCTCAGCCTCCTGAGTAGCTGGGACTATAGGCGCATGCCACCACACCTGGCTAACTTTTGTATTTTTAGTAGAGACAGAGTTTCACCATGTTGGCCAGGCTGGTCTCTAACTCTTGACCTCAGATGATCCTCCTGCCTTGGCCACCCAAAGTGCTGGGATTATAGGTGTGAGCCACCACACCTGGCCATAATATTTTATTTCTTGAGCTGGGTGGTGGATTTTAAAACTCTACCTATGTGTTATGTACACTGTGTGTTTATGATATAATTAACGTTAAACAATAAATATACAGTTGTTCCTCAGTATCCATGAAAAATTGGTTCTAGAACCTCTTGTGGATACCATAATCCATGAACATTCAAATCCCTGATATAAAATGGCTGTAGAATTTGCATATAGCTAGGCACACCTTCCTGTACACGTTAAATCATCTCTAGATTACTTTATTTTTTGAGACAGAGTCTCGCTCTTGTCACCCAGGCTGGAGTGCAATGGCGCAATCTCGGCTCACTGCAACCTCTGCCTCCCAGGTTCAAGCGATTCTCCTGCCTCAGCCTCCCGAGTAGCTGGGACTACAGGCTGCCACCAATGCACCTGGCTAATTTTTTGTATTTTTAGTAGAGATGGGGTTTCACCATGCTGGCCAAGCTCGTCTCGAACTCCTGACCTCAGATGATACACCCGCCTCGGGCTCCCAAAGTGCTGGGATTACAGGTGTGAGCCACCACTTCTGGCCTACTTTTAATACCTAATATAATATAAATGGTATGGAAATAGTTGTTATATTGTATTGATTAGGAAATAATGAAAAAAAAGTCTGCATATGTTCAGTACAGATGTAATATATTTTTGGAATATCTTCAAACCGAGATTGGTTGAATCCATGGATGCAGAACCCACAGATATTGAGCGCTGACTGTGTATGGTAACTTCACAGCCGGTTGGAAAAGCCATCTATATATAGTATATGATAGAGAGCTGTGTCAAAGGTTATGCAAAACTACAAGATAAACATACCACTTTGGGGTATCATTTTTAATCCAAGAGTTGTCGGCAAAACATCTTAAAATTAAAGCATTCTGGAATGTTTTATGAAATGAAACAAAGCATTGGCATGAAGTTTTTAAGATAAAATATGTACTGTTGCTATTTACACAAGCCATTTTAAGCTTGACCCCAGACCACTTGGGATGCTTATTTATTGCCCTTTGTAGTAATAGATAGTCTGGGGACAGAATTTGGGAAGACCCAAGGAATTGAGGAGAGAGGTTCAGCCTGAGCCAACACGGAAAGTAGACTCATGCCTTCCTTGTCGCAGAACACAGTAAAGGGGTACTACATATGACTATAACCTGGTAGCATATGGTGCTACACAAACTTGCTTCCTTTTGCTATTTTAGATAACACTGAGCAAATTCCTTTAGAAGAAAAATTCTTTGCTGAAATTGCTGTTATTCTTGGTGCCCCCTAGAGGTTATTGGGGATATGGTTAAAAAAAATTGGTCTCTAGTCCTGAAGTGACATTAGTACTAAGCCATTTCTAAAAGAGTAAGGGATTCTAGAGAGTTTATAGGGGCTGATGATATACCTAGGCACAAAGGGCCATCACAGAGGGATAGAGGACTTCAAGACACAACAAACAGGCATCCTTAAAACTTAGGAAGCCTTTTTCAAACACCCTTTGATCCGTTGTCCATATATACAATGGCTGTCACTTATCCAAAGGAAAATATCAGTCTCCCTAACATATGTACATCAAGATACAGTGAAAGTTGTCTCTCAAGGTAAGCAGGGCAAGGATATTCAGAAAGTCTAGATTTATCCATTCAGTAAACATTTATTGAGTGCCTACTGTATGCCAGATACCATGCTAGCCCATGGGGTTCCAGTGATGAGTAAAAGCATCATTGCTGACATTTGGAACATATGTCTAGTAAACAAGATGCACAGTAATCAAATAACATACAAATAAATGTATAATTGAAGAAAGCTAAAATGCTATGAAATGAAGGTACATGGTGCTAGAAGAGAATGTGCTACATAACAGAAGAATTCAACATAGTAGTAGAAAGAATTAAAAAAAAAACAACACTTCCCCGAGTGAGTAAAATTTGAATTGATATCTGAAGGATGAGTAGAAATTCACTTGTTGAATTGTTGGGGGAGTCGTGCTTCCAGAGAGAAACAGCATATGCCAAGGTCTGTAGGCAGGAGGTAACATGCATGGTTCATTCTAGAAAATCAAAGACCAGTGTGACTATAGTACAGAGAATGAGGAGAGCAAAGTAGGCACGGGAATGGCCCTGAAGGCCATGTTCAAGACGTGATTCATTCTCTTAAAAGCAATGAGAAGTCATTAAAGTATTGTAAACAGGGGAATGGCATGATCTGATATATGAAAATAATATTATGACTTCAAGGTGTAAGACACAAAAGCAGGGAGACCAGTTAGGGTGAATTGTGAGCCAAACCAGTGGATAATGGTAGCTTAGCTTATCATGCTAATGGAAATAAAAAATGTTTTGAAAAGTATTTAGAGGTAAAATCCACAGAACTTGAAAATGGATTGAAGATGAGCGGTGAGGAAGAAGAATTGTCAGGGATGACTCTTTGGTTTCTGGCTTAAGATGGTTTTGCCATTGACTTGCGGCACTCATAAGAGAAAGATCAGGAATTTGGTTATAAACATGTTGAGTTGGCGCTATCAGTAAAAGTACCAAACAGATATTGAGAGGGGAGCTGGCTACATGCAGGTGCTTACATGAAGGGAGAAGTTTAGGCTGAGGATAGGAAGGTCTGGGAGTCCCTGATATATAGCTCTAAGAAGAGTGAAAAGGAGTGATCATAAAGCCAAATAACCTATGGCAACTGTACATGGTAACCTATCCTTTATAGTCCTATTGAGTGTGACGCAGGAAAATGAGATTCCCAGATAAAAATCATTCATTCATTCAATTATACAAAAAGCCTCTAATATGTGTCAGTTATTGAGCTATGCATTAATACTAATCCAAAGAAGAGGAAGATAGAGACTCTGCCCCTCAGTAGTCCATAGTGTGTTGGGAACATCAAGCTTCTAGGCTCCAGCTCCTCAATTTAATTAAAAAAAAAAATGAGGCCATGGAGAAATCCATACCCCACCCAAGAGAAACAATCACCCTTTCCTATTGAGCCCATAGATTCTCAAAACGCAGTGTTGCTATCCACCATGAACAAAGCCATTGCATTGATTATTTGAGGAATCAACAGTCAGTTTAACAATCAGCACCTACTTAGAACAGCCTGGGCCTTTTACAAGCAAGAAGGGCCAGCCAGAAGCAGGGCCAAAGTCTTGTTTAGAGCAGTGGCCCTCAACTTTGGCTTTACATTGGAATCACATGGAGAGTTTTAAAAATTCTGATGCCTGGATCCCAGATTCTGATTTAACTTATCTGCAATGTTGCCTTGATATTAGGAATTTTTAGAGCTCCCAAGATGATTCCATTGCTCATCCAAGGTTGAGAATCTCTGGTTTAGAGCAATAAACACCCAAAGACTGACCCTTCCCCATCCATACCAGCTTTTTCCTTGTATGCTTACCTGGAGCAAGCCTTTGATTGTCAGTCAGATCTGAGCCTAGCTCACCTACCTATCTTGAGTCCTATTAATCACATTTTTACCTGTCTGATTCTATTATAAGTCTTTATTCTTAGAAAAGCCTATAGTTACAGTCTAAGTCTCACCTTGAATAAAAATAACAGCAATTACACTCTTGGCCTTGGCCTTAATCCAAACCTACATACTTTATGTATTCTGCAGTTTACTCAGGGAATTTCTACCCCTCTTACCACTTGGGAACAGGGATCAGGGCAGAGCCCAAGCAATGTTTGTGCACTTGGGTTTTGGGGGCTCAGGAGTCGGGAAGGAGCAAGGAAAACAGAATGTGGACAGTGACTCATGATGAGATTAGCCGCAATCCTGACTTGATCCAGAGTCACCACTGTGATAGTCGATTGTCACTTTCCTGGGGTCACTGTTGGGCTGTGGAAACCAGCTCCTGAGAGGTGGCATTTGTAGGTAAGTCTGAAGTGCCCTCAGCTTCAGAGAAGAGGGTATATGATGATTTGTGCAAACTTTTAGATTCAGCTATTTTTACTTTGACATACCCCAACAATGAATCAATAAACACTCATGACACTGCATCCAAGAGGTGTCTAGCATAGATATCCTCACCTCTGTGGAGGCCCACAAAGCCAGAGGAGACCTCCAGGGAAATACCTTTAGTCAAGCAAAGATGAGTCTATGCTTGCTGCAGTTAAGAAGACAGCACGCCATGAGGAACCATAAATTGTCTTGAAAAGAGGGAGTTAGGAGGGGCTTATTTTAAGATTTGTGCTTGTGTTAAGTGATTTGGGGGAGGATTCGAAGAAGCAGGGGTCTGGATTGGGATCTGTCAGAAAGCAGGCCAATTAGGTAAATGGGTATCTTAATATTTTTTATTTAAGGGGCAGGAGGGATAGAGCAGAGCTAGAGTTGACATTGGAAAGGAAGCCGTCGTCATTCATATTCTTTGGAAGATGTTTGGTTGTTCTGTGGTTGCACAGTCTCTTTGTTTTGAACTCTGTTCAGGCAAGTTTATGGAGTGGTCTTTTTTGTTTACTTTATAATTATGGTGAGTTCTCACCTGATGCTGAACTAATGTGAAGCTGTTTATATTCAACAGGAAAACACTGTGGCCTAGCTGGTAGCAACTAGGCCAGCTACTAGCTGACAGTTGTCAGGGCTATGTTTTTCTTTTTAACCAGACAATTTGGAGTCAGGGTAAGGATGACAACAGGGTCAAAGAATGATTAGGGATGAGGGATGGGACGGAAGTTAGGAAACATGAGCAGAAAAAGCTAATCTAAACAGGCATAATAGGTCTGCCACATTTCTTCAGCTAGAAAGCCCAATCAATCATTCCAAGAAAGTATCTACTCATTCTCTCAAAATTCATTTGTATGAATGGGCCAAAATACAAACATTTTTTTTTCTAAATAGTGTATTTCTTTCATCCTCCTCTCTTTCTTTTTACTCTGTCCTTCCTTCCATACTCTCATTCATTAAGTCGAATCAACCAACCAATAACTGACCAGCCAATATTTTATTATGTACCAGGCACTGCACTAGTGTGTAGTTTCTATTGAAACATAACAAATTACCACAAATGTAATTGCTTAAAAAAACAATCATTTATTAGTTCACAGTTCTGTAGGGCACAAGCTCAGGCATGCCATGGCTGAGCTTTCTGCTTAGGGTCTCACAGTGCTAAAATCAAGGTGTCAGCTGGGCTGATTTTCTGTCTGGAGATGCTGAGGAAGAACCTGATTCCAAGTTCATTCAGCTTTTGGCAGAATTCAGTTCTTTGAGGCAGCGTGGCTGAAGTTCCTGTTTTCTTGCTGACTGTTGGTCAAGGACTGCTTGCTCTCAGCTCCTAGAGGCTACCGGCAGTTCTCTGCTATGTGTCCCCACAGACAGTTCACAATATGATTATTGCTCTTCTTCCAGGTCAGCATAACTGTGTCTTTCTCCCATCCAAGTACTAACCAGGCTCAACTCTGCTTAGCTTACAAGGTCAGACAGGACTGGTTGCATTCAGGGTGGTATGGCTATACACAGGAATGTGTCTTTCTAATGTCTTCCCTGCAACCAACTGAAGACAATTTTCTACTTTTAAAGGTCTCATGTGATTAGGTCATGTCTAACCCGGATAATATCCCCTTTGCCCTATAACATAACATAATCACAGTTTTTGCCCATACTCAACAGGATAGGATTATACAAGGGTAAGGGTCATTGGGACTCATCTTGGAATTCTGCCTACCTCAGATCAATACAGATATCAATAATCAATAGTGCTTCCCCACAAAGAGCTCACAGACTTTCATAAGAGTCAGCCATTTAAACATAATTTAAATAAACAGTATGGTAATAGAGCCACATAATTGTAGTAAGGTTGAATAAATGGAGGCAATAATTAACTTTACCTGGAATAGACGGATTATGGAAATCTCTATACAGAAGAGAAGCTATTTCAGTTGAGTGGAAGGGCAAGCTGAATCAGGCGGAGAGGATGGAGAAGAGTTTCCTCATGGAAGGCCGCCAGGAATAGAAACAGTGTGTGTGTGTTTGTGTGTGTGTCTGTGTGTGTGTGTGTGTGTGTGTGTTTGGCATGCGGTGGGAAGGTAAGGTGGCAGGTAGGGTCTTTGCCATTGGAGCATAGTAGAGTGAGAAGAGGGAGCTGATAATCCAGACAGATAACATTCAGAGATAAAGTGGTAGAGCAGGAGCTGGTAAAATAGACCCAGGGAAGAGCAGTAGTCAAAGACCTGGTAGTGCTTGTTTTCATTCTCCGCAAGCAAACACTCCTCCATGGGTGGTATGCTTGATTTGGTTAAATAACCATCATGTGAGGTACATGATCATTTTATCTTGCTCTGCCATTTTGCGCTTTTAGCAAATAGAACTCACAACAAAGACCCAGAAAGACAGATGTTTCAATTTCCTTTTTTCGGGGGAATGAGATGTTTTTGCATTTGCTACATTAGGACAACACCTTAGAGTAAGACACTTAAATGATGTATTATTGCCTTATAAAATCACAAGAACAACATTTAACTAACAATAATTAGGGAGAATTAGCATTAAATGAGCAATTCATGGGAAAGAGTGATCAGTAGACATCTACAGTGCATGGAAGGAGGAAAAATGAAAGAGCAACTGTTTCAAAATGACTTTTTGTGCATAAAGTATATGGAATTTGAGTGTCTGGAGTACAATTAAGAATTAATTAGATAAAAAGCCATGAGATTCACAATGTGATTTTAAAAACAAATACTAATATTAATTAATTGAATAACAATGAATATGCACTGCTGAGGTTATATGTAAGACCTTGACTTGGGTTTGGGTTTGGGTACGAAGATTAATGGCTACATTAAACTGTGGATTTTTAAAATATTCAGAATATGCTTCTTGATAAAATAGAAAACTAGAACAATCATAAGCAGAACTCAAAGCTTTACGAAAATGCTCTCAGGACAATAAGTGTTTATACTGCCTGATCCCTTAGAGGAAAAAAAGAGAAGTAATCATACAGGTTTGGAAGATAAAAAGGTTCTATTTAATAACCTTTATAAGGTAGCAAAAATAATTTTGTTGGGTAGCTAATATGCTTCCATGGCAAGGTGACCAGTCTTTTTGATAAATGAATATGTATATTCATATATATATATATAAAATATATGTAATAGAGTTTTGCTTTTATGTGGTATAATTCAACAGACATTTCACTAGGAACATTGGTTTAAATGATAGCAAAAGGTCATACTAAAAAGGTTGTTATCAGTAGTAGGAACACACTGAACGATTTGCCAAAGGAGTCAAAGCTCACTTCACCTTAGATAAAACGTAAACAAGAAGTGTCAGGGTTTTGAAGCTAGGGATATGTTAGCAAGGGATTTTGTGAAAACTCTTTTGGCAATTTAAAGGGAGAACATATTTACTTCTTAACATGTTCAAAGAACATTTATTCAGATGCCTACTGAGTGCAAAGCACTGTGGTAAGTACCTAAAAAACTAAGAGTCCTATTCAAAAGCTGCTCTTAGAAGCTTCTGGATCATCTTTCTGTGCTGTTGAAAAAGGCCATCCTAATGAAGCAAAGAACAATTACCTAAAATATCTCTTAGAGCCTGCTTTAGACATTTGATTTCTTATGATTTAAAAAATGTATCCACATATATGAAGAGAGAGAGAAAAAAATAAAATTCATGGCCAATGTAGAAAAGAGGAGGATTACATCCTGATTTGTGATATAAAACATTAGGAAAGAGAAAACAGTTTTTACCAAATGTGTTTCCACCTAGGATTTTTTTTCCAAAGGTAATAATTAAACTAAAGTTATCTGTCTTGCTGCAGACAAATTAAAGTGTATTTTTAAAGCTTGCTTTCTTAAAATGTAAGTAAACATTTTGAAGCTCAAAGCCATTTGAAAAACACAAACATTCTAGTTTGCTAAGAGAAAGAATAGTCATCTACACTGATTTTCATGCCCAGTCATCTGTTTTGCCTCCCATATTAATGACCTTACCATTCACTTAGCTTTCCAAGCTAGCACACTTTGAGTCATCCTCAATTTCTTCCTCTCTCACCCCTTCCTACTTAGTCACTGAATCCTATTGTTTCTACCTTTGGAATATTTCTCAAATGTGTACACTTCTGTTCCATTGCTATTCCTTTTGTTTGAGGTCTCATTTCTCTCTTGGACCATGGTAATTGCTTATTTAGTCTTTTACAGATTCTGTCAACAAATATTTATTGAGCACTCACTGCTATTATGTTACCTATGTTATTAAAACCACCACATTTTAATCTCCTGTCTAGAATTACTGCATGAACTCTAGATCCTATATCCAGCTATTTATTTGATATCTCCATTTAGCTGTCTCATTAGCAGTCTAAACCTAGCTCACCTAAAGCAGAACTCAAAATTCGCCCTCGCTGCTCCCCACCCTCAACACCTCCTAACTTTTTCTCTCTCATTTTCTTCTTTTTAGTAAATGGAACTATCAGGCTTCCAGGAGCTCAAGAGACACCCCGAGAAACATCTTTGATTCATCCATTGTTCACTTCCTCTTATTCAATCTTTCAGTAAATCCTGTTGATTTGACTTCTAACATCCATCTTGCCATCACTTCTTTCCACCTCTGGAATCAGACTACCTGGTTCAAATCTGAGTACTATCACTTACTATGTTACCTTGATTTCAAATGGTTTCAAAATCAGACTTTTCAAAGGGAAAAAAATGGCATCATTTAAAAATTCTAAAATGTGCCTTTACTATCAAGAGCCAAAGTATAAGGACA
This sequence comes from Homo sapiens, assembly GCF_000001405.40. Taxonomy (NCBI): domain Eukaryota; kingdom Metazoa; phylum Chordata; class Mammalia; order Primates; family Hominidae; genus Homo; species Homo sapiens. The sequence continues at coordinate 96,083,576 of NC_000013.11, forward strand.
GTGAGGAAACGTGTGTTCCTAGTCTTTTTATGTCTTCTAAACTGGCTTTTTTTTTTTTGACAGAGGAAAGATAGGGGGATTTCTAGATACTCGTTAGGAGTGGAATTAATGGCTAGGAAAGAGTTTATAGTCTGCAGTTTGGTGTTTGGTCAGCACCTCACGATGATTTATTTATTACTGGCATTTATTTGGTGGGGGCAATGATAGAATTGTCTTGCATTCACGTGACTTGCAAATATCGCCCTACATTCAGAAACTGGATTATCCTTTGATGTATAGTAGGATTTCAAGATACAAGTTATGTTTTTTGAGATATTTTATTTTATTTATTTTATTTTTATTTTTATTTTTTTGAGACGGAGTCTTGCTGTGTTGCCCAGGCTGGAGTGCAGTGGCACGATCTAGGCTCACTGCAAGCTCCGCCCCCTGGGTACACGCCATTCTCCTGCCTCAGCCTCCCAAGTAGCTGGGAATACAGGCGCCCGCCACCACGCGCGGCTAATTTTTTGTATATTTAGTAGAGACGGGGTTCCACCGAGATATTTTATGTTATAGAGAAGTATTTTGACCAGACATTTTTTTAAAAGCCTAGTTAATTGGGGAACATTATACTTCCCCAATTTCTTCACTCTAAAAGTCTATAATTTGTCTGGGTGTGTGATTGCTTCAACCAAGGTTTTTCTCTCCTTTTTCTTATATGTCAATTTTTAAGTCAGAATTATTCTTACTTAGCCTATCACTAATTTTAATTCTGGTGTCCACAAACACCTCTGCAATTTTTTTTTTTTTTTTTTTGAGACGGAGTCTCGCTGTCGCCCAGGTTGGAGTGCAGTGGCGCGATCTCGGCTCACTGCAGGCTCCGCCCCCGGGGGTTCACGCCATTCTCCTGCCTCAGCCTCCTGAGTAGCTGGGACTACAGGCGCCTTGCTCTTTTATTTGCTTCTTGAAAAGAATGTCTTGTGCTCTTACTTCTCTATGTCCAAACTTGAGATAGTTAAAAGTCATAAGCATCTGCGAACTTCTTTATGTTGTCTACAGTAGTCAGGTCTCAGCATTTACACGTTGCAATACACAGTGTTTTATTAATTACTTTCTTTTCATGTTTCATTTACATTACAATTAGAGCATTATGTTAATTTCTGAGAAATTGTGTGTAGGTAGATTCTATTATCTATGATGCTTAACTTGAGATCATTAAAGGGATTACTTCAAAACATTTGTTTAATAAAAATGAGTGCTCCATCTGATGGGGTTAAACATCACTGGTTTCCATGCTAACAGGCCCTTGAGAAAGGGCCACAGAAGAGCTGAGGTGGCAGACAGAAGTGGGCTCGCAGTTCAGTGGAGGAAGATGTAGAGCATGTGGACATGACAGCTTAGATTCTAACAAGGCAGCAGAAGACCCAGCAGAAATCCAGGCTTGCACCTGCGATCAGGTAGGAATAACTGCACATGGAGGGGGTGAGGGGGAGCAGCAGGAAAAGGAAACTCCCCTGCAGACCACAATTCCCTTAGCCAGTACGAAAGGGCTTAGCTCACTGCAGGAAAAAGCAAAGAAGAAGGGGAGGGGAGAAACATGAATTTGACTATTTATTCCAAAGATACAGAGGTTAACTCAGAAGTGACTGAATTAACGTAAGTTGAATGCTTCTCATTTCCCTCTGTATCAGGCAATAGAATCTTAAAGGCAAAGTCTCATTTTGTTATTTGAAAATGAAGAAGTGAAATCTTTCCATACTAGGCCCGTGGACTTGTGTCTGTAAATTATTTTCCCCACCATTGCCAGCCTATCCCAAGTCCCCACCATCTCTTGCCTGGAGAACAACAGCCACTTCCTAACTGATTTCTCTGCTTTCTCTTTTGTCTTTCCTAATCCATTCTTCATGGATCCCAGTAAGCTTTTAGTATCAATCAGTCCTGTCATTTCCTCAATGACTACTTTGCACCCACTATCATGGCTCTGACCCCAAACCTCCCTCTCTTTCATTTCTCTATCATTTGTCTGTCTGGAGCCCCCTAAATTCTTTTCTGCTCCAGACCTTTGTGCTTATTGTTCTGCTTAGAAAGCTCTTCTCCAGGATGTCTGGCACGGCTAGACCATTCTAATCCTTCAGGACTTAGCCCCTTTGCCTCTATGTAACAACAGTCTTTTCTGACTCTCCAGTGGAAAGGCCTGCCCCATACCCTCAACCCTGCCATGAATTCTTTGTCATATCACCCTGCTATGTCCCCTCTTAGCACTTGTAATGATCTCAGTTGACATCCCTTTTGATGACAACTCCATCCTTTCAGTTGTTTAGGCCCCAAACTTTGGCATCATCTTTGACTCCTCCCTTCCTCTTTTATCCCACATTCAATCTGTATGGAAACTCTCTCTGATGGCTCTGTCTTGAAAATGCAGGCAATCTGATCTCTTCCAACCACCTCTGTAACCACCCTGTCTTGGTCTGGGCCACCATCAATCTCACATGATTACTGGAATAGCCACTTAACCAGTTTTCCTGCTTCTGTGTTTTTCCTTTTACAGTTGACAATAAAACACTCGAAAGGATCCCTTTAAAACTGTTCTGCAGTGGCTCCTCATTTCTCAGAGTCAAATTCTCACAATGGCCCACAAGGCCTGACATAACCTTCCTCCCATTGTCTCTCTGACTTCTTCCCTACTGTTTTACCCTGCCGGAATTTAAATTTTTGAGGGTAAAAATTATTGTCTTTATTGTTCATCAGTGCATACCAAATACGTAAAACTACATGGCATACAGCAGGGGCTCAATATATATCTTTGGATCAAATGAATGAATCTTGTTTACTTCTTTATAATTTATTTTTCCACTGTTAGACTATAAGCTACATGACGACAGGATCCTTATTCTTGTTTAATAGCATATCTAAAGCATTCAGAAGAGTACACAGTACATAGCAAATGCTTAACAAGTCCTTATCAAAGAAATAAAAGAATATCTATTGGGAAAAGATTAGTGCATCTACTTACACTATACTGAGTTAATGAATACATTATACATACAGATGGTTTCCATTCATTCTCATAGGCAGCTATCTATGGTGGATGTTACACAGTAAGGCAAAGAATGAACTGTTCAGATAAATAGAACTTTATGGAAAGTGGTATGTAGGGTCATGGTTGCCCCAAAGTTACAATCATATAGTGAACCGGAATATATCACAATCAGTATATATCCCAATTCTTTCTGCCATTGGTTCTAACTATGTGGGCTCTGTCTGCTTAACTTCCTGAGGAAAAAGAAAGCTGTCACTTTGCTGGTTATTTGCAAAACTGCTTACCCCAGGGGCTTTTGTGGGGAGAAAGATTGTTTACAAAACTGAAAAACAAAAGTCATTTCAGTATATAAGAGCACTTTCCATTCTTGTAGGAGAGAGTCATGCTGCCAATGACTTACATTATCTGTTTTATTTTCATCTCTATTGAGGGGCATTCAAATCTCTCTTCCTCTGTGCAAATGTAGGGGATCCAAAACTATCCTCTGTGATCATTTGGATTGTTAATCTCTCCAGGGTTTCTTCAACATTCTCAAGGCAGTTTCTGGCACCAAAGGGAAAATGGAGAAGTTGAGATGCAATTTTATTTCCCAATTGAACTTGATTAAATGGGGACTGTTCTAATCAAAAGTTTGAATCCTGGGGGAGTGCGATGTTGTTAACAGGTTTGAGAATATTGCAGAAGAACAGGGAGGAAGTATACTAAAGTCAAGGCAGAGAACGAATCAGGCAAGAAAATAATTGTAGTAAAGCTTATTAAGGCATAAAATTAGGTGAACAAATTGCTTCACAGATAGTGTTAAGCTCATTGCTAGACCGGCAAAGGAAGTGGAAGAAAGCTCTTTGAAAACATTATTTTTATTATTTTAATAATTTGTGTGGGAATCATAGTAGCTGCTATATGTTAGGGAGAAACAATTGCCAGCTGGTGTCATCGTGGAGTAACTATAGTAGACTGAATGCAAGTATGTTTTGCCTTTTTACCTGGAGAGCGTTCAATTTTAGAAAGTTTCTATTCATTTTTGCCTGAATGTGAGGTCTGCCCTTGTAGATAAGGAAGGCTGTTTATTGTGTGATTTAAGAGCTTTGATTAGGTTCACACCAAGTTCCACAACTGTAATAGGGAGACCACACCTGGGACAGACTGTATTTACACGACCAAAGTTACCTATTATTAAAAAATGAATTTTTGAGTAAATGCCTGAATTGTCTGTGTAATTGCCTTGATTCTATGCATTGTTTTCCTTGTGGTTACCTCAAGGAAATGGAGTCACTTCAGTAGCTATTTTACTGAAAATAAAACGAGATTTTCGGAGATAATGTTCTTTGAAAAGTGTTAAAGGTACACTTATTTATGGAAATACACGTTTTGTTAGCAATGTAGCTGCTACATGTTTGTCGTACATTTTATTTTTACAATTCTCCTAAGTGATTTAACAATTATATAATCATTTTATGATTGTTATTGTTATTTTTCCCTCTTTCTTGAAACTAATAGACTAAGTGACAAAATACTGCAGGATGTAGAATTGCTCAGCTTTGCCTATAAAGTCAGGAGGAGAGATAACATAATTTAATTATTCTATTGCAATTCTGTTGTCTCTTCTTGCCTCTTGACTCAAATGGTCTCAAGAGGGGAGAGAGGAAATTATGGGCTCTGTTGTTGATGTTTGTTGAACTTCTTCAGTGACTGTATTTTCGGGATGTTAGCAGTTTCTAATTTGGCTTTGCTTTCACCTAACTTTCCTTGCTTCAGTTTCCTCATCTCTGAAATGGGATATTATACTTCTCTTATCTCCTTAGAGTGTTGTTCTGAGAAGCAAATGAAATAATGGCTAGGAGAGTGCTTTCCACTATACAAACTACCACTAGCATTCTGGTTATCCATTTTGGTAGCTAATAAGGTGATGTTTATCCATGTGATATCAAGCAATTTTATAGGAAATGAGAAGCTTCTTCAATAAGGTGATATAAAAAGGTATAATGATGTTTTACTTAACTAAAGCAGAGGTATGTGTATATTAAGCAGACACATTCAGAAAATAATTGTTGGGCTTTTGTTTTATCACAGTTTCTTGCTGTGGAGTGGGGTGTGATGCCATTAATAGGATTTCAAACTTAAGTGAGAGAAAAAGAAATAGAATCAAATAAGCTTTAAAGAAGCTGATTCATCTCACCCAACACCTTTTCTACTGATATAGCCTCCTACATATTAGGAAAGGCAAGGGTTGGAGTTGTTTAAAGAGTTGAAAACGGGAAAGGAAATAGAGGAGGGAAGTTTTATTGAGAAGAATTCCACCTGTCTAAACAAGGAAAATAGTATCCTATGGGCAAACTTTAGCATCCCTGAAAGAGCCCTGGATCTTCACTGATGGCTGCAGAGGGGACACCCTGATAAATAGATGACATCGACAGAGTGTCTCAGGAAGAAACAAGTGCATGGATTCATAAAAAGGCCAGATGGGACGGTGGGCTGCTATGAAATATTATAGCACACCTGTGGAATACGGTAGTGTAGCTGGGAGGGACACATTGGTCTGGGCCAGGGAATCACACTGCATTGTCCTCACACATTGCCTTTAACACATTGCCACTCTCCACTCGGAAAATAGGTCGAGCAGGTCTAGGGACTGTGGTAGGGCAGTTACAACAATTTGATCGTATATCTTTTCACTATCTGAAAAACAGAAGTTGTTATTGAGCAAAGATTTAGTTCTGGGGTAATACTAAATGCAACATCTAGATGTTTGAAAAATAAAGTTTCCAAAAAACATCTGCATACAAATTAGGGCTTATGAAATATAGGCAAGCTTAAGTGTTATCTTCCACCATTGTTGGGAAGGAATAAATCTTGAACATTTAGGAGTTCAACGTCTATTAGTAGAATGATTTTTTTAGGAGGTGATCCCTAAACTCCTTTTTATGTTCTAAGTACTGCATGGTTGAGGGCTGGACTGTCTAGTGCTGAAAGAAAGTGTGTATTGAACATAGAGCCTGATACACAGTTAGGCGCTTAATGGTTAATTGATGCTGGTTGAATACAGTTGTATAGTTGGACGCACCAAGTTTGTTATTAAGGGAGGACCACCATAAAACTCGAACACCAGTTAGAATGTCTTGGGTAGAAATTCACAGCAGTCTGGAGCCACGTTCCCCTGCTGAGAAGGGAACTGCCAACCCGTGTAAAGTCTGGTCTAGTGAGTGTTCCCGGGAGTGTGCAGGTGTTATTCCTGAAAATAAGGCCGGCCACTACCAGACAGAGAAGCTGCCCATTTTAAGGTGTCAGATCAACGCCAGCGACGCTTACCTCGGGGCCTCCTCTCGCCCCACCTTTGCCTTTCTGCCAAATCTCTCCTTGCTCCCGGCCGAAGGGATTCCCACCCCCAGCTGCCTCCTCCGAGCCCCGCGGAGCAGCGGACTCCTCCCCTGGAAACTCCTCCGGGGCTGGGGGAGGCTTTGGCGCATGCTCCGTACCTAGGGCAGGTTTTTGCTGCGGGTAGCAGGGCTCCTGTCACACCGGCTGGCGGGTTGTGGCGGTGCCAGCCTGTGTGTGCGAGTGTGTCTGCGTGCCTGCGCCTGGGCGGACAGCCCGGAGCGGCAGTGCGACTCGCCGGGAGAGGCGTCTCCGCAGAGGCGCCTCGCCCGCTGCCGCTGCGCTGCGGGGGCCGCTCTGCAAACTTGCGGCGAGCGCCGTCAGCCCTCGCGGCTCCACAGCCCCGCGACCTGCCGGCAAAGGCGCCGGGCGCGCGTGCCGGGCGCGGTGCCCGCGGCCGGCCGGGGCGGCGGGAGCGGGCCGCGCCTTCGCCCTTGGCCGGCGCCCTGGCGAGCCTCATGCAGCCCCGGCGCTCGCGGCCGCAGCTACCCGGCTGCCCGGCTGCGCGCGGCAGGTCCAGGACCCGAACCCCGCTCCCCAGCGCCTGAGCGCCTGCAAGCCGCCGGCGGGATGCCGCGCGTCGCCTGAGAGAGCCGCGCCGGGGCGGGAGCAGGGAGCGGGCCGGCCCGGGCGCACCCGGGAGCGCAGGGCGCCCCACGCCGCAGCCGCAGCCGAGCGCGCCGGCGCCCGCCTCCCCCGCCCGGCTCGCAGGCCCCGGCTCCTCAAGCCCCGAGGGCCGCGGGGCCGCCAGCCAGCCACACGCCTCGGCGTCAGGGGCATGGAGGAACGGCGGGCTCCGAGCCGCGCCCCGGAGTCCGCGAAACTTCCGAGCGGGCGCCCGTCCGCCCTGCCGCCGCCGCCGCCGCCGCTTCGCCTGCCGGCCTGAGAGCGGGACCATGGATGAAAGGTTCAACAAGTGGCTGCTGACGCCGGTGCTCACTCTCCTCTTCGTGGTCATCATGTACCAGTACGTGTCCCCCTCCTGCACCAGCTCCTGCACCAACTTCGGGGAGCAGCCCCGCGCGGGGGAGGCCGGCCCGCCCGCCGTCCCGGGTCCCGCCCGCCGGGCTCAGGCGCCGCCGGAGGAGTGGGAGCGGCGGCCCCAGTTGCCCCCGCCGCCCCGGGGGCCCCCCGAGGGACCTCGGGGGGCCGCGGCGCCGGAGGAGGAGGACGAGGAGCCCGGAGACCCCCGGGAGGGGGAGGAAGAGGAGGAGGAAGACGAGCCGGACCCCGAGGCCCCGGAAAACGGCTCCCTGCCCCGATTCGTGCCGCGCTTCAACTTCAGCCTGAAGGACCTGACCCGCTTCGTGGATTTCAACATCAAAGGGCGCGACGTGATCGTGTTCCTCCACATCCAGAAGACGGGGGGCACCACTTTCGGCCGGCACCTGGTGAAGAACATCCGGCTGGAGCAGCCTTGTAGCTGCAAAGCGGGTCAGAAGAAGTGCACCTGCCACCGGCCTGGCAAGAAGGAGACGTGGCTCTTCTCCCGCTTCTCCACCGGCTGGAGCTGCGGGCTGCACGCCGACTGGACGGAGCTCACCAACTGCGTGCCGGCCATCATGGAGAAGAAGGACTGTCCCCGCAACCACAGCCACACCAGGTACTGTCGCCCGCTGGGTCTCTGTTCTTCCCCCCCACCCCCCATCCCTCTTCCTCAGTCCTGACCCAGAGCGACCCCGCGCTCCCTGCCCCTGCCGATGGTTTCCTGGCGTCTTCAGCGGTTGGCGCCGTGGCTTTGGGGAGGGATGAGAAACCTCCGGATAGTGCCTAGGTCCTGAACTCGTTCTTCCCCCAGCCCCCACCGCTTCCCGCCACCCCTCTGCCTTCACCCTCTAAGATGTGCGGAGCCACCGTGTGGATCCTGCCTGTTGCCTAGCACGGCCTGGCCTCCCTCCCAGTGGACGCTGGAAAAACGCCCTGAAATGGGGAGCGGATCGCGGTCTGGGTTAGACCAGCCTTGTAGAATTGTGAACTTAAGTTTTGGGAGTGTAAACCCAAACCCAGGAAAAGGAAGGGGGAGTAGAGAGGCAAGGCACGAGTTTTCCAGGCGTGGTGAAGCTGGAGACGAGTATAATCCCTCCCTAAGTGGCTTTTGGATGGCAGCTCAGGAAACAGTCAATCCTCTTGATGCCACTTTGAAGACACACGTGCAAATTCCTGTTCTACCGCGATAGATAACTCTAATTCTGGAGATGGTCTTTGTTGCCCAGCAGTGCCAGGATTTGGACTCACCTGTCCTCAGAAAGATTTCCATGCTCTTCCTAGGCCATTACATCAACTTATTCCAAAAGTATGTTAAATGCCTACAGGGTGCCTGACAGTGTGCTAGGTGTTAAGTGAGTATAAAGATAACATAACATCCCTTGTTTTCAGGATGGAATGACATTCTTGATCCCCTGCCTCCCAGCCTTAAAAAACAGTAATACAGTGGAGAATTAAGAAAGTTAAAAATCTTAATAGCCAATGAAACTGCTTACATTATTAACATGCTTTGAGAGAGACATGGGCTTAATAATTTGGTTGAAGGTCCTTTCTGCCCATTGCAATTTGAAGATTAATCTGACATGCTTGCTAAAGGACGAAAATATTAAAAGCTTGGAACACTAGTTCATTGAAGTTTTTATCTTAAAGGTTTCAAACAATTTGGTATGAGGAAATAGGAATTTAAAAGCTCAAGCTGATTATGTTGATATCCCAGATAGCTTTTGCATTTGACGTTATAGAAAAGCTTCATTTACTGGAAGCTACCCAGATTCTGGAATTCACCACCACTGAAGCATCTAATTCTACTTCATTTCTCCAAGAATGAGCAAAATTTCATTATGAGATTTTTTACTCTGGCAATTCTTCAGATACTTTCCTTCCTCCCTGCTCCTTTTCCTGTTTCCTGCACATTAGTTAGAATAAGAAACTGGATTTGGAATGAGGGAATTAGGCTCTTCTCTTAGTATATTTTACGGATCCTTTGCTTTTAAATATTTTTAATAGTGTATTACTTTGGATCTTGCCACTCTCTTTTAGCTTAAAACAGTTTTTCAATTAAGTATTACTTCCAAACCTCCTAACACATAACACTATTACTTCAGTGAGACACAATTTCTGCTACATTTCATCCAACCTTGTACTCCCTGTTTAGATTAATTCCTGATTGACCTCAAAGGGTTTGCTAGACTGCTTCCCAGCTTCCATTTCACTAAAACTGGAGTCTTATTGATTATCACATAGAAATGTCTGATTACTCTTCAGTAGGGGCTGGCATTATTTTTGTCCCAGGTTCATAAAAGTCTTAGTAAATAGATGAAGATTTTAAAGGACTTAGAGGAGGATGTGGAATCTAAAAATAATTAGATTTTTGCTTAGTGATGAATAATGTTACTACAGACCCTGAATAGGTGACAAGCAGTAAGGTCTCACTTCTATAGGAAATACTTAATATCTCTATTCTGTTGACACAGGAAAACTCCACTGTGACTGTTTAAACATATGATTTCTAGTGTATGATCAAGTTATTTTCTTTGTTTAGTAATGGAGCATAAACATTCACTTCTCCCTGAATCACAGGTTAGCAGGCAATTAGTCACCCTGTTCTGGTTTCCTTTCTTTCTAAAAAAAAAAATTTTTTTTTGGTAGTATTTTGTTTTTACCTCATTTTATAATCCTTTCTTTTCCTTCCCACCCTCTCTCTCTCCCCAGTAATTCTCAATTACTTCCTTGCTCTAGATACTGTAGGAGGGAATAGTTGTGGCATATGTGAAGTGCCCTGCATCAAAAGCTATAGGGAAAAAGTTGAAAGGATGTTAACAGTAGCATCTCTCTAGCAGAGAAGATTGAATTAGTTGTCTGTCATTGTAATGTCTGTGTACAGCATTCTACAGTCAACTAGATTAGCCTGGATAATGGAGGGTACCTTTTCACAATGCAAAATGGCAGATAATCTATTGGTACATAATGGGAACAAGGTTCTACTTCAAATAGGGCTGACTCTAAGCAAAATTGATAAGTAGATCTTGTTGATTTTGGTTCCCTAGTCTTTCTGCTTTTGGTCCCCCCAAAGCGCCTCCTCCCAATTTCACTCAGAGATCAATGCCCTTATGGATCACATAATGGATAAGAGTAAGGATTCTGGAGTCAGATAAATATGGCTCTTGTACTTACTAGCCATGTACCCAGGAGTAAGTTACTTTTTCTGAGTCTCAGTTTCTTCACTTTTAAAGTGTAGATAATAATTAGTATGGCCATTATAGGGGTGTTGTGAGAACTAAATGAATCAATGCATGCAAAATGCTTAGCATAGTATATATGCGTAGTATAATATACTGGCATATCGTGCTTACTATGTAGATATATAGTAATACTGCAATATCAGTTGTTAATTGCAACGATAGGTTCCCCACTCAAGGCCTTCTTCCTAAAAAACCATGAGGTCCGTTTCTTAGAGAAGATCTGTATAAATGGGTCACCTTACAGAGATACCATTTTATGATTACTTGTATTAAGCATCCTAGGTTGCAAACTTAAACAATAAGTTGAAAATTATGGACATTTGGACATCAGTCTTTGCAGGGGGCAAGGTGGGGAACAAAGTTGGGGGCACACAATATAATTGGATATACATTCCGTTGGTAACACAAAAACTATCTGGAATGGTGAGCGAGGAGGTGAGAACATCTAGGACTGAAGGCAGAAGCAGGAAGCCAACTCTGAAAAGAAATACATGGCAAACTTCAAGGGGCCATCATATGGATTATGTGGGTCATGAAGGGGCAGGACCCCGGGCTGGTGGTTTGAATCCAGCACAGAGGTAACTTCTGACCACAGAAACTGGTTAGAATAGGATGGTGGCACATCGGAATTACCTCTTGTATCATATCACTGATGATTTTTTCCCATTATTTTTGTGTTGCTTTTCCCCCTCAGTTATTTTTTTGGCAGGCCATTCTTTCTCACTCTCTTTATGCTTCCTTCTTTATTACTGTACGCCCCTTAATCTGCATGTCCAGAGCCTTAAAAGACTCCTTTTTAGCATTCTTGAGTATATATAGAATCATAGCATTTTATGGCTAAAAAGGATTGAAGAGAGAATCTAGTCCCACATTTTTCATGGGGAATGTAACCATAAAAAGGTGAAATGATATACCTAAGGTTTCTTGAGGGAATTCATGTCTCCATTTTCATAATTTATATTCAATGTTTTGCTTACTATATATCTTGTGTTTACTATGGAAAGTGCAGTGGAGTGTGCCTTAAGCACCTGCTTACTATGTGCCAGGCACTACGATAGTTCTGGGAATTGCATTTTGAATATTGGCAGCCCTGTGTAGCCTAGGCTTCATCTCTGGTAAGTGAGTATCTCTCCCATTCTTAAATAATGATGGAAAGATATTCTATCTGCATCATTTTGTAGGATAGAATGGCAATTTTTCTCTTTTATAACGTGTATTCCATTAGTTTTGTTAGAATAGTTTGAACCCTGTGGATGTTATATTAAATAGGACCTTCTGTGTTGCAGGTTATACCAACCTAACCCAAATTTATTTCAGCCAGAGGGGAATTATTGGCTAACCCAGTCACACCACCGGAAGGTTGGGGAGAGGTGGTTTCAGGAATGACTGGAACTGGAGATTTGGGGTCTTTCTTCCCATACTCCTTTCGATATTGATCTCATTCTATCAAATTGGCCAATTCCACAAGATGGGCAAATGTTCTTCATATCTAATAGCTCCACAGCCGAGAGGGAAGCAGGCCTTCTCTTAGTTCCAGTTTGAAATTTTGGGGAATGACTCTGATTAGCCCAGCTTGGAACTTGTGACTATTCTTTCAGTCAATCATTGTGTCCAGAGAGAGAGATAAGGTTATCTGACTCACCTTGTATCACAGAACCATTTATATGACTGGTGTGTGTGTGTGTGTGTGTGTGTGTGTGTGTGTGTGTGTTATCAGGAAGAAGAGGAGCTGCCATAGATACAGCTGCTGGATGGACCACTGGATTCTGGACAACCCCTCCAACTGTGTCAATTGTAGGTGCAAATACATGAGAAATAAATGAACCTTCAGATCTCTTTTTTTTTTGTATACCACTTAGGAAAAATTTTAAGTCAAACTGCAACTCGAATTTATTTGCAGCATCTGGAAACCATGTCATATGAGAATTAATTGAAAGAATGTGTAATATTTAATATGGAGATGAGAAAAATAAGGTGAGACATAAAAGCTTCCTTCAAATAGTAAAAGGAATGAGATATGGAAGGTGAGGGAGGCTTGTTCTGTATTGCTCCAAAGGATAGAACTAGGATAAGAACTGATGGGATTTCAACTCAGAGTAAGAAAGAACTTAATAAAATTTATAACTGTCTAAAAAGAGCATGAACTCTGTGATGCTCACTCTCAGTAAAAACTTGAGGAATGTCTGGGTAACTACTGATGTTGTAAAAGGAATTTCTTCTTGGGGAAAGGGTTAGCCTGGATGGCCTTTTATTTTAAGTTTCGTTAGTTCTAATGTAAGCTGAGTGTGGGGTATCTTTCTTCTCCTCCTTCCTACCCCATGCTTAGAAAAGAAAAAAAGGATTATAAATGAACTAGTCCTCTAGCATTTGTAAATATTTCTACCAAGGAAACTTTTTGTAAAGTCTGATGGTATAGACTGTTTTACACATTCAGGGCCAAAAGCAGTAAATGGGTCCTGTGTATTAGGTCGTCTGCTTCTTAATAATAAGTATAAAAAGATAAGATGAGAAAATATAACACAACTTGCCACAAAAACCAGAACCACTTTGAAACATTGTCTGGTTATTGCTTTTCCTTTAGACAGCAGGCTGAAATATATAAGGAGGTTACAGAGCTCTGTTTCAAAGACTAGACTATTATGGCCTGTACTGCTTTCTAAAGCATAAGCTGTTTGATGTCTCTTCTAATTAGAATTGTTGAACTACCAAGAAGGTTAATTTTTACCATAAGGTTTTTGTAGTGTAAAACTAAAGAGCAGTGTAAAACTAAAGAGATATGAGATTGTTCTGTCTGTAGGCCATATCTACTGATTTGTTCATTACCGAGTCTCCTAAAATACTGCTTCTGCTTCAAACCAACAATATTTGCTATAAATCAGAAAGAGGTTAAATTAAACCCTGTCAGTTTTTTGAGTAGTGAAGACATGAATTGGAAGTGGTAAATGGTAATAGATGATTTATGCTTCTGCCTTCTTCCTGATGGTTACCTTGGAATTTTGATTGGGTTGATTTTAGAGAAATTGAAATGTTTTCATAATAGAAGTGAGGCAAATTTAGCTGCCAACAATGTGGATTTGCTTAGTCTTAGACTCTTATATTAATATTCCCCAAAGCTAATTATTATCATCTCATTTTGACTAAAGACAATCAGAAGCTTATGGCATTTGAAAGTTATTTATGCTTGATAATGAACTAAACAGTTTAATTGAGACCGGCAAATCCTAATGTGATTTTAAGAGTCATGAAATAAATTATTGGGCCAAGAAATAGGTTCAGTATGAAAACAATTAAATGGAAAATCCAAATTAATATTTTGTAGTAATCACTTATCTTGTTTTTGAGTTCGTTAGATTGTGGATATCATTTATAAATTCCCTGTTGATTTTAATTGGCCAAATTAATGTTTTGTAGTAATCACTTATCTTGTTTTTGAGTTGGTTAGATTGTAGATATCATTTATAAATTCCCTGTTGATTTTAATTAGCTAATACAACTTTGTTTAAATTATAGCTGAGCATTCATGTATTGGAAGGAATAGTAAACATTTTTTAACTTGGACAGTGTTATTTGTTTTTATCTTCCTCTGGCAAATACAGTTGCTCAGTTGCTCAGTAAGACACATATAAAGTGCCCAGCATAGAGATTAATTTATAGAAGATTCTGAATAAATGTCGGCTTTTAGATTACCTTGAAAACATAGCAGCATAACTTGACAAGATTGTGTTATTTAAAAGATAGAATTATCAAAATTCCAAATGACTCTGTTATTTCAGGTGCAAATTCTGATTATTAGTGGTTGCCTTCCATAATTAGCAAGATGCCCACTCCCCGGATTGTCTAGAAGAGAAGTAAAAGTAAATATGGAGACCAGAGCTTATTGGACTTATTGGACTTATTGGATTATTGGACTTATTGGACTTGTTGGACTATTGAGGAGGTTTCTCCTATTAGACTGTATGCCACACATCAGAAACTCATTTGTTTACTGACAGATGTATTTGCCTCTTGAAAAGGTTAATGTAATCATTCATTTGTGCTTTAGAAAAAAATCAGCCTAAACTGAGAGGATGTGAACTCTGATGTAGGATGGAAGGATGAGAGAGCTATATATTAATATAACCTCTGGTTTATATAGATGCTAGATTACTACTGGTCAAGGCTAGGTGGCTGAGGTGGTGGTGGTTGGAGATCGTAATATTGGAGAACAATAGAAAGATATGATGAATTAGGAAAAAGACTTCAAGAGAGGTTGGAGGAAAACAATGACAAATTTATCAGCCACTGAAAATCATGCAAGTGCTTGATTTGTGACCGTAATTGGGGTAATGTTTAAAAGCATGGACCCTGGCCAGGCATGGTGGCTCACACCTGTAATCCCAGAACTCTGGGAGGCCAGGGGTAGGTGGGTCTCTTGAGCCCAGGAGTTCGAGACCAGCCTAGGCAACAAAGTGAAACCCTATCTCTAAAAATAAATAAATAAAATAAAAGCATGAACTCTGAAGTCAAACTACCTGGATTTTAATCTGATTCAGTCACTTACTGTCACGTGGCCCTGGGTTAAGTCAATTATCTGCTCTGCACTTCAGTTTCCTTCTCTGGAAAATGTCGATAAGAAGAGCACTATCTCATGGTGAGCTTTGGTAACCCATGTGGTACTCTTAGGACAAAGGCTGACACATAGTGAGGAAATCATAAAAGAGTTAGCTATTATTATTTTCTCCTGAGACTCATCTCATGCATATATGTTTGTTGTTGTTGTTGTTGTTTTTGAGATGGAGTCTCGCTCTGTCACCCAAACTGGAGTGCAGTGGCACGATCTCTGCTCACTGCAACCTCCGCCTCACAGGTTCAAGCAATTCTCCTGCCTCAGCCTCCCGAGTAGCTGGGATTAAAGGCGCCCACCACCATGCCCGGCTAATTTTTGTATTTGTAGTGGAGACAGGGTTTTACTATGTTGGCCAGGCTGGTCTTGACCTCCTGACCTCAGGTGATCTGCCTGTCTGCCTCCCAAAGTGCTGAGATTACAGGTGTGAGCCACCACACCCCAACACATATATGTTGTTTTTATGTAAAAATAAAATGATAGCTAAACCTGTAGCATCTTTTTTGAATTTGGAACTTCTCCTCCTGAATAGTGTAAAAATGAATTTTCAAGCTGTGATGCAAAAGAGAAGCCGTAAATGATAAAGTCAATGTTAATTCTTAGGATGCTGTGGATATTCACTGGGCACTCAGTCCAAGAATGGAAACTTGCAGTCTTTTTCCCCCCCAGCATATAGTTTTATTTTTTATGGGAAATTAATGAAACAGCAATAAAAATGTTTAAACATATACAATTAAATTCATACATGAAGCAATCCTGCAGTGAAATTGAATTAGTTGCCTGTGGGCACGTAAATATTTGTAGTTCATTCCTATTATTAATATCTTACCATGCTTTTATTGGTAAGTACTGTGTCATTTGTTTTCATAACCTTGCATTTGACATTGTGTATTTATGTTTGCTCCTGCTTTCTAGTTTTCTTATAAACATCAGAGGGTATAAATGCTAATCACCTCGATGTCCTCGGTATTTATTTATTAGATTTACAAAGTATTTCTTCCAAATAATTAAAGGTTCTGGATATTTAAGCGTAAACCTGAGAGATGGCATCTGTATTTTGTGGACTCTAGGAATGTGTAGAAACTTCAAATGTGAAAATATAGACCTAGAAAGAAGAGCAAACACGGTTTGAAAGAAAGACATGTGGTAACTTAATGCGTGTCTGTAAATCTGAGGGTAAGAGCCCCATAATATAGTAAAGAACAAGGTGACATGCCAAGAAAGAGATATCACACAGTGATCATATAAAGTGTAAATTGGAAGAATGATACAAAGGAGGGAGAGAAGAAGAACAAAAATAGTCAAGGTAAAGAATGAAATCCTAAAATAACTGAATCAGAAAGAAGGTAATATTGAACATAGAAGACAGAAATTTATCTGGTATGCAATGGTTTGTCTCAATGCTGCAGTTAGGGGAAGTAATCCACTATCCAGAAGGCTATCTGATTTGGAGGTCGAGTATATTTAAGTGCTACTAATGTATATTTATCTACTTATGCATTCATTTTCTGTATCATGCTGCTGTTTTAAAGTATTGGTAGCTTTACAGTTCCTGGCAGCAAGCAGAGGCACACTTTGGGATTTCAAAGGAACTAGTTTGAGAGGTATGGACAGGGATAGGGAAACCAATATTGGACCTCAAGGTACCTTGCAACCAGTGACAAGAGGAAACTGTTAACCCCATTGGATGTGAAGAGGCAAAAGGAGAGAACTGTGTTATCAGTATTTTTTGCCTGCTGGTGGCTGACAGGAGCTCCAGTTTCAGTAGTAGGAGAGAGCCGAAGGAGAAACTTCTGGAGAGGAGGTGTTTGCAGAAAGCAGCCACTGCTAGAGCTATAGAGCAGAGGCCAAGAGAAAGGAGTGGGAGTGCTTTCTCCTCCCACCTGTCCATTTCCTCCTATTGTCTTCCAGAGTGAATCCACTTAGAAGCTAAAGGGCAAGAGAGCTGATGCATTCTGTGGCCTTCAGCAAGTCAGAGAAAGATGGAAAATGGATTTGGGGTCCAGTGATGGGAGGGATGAAAATGGAGACTAACTTGCACAGTGTCTGAAAATAGTTTGAAATTTCTTCTAATTCAGTTTATGGATGCCCTGTTGTGTTCTACAAATGAGACCAAGATCGGATACCCCATATTTTAGTACCTGTACTGCATGATTTTCTGCATGGACCATTAGTCTCCACCTAAAGAATGATGAGTGCAGCAAAGGGCCGCTCTCCAAAGGAACAGTTAGCACAGACAAAGTGACTTTTTGCTGAGTAATAAAAATCATGCTAATTTGGGTGTTTTGTCATCTTAGTACCCCAGAATCATCTGATAATAGTGACAGATTTGGCCAGTCGTATCTATATTATGATGCACAGTAGACAACACACATTTTATAAATTTGAAGTTATGTAACAATATTAGTTAAGGCATGACAAGTAGTTTGCAAAACTGGCTATAGTTTGCAAAAACATTTACGAGATGAGACCCTTTCTGCCGCTTAGATTTTCTTCCAAGAGCATTAAAATTCTCTAGAGTAATATTTATGAGCTTTAAGTCTCTGAAGGTAATAGGTGAGGGAAGAAATTCATTGTGTCATGTTTGAAACTATCCTCATATTTTTAGTTTTAATTTTAAAGGACTTTTGAAGCAATATTTCCGCATTTATTTTGGGGGAATGTGATATGTTGAAAGTACACATGCATGTACCTTTTGGTGCAAAATATTATGAAAAGCTTCTAATACTAGATACTAAAAATATTTACATAAAATTGGTATCTGACAAAACTTGGCACAAGAACCCTCAATTCACTGCTTGAATTCTGAGAGTCAAAATGCCATCAGCAAAACACTGTTCAACATATATATTTATAGATGACAAAATGCATATCCAATACCATGTCTGTAGGCAGTATATCTATTGACATTGGTACATATATGTCACGTTCATTTCTCCCATCCAGAGGAGGGGATTTTGAGTTGCTGGAAACAATGCCATCCATGGAGAATATACCAACCTGAATCTTCTCTGTCATTGTACCGCCTTACACGGAGCTGTCTTTTCTCTCCTCTCTCTCTTTCTCTCTCTTGCACGTGCACATACACCATTTTATGACATAGCTAGAGTCATCAATGGCCTGTAAACAAAAGGATCATTTTCAGGTCTTTGTCTCTGAGGCCACAAAAAAGTTGCCTGCGGAATTGTTTTCTGCTGGCTATGAAAGTTATTAGTTCTAAGGAATGTGCACTTTGTTGGTCCGAATTTAAGTCCAGTGAATTTAGAAAATCTGGGAGAGGTATCAGAAAAGGTATTTTTTTTTCCCCACACAGCTTCCTTGAGTTCCTTATTGTGCCTTCTGTATATTCGATGAAAGAGGTGGACTAATGGATATTTCTATCTGTAATATTCCTATGAATAAACATTTCTGTCACTACTTTTATTGATAAATGTCAAAACTACTTGTGTCTAAAAACTTCTCACAACATGAAGGAACCTGTGTACATTGGAAGTGTCCAATTTATTATTGGGTGCATTCTTAATTTAAAAATATTTGCTAGCTGGGTGTGGTGGTGGGGGCCTGTAGTCCCAGCTATTTGGGAGGCTGAGGCAGGATAATTGCTTGAACCCAGGAGGGGGAGGTTGCAGTGAGCCAATATCGGGCCACTGCACTCCAGCCTGGGTAACAGAGTGAGACTCTGTCTCAAAACAAAAAATAAAAATAAAAATAGTTAACTCTCATAGACCATTCTTTGTCTTTTAAATTCAGACTGAGGCCTAAAACACCACTGCAGATAATTTCTTTGCTTTGAAGGTTTTATTCTCCAAGTTCCTTATGTGTGCTATAAAGAATAATTAATGTAATGAAAAAATCAATATTGTGTATAAATTATTTAGGCTTTACTATCATTGTAATTTTCTCTTCAACACCTATTGATCGGCAACAATTCATTTGTTAATTTCTTCCTAATAAGATATTCATTGTATTAGGTCTGTAGTAGTGCTGTCCCTGCACTTTCGCAAGCAAGTCATGAATTACTAATGATACATGGAACAAGTTAACTTACTAGTGAGTGGTATGAGATGGAAAACAGGCAAAGGGAGTAATTTGAAATGCAGTCCTATAGAAACACTGTGTAGGCAGACAACTGCTAATAATTCAGTGAGTATACTCTTGCAGGATATTAATTTGTACTTTAAAATTTTATCGGTACGTGTTTTTCTTGGCATATATGTGTTTTCTTTTTAAAATTAATTTTAAAAATCCATGATTCTCTTTTTTTGAGAAGGGGGTGGAGGGGCCGGTTTTCCCTAACCATTTACAGTAATGCCCTGAAAATGATGGTTATTAAACAGTGTTTTGACCGTTGATAACAGAGTTACTTCAGAGTTTAGGGAAAATCTGAGACCTTTTTAAAACCTAAAGAGAGATGAGTCCAAGAAGAAATCAAACTACCAAATTCATGGCAAAGAGAACTTCTGCATTGCATAATTTGGCAGAGTGGTATCCAGAAAAGACCTCTAAATTTGTAATCAGGCAACCAGGATTTGAATCTGGGCTTCCTCACTTACTCGTTCACTTATTTATTATATCATTTCCTGCCAACATATCAGTTTCCTGAGGTTGGTGAGTTTGTGGTCTCCTCTGCATTATCAGTGCCTAGAGTAGTGCCTGGTACATAATGGCTGTCAAACAAATGTTGACTGAATAAACGAAAGAATGAAGCAAGCGTAAATAAATTTACTAATTTATGAGACAATTTGGATAAGAATGTGTGCCCTATATCCTGTTTTTTTGGAGTTGTGGGGTGAGAAAATGACTACGAAGGCACTTCGTAAATTATACAGTACTGTGCTATACAAATTTAAATTTATATTGACGTAAGAAGGCTTTTGATATAAAATGGAAAAGGAAGGAAAGTTGGATTTTGAAAATGCAATGAATATGTAATTCAGCTTTTATAGAGCATTTCAAAACACCGGAATGACAAAGATGAAGTTGAAAATATTCAAAATACACATTTAGCTCAACGACTTGTTAGAGTAATGAGCAGTTCCTTTTAAAACAGGACATTCTATATCATAAATGACTTATCTAAGTGCATAAGTCTTTCGCTTAGACCATCAGGAAACCTTTTTTCCTCCTAGGGATTTGGCATAGATCAAGGTTTGAGGTGTTTTTTTTTTTTTTTTTTTCCCATTGCTTTACCCTTTTGAGAAAATTATCATGAAATTAATATTTTAAATTTTGTGTTCATGACTGTATATGATAGAGATAAATTATAGCTACAGGTTAATATGTCCTGAAAGTGACCTGAGAATGTAATTTTTCTTCATTTAAGAAAATGAAGAAAATTTCTGATTTGAGAAGACTGTTGAATTGTTCTATTCATACTTGGTTTTGCAGTTAATTACAAAGAAAGCACGAAGTTACTTTAGAATAGAAAATAAAATCTTCCAGAATCTAAAGTTTGCATTGCAATAAGATCTACTGGCAGAATAATTTTTGCTTCTTAATGAGCTGATTTTCATATGTGAAGCCTAGTACTGATCAACTCCAGGATATGACAGATTTCCATGGCTTGAGACCTGGAATACATGGAACTTCTGGGCTGGAGTAGGTCTTGGAGGAAGGTCAATAAGCTGATAGAAAACCCTAAGATTCACACTGTGATTTTCACGCTTTGACATTTGTGGACTTGCTGACCCTGAAGGAACTGCCTCTCCTAGGGTTAGCTAATTCCTAGAGTTAGTAAATGACTCACCTTCCAGCACACTTTTTGTATGCAAACCAACCTATCTAGAGCCCACACCCCTAACTACTTGCTTTAGTGGGCTCTTGCAATATAGTCCACTATCCCACTGCTTTAATCACTCCAGGGCCAGACACCAGACAACTGCCCCAGGGCCTGCTGAAATGATTCAAACTGGCCAGTCCTAAACCTGCTTACCCTGTCTCACTGGTTTCTTTCCATGGATACCACAATAAAGGCTCTTGGCCGTGTTTTCCCCTCTCCCTTGGCTTCCTGACTGACCCCTGTGCTTCCCTTTGTGGCCCGGTGTGGTGTGGCCTGCTTCTTATTTCCAGGGATCTCCCAGGGAGCATAAAATCCTTCTTTTTCATGATGGTTGTTTATGTGTCTGCTTGTCTTACTGTACTTGCCTAAAACAAAGCCTGGGTATCCTTAAAACAGTTATCAAGATTGGAAAGGACACAATAATGTACAGGGCAAATAATGTAATTATTTGCACAGGACAAATAATGTAATTAACCAAAGGCATAAAGATGGAAAAAAAAAAAAAAGAAAAAGAAAGAAGAAAAGTGCAGAAGCCAGTGATCAGAGTACAGGTGCAAAGTCAGATTGAGACTAGACATAGGATCAGACTAATTTGTGCTGTCACACCCATGATGTGACATGGATGTGGATTGATTTGAGAGATTGGAGTCGGATCAAGTCTCCAAGTCACATGGTTCTAAGCTGTGGAAAGACATGGAAGTAGGAGGAGGGAGGGAGAGAAGGGAAGGGTTTACAGCTGTGAAACCCAGCAAAACCTGACACAGACAATTCCTTATAATTTAAGTAATATTATAGGCCAGGCACAATGGCTCACACCTATAATCCCGGCACTTTGGGAGGCTGAGGCAGGTGGATCACTTGAGGTCAGGAGTTTGAGACCAGCCTGGCCAACATGGTGAAAACCTGTCTCTACTAAAAATACAAAAATTATCCAGGCATGGTGGTGGGTGCCTGTAGTCCCAGCTGCTTGGAGGCTGAGCCAGGATAATCATTTGAGCCCGGGAGGCGGAAGTTGCAGTGAGCTGAAATCGCGCCACTGCACTCCAGCCTGGGTGACAGAGTGAATTTCTGTCTCAAAAATAAAAATAAAAATAAAAAAGTAATGTTATAAAACATTGAATGGTTAGCAAGAGAGATATAATAATGTTTAATTTTGAAATTATTTTCTTTCTATTGCTAACTAGATTGATTGGTTCATTCATGCTTGTACATAGCCCAATACCAGACCCTGTGAAGAATACAAATTGAGTAGAATACTTGGTCCTGGCTTGCAAAGAATGAAATCATCATTATGTAACTCATGGACAAAATGACTTGGAAATATTTACATCACAACATTTTAGTTAATTCCTGGTATTGTAATCAGAACTATTTATAAAATTGCTGAAGAAGGCATTTGCAGTAATGAACAAGGCAGGCAGTGAAGGGTTTATATTGACTGAAGTGATGGGGTGATATTGGATTGGTTGTAGAGCTGTATATAGAGGGTTCTGAAAATATGCTAGGCTGAGGAAATTATTTTTGATTCAATATAAAATTTAGAATTACTTAAAACTCTTAAGTAGTAGTAGTTGTTAAAGTATTAACGTCCAATAAATTCTCTGATACTCTTTCCTTGAAGATGTGAAGCTTAATGCATCCCTTCATGCCCTGTATTGGCTTTAATGACTTGATTCTAATTAATAGAGTACAACCGAAGAGGAGATGAGATGCCCCTTCTGAGTTTAGGTTATAAAAGGACTGTGGCTTTTGTTTCAGTGTACATGCTCTCTGTCTGTCTCTTGCTCTCTCTCTCTCTCTCCACTTACTCTGGGGGAAGCTGTGTTCTCAGCAGCACTATAGAGAAGCCTACTTGGCAAGAAGTTGAAACCTCCTTCCAACAGCAGTGTGAGTGAGCTTGGAAAAGGATCCTTCAGCCCCAGTCAGCTCTTTACAGACAGCAGCCTTGTGAGAGACCCTGAGCCAGATATGAACACTAACAAAAATGAAAAAACAGAGTAGGGTGATATTTTTAAGAAGATAAGAGACAATCTGATCACAGAGCACAGGAAGTATCTCATCTATCTTCTTCCCTTTTTAACCAAAATGAAGGCAGCGTATTTGAGTACAGATACAGGATGGTTGGTGGAATTGACAGTTGAAAGATGGGATAGTTCTAATCTGATTGCATCTCTTTTCTCTATGAAGTACAAAGCAAGGTCATTAGCTGAGAGTCGTGAGGAAAGGGAAGGAATGTCGGAAATTTGAGAAGAGCAGAGATGTGAATAATTATCTTAGAAGTTGGGAAAACACATTTCCTAGGGAAGTAAGTTGTCTGGCAGTATTGAGTTCTGTTTTGAGATCTGTGATTATACATTTGAAATCAGTCCAGTTAGAATGGTTCTGTAATTTTCTTCAGTAACATTTAACTGTTCGGATAGAGGCAAAATTACACAATTGGGTTTAACCAGCACTGGAGTTTTACCCAGTGAGTAGCAAGGGAGTTATGGATATTTGCAAGGGAACATTTTAGTGCCAGATCTTGTCATTTGTTGGGATATAAGCAAGGATATGAGGTTGGGTGATACACAATAAGAAAAGTGGTAGGGTCAATATTATATGTTAAGGTTGATGATAGTATGGGGGTTGTAGGAGTAGGAGTGCTGGAGAGTTGGTGTAAGTGTGCTGGACTGTAGGAGATAATGGTCAAAGAAAAGGGCATTTGAAATTGAGATGCTGGAGTGGAGACTATTCCTTGTATGGTCTCTGTAAATGGCTGCCTAAGATGGGGCAATGAGTGATCATTGGTGCTAAGAAGGTGAAAGAATGGTCGGGACAAGGTGTTGGATGGGTTATCCATGAGAATATTGATGTCAAAAATGATGATAAAAGTAGAGTTGGAGAGGAATGTAGAGTTGGACCTCCTGGTGCTGTAGGTCAGGAGGTCCACAGTGCTAGCCCCAGGGGTGAAGGGTGACAATGATATGACATGTGCTCCAGAAGACTGTGGGAATATAATTATTCTTTCCTCTGCAAGTCAGACTTCTCAGCTGTTCAGTATTGCAGGACTGTGGGAAGTGTTGCAGGAAGTCAGGGACCCCAAATAGAGGGACTGGCTGAAGCCATGGCAGAAGAACATAAATTGTGAAGATTTCATGGACATTTATTAGTTCCCCAAATTAATACATTTATAATTTCTTACGCCTGTCTTTACTGCGGTTTCTGAACATAAATTATGAAGATTTTGTGGACATTTATCACTTCCCCAATCAATACTCTTATAATTTCCTATGCCTGTCTTTAATTTAATCTCTTAATCCCATCATCTTCGTAAGCTGAGGATATATGTTGCCTCAGGACCCTGTGATGATTGCATTAACTGCACAAATTGTTCGTAAAGCATGTGTATTTGAACAATATGAAATCTGGGCACCTTGAAAAAAGAACAGGATAACAGCAATGTTCAGGGAACAAGGGAGGTAACCATTAGGTCTGACTGCCTGGGAGCCGGGCAGGACAGACTCATATTTCTCTTATTGCCGAAAACGGGTAAGAGAAATATCGCTGAATTATTTCCCTAGTAAGGAATATTAATAATTAACAGTCCTGGAAAAAGAATGCATTCCCAGGGGGAGGCCTCAAAAATGGCTGCTCTGGGAGTGTCTGCCTTATGCAGTTGTAGATAGGGATGAAACACACCCTAGTCTCCTGTAGCGCCCCCAGGCTTGCTAGGATTAGGAAATTCCAGCCTGGCGAATTCTAGTCAGACCGGTTTTCTGCTCTTGAACTCTGTTAAGATGTTTATCAGTGACGATGCGTGCACAGTGGGACATGAAACTTCATCAGCAATTCTAGTTTTGCCCTGGCCTTGTGACCTTGCCCTGCCCATTTGCCTTGTGATATTTTATTGCCCTTGAAGCATGTGATCTCTGTGACCCACACTTTATTCGTACACTCCCTCCCCTTTGAAAATCACTAATAAAAACTTGCTGGTTTTGTGGCTCGGGGGCATCATGGAACCTGCCAACATGTGATGTCTTCCCCGGACACCCAGCTTTAAAATTTCTCTCTTTTGTACTCTTTCCCTTTATTCTCAGACCAGCCGACACTTAGGGAAAATAGAAAAGAACCCATGTTAAAATATTGGGGGCTGGTTCCCCGATAGGAAGGAAAGAGGTAAAGGACAGAGAAGAGAGCAGAAAATAAAAAATAGGAAAGATAGAAAAGAAGTAGCCACAGGAAGTTAAAGAAAGCATTGGAAGAACCTGAATCCTGCTCTGTAGAGAAGGGTAAAAAGCTCCTCATCCTTCAGTATCCCATCAGGTGCATGGGAACTCCAGGACAGTAAGGAGGTCACAGGGCAGCATTCCATGAAAGGTTAAATCTGTGACAACCACTCCTATCTCTATCTCTATCTCTATCTCTATCTCTATCTCTATCTCTATCCCTCTATCATCTGGATCTTTATATTGTAACTATGTTTATGTTTAACTCTATCATAGTTAGCAAGAAATGGTTAAAAATTGTTCAGCATTCATTCTTTATGGGGGAGAAAGCAGAAGCATGAACAGTATTTGTAAAGTTGGCTATCTAAAGGCATTTTTACATTTTAATCTTTGGTGAGGGACAGGTTTGTCACAAGCATTGCCCGATACATGAGATTTTCCGGTAGACAGATGACCTCACAGAGAATAGAGTCTGACTATTGGATGTGAGCTGGGCCCTAGTGTCTGGAAACCAACTGTGACTCAGCAGATCGTATGTCAGTGTGTGAGTGGATAGGTCTCTGGGAAATAGAGGTTTCTTGAGGAGGCAACTCACGTTCATAAAAATGGGTTAGACTATTTGAAACCACTTGTGGTTTTGATGAGATGGGCTGGAAGAAGGATGCATTAGAGGATAATTATTACAGTTTCCAAAAGGTTATGCATTGCTTATGTGTGCAAGGGAACTCATTCACAGATTGGCCTGTGTTTTGTCTAAAGCTTGATTCTCTCCACATTTAGAAAGCTACTTACATTTATCAGAATCTGATATCTGTTTGTTCTGTTCTGGAGAAGTGTTAGAGAAAGTAAAATAAGTTGCACTGGTGTTAGTGACTTTGAGGTATCAGGGAAGTCAAAGGGGATGAAGGAAAGGCCTAGAAATGAAGATCCAAAAGTGGCCCAAGATAGCTGGGATAGGAGGGTGCAGATGGTGAGCTATGCACCTCAGTCAGTTGTTTATTAAGTCCTTACATCTAGTGTTCAGTAATATGGCATGTCCTGGGCAATGTGAACCACTATCTAAGTTATGATGTGAGCAGGTTGGAAGTGCCGGGTACTGGGCTGGGCATTGGAAATAAAAAGGTGAATCAGATATTTTCTTTTTTCTCAATGAAATTACAGTGGGCAGCCACCAGTATGCAGTGAGGGATGTGCTGTGGTGTGGGCACAGAGCTGCAAAGCACAGAGGCAGAGCATAGCCAGAGTGGGAGAGGCTTCTGAATTAGTCCATTTTGTGTTGCTATAAAGGAATACGTGAGGCTGGGTAATTTTAAAGAAGAGAAGTTTATTTGGCTCACAGTTCTGCTGGCTATATAAGCATGGCACTAGCTTCTGCTTGGCTTCTGGTGAGGCCTCAGGAAGCTTACAATTATGGAAGAAGGCAAAGGAGGAGCAGGCACATCACATGGCAAGAGAGGGAGCAAGAGAAAGAGGAGGAGGTGCCAAGCTCCTTTAAACAACCAGCTCTCTTGTAAACTAACAGAGTGAGACTCACTTGTGATCATGTGGAGGACACCAAGCCCTTCATGAGGGACCCACCCCCATGACCCAAACACCCCCCTCCAGGCCTCACCTTGAACATAGGGGATCACATTTCTTTTCTTTTTTAATTTGTGTGTGTGTGTTTTTTTTTTTTGAGACGGTGTCTCACTCTGTCGCCCAGGCTGGAGTGCAGTGGCACCATCTTGGCTCACTGCAAGCTCCGCCTCCCAGGTTCACACCATTCTCCTGCCTCAGCCTCCTGAGTAGCTGGGACTAGAGGTGCCCACCACCATGCCCGGCTAATTTTTTGTATTTTTAGTAGAGATGGGGTTTCACCATGGCCTCAATCTCCTGACCTCCTGATCCCCCCGCCTCGGCCTCCCAAAGTGTTGGGATTACAGGCGTGAGCCACCACGCCTGGCCGGGGATCACATTTCAACATGAGATTTGGAGGGGACAAATATCCAAACTGTATCAACCTTTTTGGAGGAAATGGTTGAATTATAAAGGGTCATCAGAATTCAGAATAAAGAGTGGTTAATTTTCCTTGAGGGGTGTGGTGAAGACTTCAGAAGCAGTAATTCAGGCACTGTGCACAACTTACTTACCTTTCCAAGGAACTTTTCCCAGATCATTTTCTCACCATTCTTCCCCCATTTGTGTCCTGATGTGTCTTGATGACATGCTGTTTGCTACACATTGACTAGTATAAAGATATACCATAGGTGATTTATTATTAAAAATATTAGAAGTACCATGGTTTATGAAAAATGCTTATTTTAAAAAATAAAATTAAAATTCTAGTTGACTGTGCAGGATCACTCCCATGTTCTGTAATGCTTTCTTGAGTGAGATACAAAGGGGGTAGATTTACAATGTGTCCTAAAGGAAAAAGGTTGATTACTCCATTTTTAGCATATATAATTAAGAACAGATGAACAATACTATTCAATTATCATATAGCTTAATTACTTCTGAATGTGCATATTAAGGCACATAACCTTCTAAGGCTAACTGCCTACTTCCAAAGACAATTTGAGGTGGCTTGCAGAATTAAAATAGGACAATTAAAAATATGAGTAAAACTAAAACCAATGAAAAGGAACAGAATAATGTGTGTGCCAGACATCTAGGTATAATTCATTTTTGCAGTTAAACAGGAACTTAAGCTTTTAATATCTTGGCTGCTAAGGCAAATAAATAAAACAGAGAGCCCTTGTCATTGGGTTAAGTTTGTCTCAGAAAAAAAAATTCCTTTTTTTCTGACCTCTGGAAGGAATTTTTTGCTTAAAGGGACATGGGATGACATCCTGAACCGTGTTTCCACAATAGTTTTGCAGAAGACACAGGAATATTCTTCAAAAGACTGTTTTTCACATCCACTCTATGAAACAGAGATTTTGGTATATCAGCAATAAGCAACTAGACAATATAATGAAAATATCTCATTCACTGTAGTGACAAAGATATAAAATATAAGGGAATAAGCTTCGTTAAGGATGACTGTGACCTACATAAAGAGAACTGCAGATTTCATTGGAGATAAATTGAGGCTTGAATGAATAGACAAATGTTTTCTGAATGGAAGAAACCATATTATAAAAATTTACAATTTATAAATTTAAGAAAAGAAATTACTAGTCCTTTTTTGACAAAATCATTCTAAAATGGTTTGAAAAAAGTTAGGATACCCTAAGTATTCCTGAAGAAGAAAAGTGATGAGGTAGAGTTAGTCCCAGATATAAACCATGTTGGAAACAAAATTAAAACTACATCTCTGGATGCATAGCTCGAAGTATACATAAATAGGACAGAAAGCCCCAGAAATAGATACAATTATATTTATGAGTTGAATGTGTGATATAGTAGTCCTTACAGAATGGTAGGGAAAAGAATGCTCATTTAATAACCAGTTTCCCACAATATTTAGAAACACAGCAAACTCTTTTAGATCTGTATTGCATAATTATGTAACAACCTGCATCCCAGATGAATTTAATAGTTAAAGAAAATAATATAAGCTTTGGGATAATGTAAAATTGGGCATATTTATGTTCCTTGGAAAGAATGAATCTTTCTAGTGTGTTAAGGGATAAAAGGAAGCACAAGGGAAAACATGAAAGATTTATCTATATTTAAATGGTGAAACAGGTCAGATGTGGTGGCCCACACCTGTAATCCCAGCACTTTGGGAGACTGAGGCGGGTGGAATGCTTGAATCCAGGAGTTTGAGACCAGGTTGGGCAACATGATAAAACCCCATCTCTAAAATAAATAAATATATATATATATATATATATATATATATATATATATATATATGCCCGGCTGGTGGTGTACACCTGTGGTCCCAGCTACTCCGGAGGCTGAGGCAGAAGGATCACTTGATCCCATGAGTTGGAGGTTGCAGTGAGCTGAGATCACACCACTGCATCCAGCCTGGGGGACAGAACAAGACTCTGTTTCAACAAACAAACAAACAGTGAAACATGTATAGTGAAGACAACATAACTTAAATAAAATGAAGAAGAAGAGGACTGGTGGAGGGTATCTGTGGGTTTGTGTTGGCAGGAATACCACAGACACACATTCCATGGTAAGATTAGATGATATTCCTAGTTTATTTAGTCAGGGATGCAGGGTTTTATTGGAGTGGGGAGGTCACATAGAGCAGGAGCAGATGTAGTGAATTCCAACAGCTCTCTTCTGTCTTGGGGACTTCTAGTTTGGTAAGGGTGTAGGGCTGCTGCAATGGGCACTGCCCTCATGGTGTGTGTGGTGTTCCTCCAGATCCGAGGAGATCAGGTGGTGCTAGACCTCAAGCCTGTTTATGCTCAGGGCTTAAATCACCATCCAAGGATGAGTCACACAAACACGGATTCACTTAAATTTAAGGAGGTGTTTACAATAATCAAGCTCTCCTGTTCTTGAGCCAAACTTAGCCTCCTCAAGGTCACAGACTATCTATGGGGAGAAGCCAGACTCAGAGCTGAGGCCAGGTATCTCTGAGCAGGAGCTCAGTGACTTGTTTTCTAGAAGTTTGGAAAGCACACCCCTGCCCCCCATTAACAGATTGACAGAGTATGACAGGAAAGGATTATTGACTTTCTTAAAGGCATTCAAACTGGTGGAAAACATTATTACATTCTTAATAGATAATTGGGCAAAGCTTATGTACAGTTGTTTCATTAAGAACCTTAGTAAATAAATAACTAGAAAAATATTAACCTCATCTGTAAGCAATGCAAGTAAAATATAAATTAAGAAAATAACATAGCTTACACTTACTAAATGAGTAAACATTAAAAAGCATAGATATAATATTCGGTTCTCATGAAATTATGGTGAAATGGGTTCATTTGTAAATTTGGAACCTTCCATTGCTGGTTTTTGGAAAGGAGTCTGACTATATATTAGGAATCAAAAACCTGCCCATGGATGTTTGTACCAGGAATCTCACCTCTGGAAATTTATCCTAAGGAAATAATTCAAGAGAAGAAAAGACAGAAAGTATATGCACTAATATATTCATTTTACCATTATTTATAATGGCAAAAAGTTGGAAAAGTGGAACAACTAGGAATTTGGATAGTAGGGGAATGGTTAAACTATGGTACAACAAATTGATGTAATATTATGCCCCCATTAAAATGATAATTATGAAGAGCCGCGTATTAGGATATGTTTGAGGCACTGTTAAATTAAAGAAGACACAAAATAGTATCTATTTAGTGATCAGCTTTCTATACTTATGGTCAGGTTCTACAAAGAAACATAATAAAATGAAAAAAGTTGTGAAAATGTGGGTAATTTTAATTTCTTTTCTATTTTCTTTATTAATATAATAATTCTTTTTTTTTTCTTTTCTAGTGACAGGATCAGTCTCTGTCACCCAGGCTGGACTGCAATTATGTGATCATAGCTCACTGCAGCCTCAAACTCCTGGGCCCAAGTGATCCTCCTGCCTCAGTCACCTGAGTAGCTTGGGCTACAAGGTTGTCACCGTGCCTGGCTAATTTTTTCATTTTTTGATGCGATGGGATATCGCTGTGTTGCCCAGGATGGTCTCAAACTCCTGGCCTCAAGTAATCCTTCTCCCTTGGCCTCCTAAAGTACTGTGATTACAGGGATGACCCACCGTTCCTGGCCCTTTCTTTTCTTTATTACTATTAAAAGCAGCATGAAGTAGTGGTTAAGATTGTGGATTTGTATCCCAGTTCTGCTACTTACCAGCTGTGTGACTGGGGAAGGTAACTTACCATTTTTTGTGCCTCTGTTTGCTCATCTACGAAACAGGGATAATAATAGGGCCTACCTTATAGAGTTTTGAGGATTACATGAGCTAGTGTTTGCAAAGTGCTTAGAAAAGTGTCTGGTGTATATAAGGCCCTGTGCCAGTATTAGCTATTAGTATACTGTTGCTTTTCATAAGATATAGATGGGTGTAAAAACCCCCAAATAAATAAAACACTGCTCTTGTCACAAAACACCATGCCCCCAGGCCTAGTAAATAGACATTGACTTCTCATAAATAAGTCTTTGTGTTGGGAGCGAAGCTATTGACACTGGACCATGACTTCTTTAGTGCAAGGACTCTACCTGTTTGTATTAACATTCTGGGTCATGGTAGGCAATCAGTTTTTGACTGAATTTCTAGAGGTGTGACTTTTTGATTACTGGGTTTAATAGTTAGTCCAAGTTTAGGTAACCATAGGAATTGTTCTTCCTTGACCTTGTGCTGACCTTTGGCCCCATGTTCCTGCCTCCATTTCTGTGTGCTTGCTACTAGTTTTACAGGACATGGTTAAGGGGTCATTCTGTTGAAGGGGTCAGGGACTTTTTCTTGGCACAGACATGGAACCCTGTTGATAATGTCTGTTGTCACATTATATTACATTTTTGCATTAGTTGGAGCTGACATACTTCCAAGTGGCAGAAATCAATCTAACTAGGCCATATTAAAAGTGGTGTTTTTATTTGTTTGTTTTACTTTAAGTTTCGGGATACACGTACAGAATGTACAGGTTTGTTACATAGGTGTACGTGTACCATGGTGGTTTGCTGCACCTATTGACCCATTCTCTAAGTTTCCTCCCCTCACACCCCATCCCCCAACAGGCCCTGGTATGTGTTGTTCCCCACCCTGTGTCCAGGGCTTTCATTGTTCAACTCCCACTTATGAGTGAGAACATGCGGTGTTTGGTTTTCTTTTCCTGTGTTAGTTTGCTGAGGATGATGGCTTCCAGCTTCATCTGTGTCCCTGCAAAGGGCATGATCTCATTCCTTTTTGTGGCTGCATAGTATTCCATGGTGTATATGTGTCACATTTTCTTTATCCAGTCTATCATTGGGCATTCGGGTTGGTTCCATGACTTTGCTATTGTAAATAGTGCTGCAGTGAACATACACATGCAAGTATCTTTATAGTAGAATGATTTATATTCCTTTGGGTATATACCCCATAATGGGATTGTTGGGTCAAATGGTATTTCTGGTTCTGGATCCTTGAGGAATCGCCATACTGTCTTCCACAACGGTTGAACTAATTTACATTCCCACCAACAGTGTAAAAGTTTTCCTGTTTCTCCACATCCTCGCCAGCATCAATTGTTTCTTGACTTTTTAATAATCACCATTCTCTGACTGGCATGAGATGGTATCTCATTGTGGTTTTGATTTGCATTCCTCTAATGATCAGTGATGTTGAGCTTTTATTCATATATTTATTGGCCGCATAAATGTCTTCTTTTAAAAGTGGTGTTTATTTTTAAGGATGCTGGGGCAACACAGCAGCATCTCTGGAAAACAAGACAATAGAACAACAGGTGACAGGAAGAGTCATAAGAACCTGGTCAGCTTCCGGGAACTCGGCCGCAGGAATTAGCTCTCCTTCAACGACTCGAGTGCATAGTCTGTTCACTTACTGGCTTCTTTTACACTGCTACTACCTGAATTGCTACTCATAGGCCTGATTATATATTTTTGGCAGAGAAATCTGACTGGCCCACCTCACCTTTTTGTGAGGTCCCATGGATTGCCAATCAGCTATAGTCAGGTGTCTGCCCTGACCCAACTGTGGGGTGGGAGTGGCAGGAGGGAATATGCTGGTGATGATGTACACATGTGGTCTCCCCTAATCAGCAGAGATTTTCCCTGAGGCAGGCTCTTTGAGAAAGAAACAACAGCATGGCAGACACCCCCAAAATGCGTTTAACGTGCAGTGAAATCTCCCATCCCCACTCCATTCCCAAACCATGAGGTTTCAGCAGCAGATAAGCGTATTATTCATCCATGAATTCTAAGCAATCAGGGTGGTGTCTGGCATGCAGAAGGTGCTCAGTATGCACTATTGAACTGAACTTTCAGATACCTGATAGTTCACTCATTATAGCAAGTGATAAATTGCAGTAAATTTCCAATGAATGCCTGAACATTGCTATTTTAAATTGTTGATGAGAGAGGAGGACTAGAGAGAGAGGTGCATGGAGCCAAACCACTGTTTTGTTGTGATTATGTTGGCACCTGACTTGTGTTCTTGCCATTCCACTTATTCAGAGAGGCTCAGGGAAACTCGAAGTAGGTAAAAATATGCTTAAGGAGAGATGAACATTTATATGAAGTAAGGGGAAAAGCTGGGGTTTTGGAGGATACACATTCATTTTGATGTTGAGCTTTATCATTGACTACATATATAAACTTCAGAAAGTCACTAAGCCCTGTGATCTCCAATTTACTCATCTGTAAAATGAGATAAATAATTTAGCCTAGTTTTTAGGATTGCACATTTAAGATTGTGAAATAAAATTTCTGGTATAAGTAATTTAATTCTCTTCCCTTTCACTCTCCTTGCTTTGTACTTCCTTAAATGGTTTGAGAGTTATTTTGAATGGAGTCCTAGGAGTCCTTATTTCTGTAGCATGAAAGAGAATATTTTGGTCTGAATATTTCATAAGAGAAGAACTTTCAGGAAAACACTAACAAGATTAACATTGTAAGATGCCCCCTATGGTCTAAACACATCAAAATAAAGCAGAAGAATAACAAAAATCATAATAAGTATCACAAAGGGAAAATAACCTTTAAAAACAATAATTGCACATTTAAAATAAAGAAAACCAGTTGTAATTGCGAAAGTATTTTAACACCAAAGAGGAAGAACACATTTTCAGGACCAGGCATTTACATTGGTTGAGGTGGAAAACAAATATCAAGAATCAGAAAGAGATAAGATTGAATGATGATATTCACTGGAGAAGATAGAAAAGAAAACATAATATCTATGAAAATATGCAGTGATGATGAATGACTGCAGCACATGGAAATGCTGCAGAAATGCCAAAAAATAAGGCAGGCAAGGAGGGGTAGGCTTAGAGCACTGAAGTGAAGCTTTATGTTAGTTGTAAACTATAATGTTAAGTGATTGAATTAAAAATATGTAATAGACTGCATGAATCTAGAAAATGGATTGAGATAAATCTGTGCCTAACAGGGACATTGTTATGGGCTGAATCATGTCTCCTGCCCCCAAATTTATGGTTGAAGTCCTCACTCACGTGTACCTTAGAATGTGACTTTTTTTTTTTTTTCGAGATGGAGTCTCCCTCTGTCACCCAGGCTGGAGTGCGGTGGCCTGATCTCGGCTCACTGTAGCCTCCTCCTCCTGGGTTCAAACAATTCAACTGCCTCAGCCTCCTGAGTAGCTGGGATTACAGGTGTGTACCACCACGCCCAGCTAATTTTTGTATTTTTTAAGTAGAGATGGGGTTTTACTATGTTGGCCAGGCTGGTCTCAAACTCCTGACCTCAAGTGATCCACCCACATTGGCCTCCAAAAACTCTGGGATTACAAGTGTGAGCCACCACGCCCAGCCAGAATGTGACTTTATTTGGAGGTAGAACCTTTGAAAAAATAAGTAAGGCTAAATGAGGTCATTGGGGTGGGTCCTAATTCGATATGACTGGTGTCCTTATAAGAAGTAGAGATTAGGATACAGACACACGCAGAGGGAAGATCATGTGAAGACAGAGATAAAGTCGCCATCTACAAGCCAAAAAGGAAGGCTACAGCATGAAACCAGTCATGCCAACATTTTGATCTTGGACTTCCAGCCTCTAGAACTGTGGGAGATTAAATTTCTGTTGCTTAAGCTACCAAGTTTGTAGTGCTTTGTAATGGCAACCCTAGCAAACTGATACAGATGCCAAAAGAAAATGATGGACAATTTCCATGAAACCATATGAAGGAAGTAGAAACTTCCTCTGATTTGGAAAAGAAGAACTTGTGAAAGGAGAGATAGGAAAAATGTTGAAATGTGTTCTATCAATACTAATTAAGAACATTAAAGATATATATATATATATATATATATATATATATATATATATATATTTTTTTTTTTTTTTTTTTTTTTTTTTTTTTTTGAGACGGAGTCTCGCTCTGTCGCCCAGGCCGGACTGCGGACTGCAGTGGCGCAATCTCGGCTCACTGCAAGCTCCGCTTCCCGGGTTCACGCCATTCTCCTGCCTCAGCCTCCCGAGTAGCTGGGACTACAGGCGCCCGCCACCGCGCCCGGCTAATTTTTTGTATTTTTAGTAGAGACGGGGTTTCACCTTGTTAGCCAGGATGGTCTTGATCTCCTGACCTCATGATCCACCCGCCTCGGCCTCCCAAAGTGCTGGGATTACAGGCGTGAGCCACCGCGCCCGGCCACATTAAAGATATTTGCTGGAGAATTATGAGTGGAAAAAATATAAAGGACAAGATGAATAGCTTATGTTACTAAATGCATGCAAATGACTGTGTGTTTAGAAAGCCTAACAAATCAACTTAAAACCTTTATAGTAATAAGAGTTTAGCACAATTACAGCATATAGGATAAATCTGTAGTCTCTAGTGCTTCATATACATATAAAATATAAATTAATCTCATAAATAGTATAAATAACATTAAATAATTTCAATTAATTTAATGCAGAGTATGAAAGCCATTTAAGGGAATTTAAAATAACAGGAGATGATTTTTTTAAATTGGAAAAAACAGAGTGATGTTTTACTCAAATGCTTTCTAAGTACACTGATGATTATAGTATCTCTTTATTAAGTATAATTTAATAATAGATATTGATTTACTTTGTAAATTATGAAGTAAGATTTGATGCTAAATATTGTTTTATTATTAGAGTTCAGGATAGCAAAATTGAGACTCAGGACAAATTTGGGCGGATAATAGATTTTAAGATGGTCTGAACTACTTAAGGATTGAGATAAATAAAAAATGCCTGATTGCTCAGTGATCAATCATTTTGACCTCCTGATTAAGTGAAATTTGCATCGGATCTATCCCACTTCCTACTGTAGAGTATAATTAATCTTGAAGACTGTGAGCCAGAGGGCCTGGAGGCTCCTCTGTCTATTATCTGAGTGTCCTTGGGCAGTTATTTAATACATTTCTGCTCCCCCAGTTTTCACTCTGTACAGTGGAGATAGGGTTGTTGTGTGAGGACTAATGAGTCCTAAAATATTGCCTTACGATTAAAATTACTTTCACAGACTATTGCAGCATTAAATATAATAGGAAAAAAAAAAAAAGGAAACTGTGCTCTACCCTAGGGGATTATTCAGGATGGAATTGTGTCCCCTCTTCCAGAAAATCAGTTGAAGTTCTAACCCCTAGTACTTCAGAATGTGACCTTATTTGGAAATAAGATGGTTGCAGATGTAATTTAGTTAAGAATAGATCATATTAGATTAGGGCAGGCCCCTAATTCAATATAACTGGCGTCCTTCTAAGAAGAGAGAGACACAGGAAGAATGCCCTGTGAGAGGGAAGGCAGAGGTTGGAGTTATGCAGCTATAAGCCAAGAAATGGCAAAGATTCCTGGCAGCCCCAGAAGCTAGGAAGAGGCAAGGAAGGGTTCCCTGCAGGTTGCAGAGGGGCTGGGGCCCTGGTTTCAGATTCCTGGTTTCTAGAACTGGTAGACTATATATTTCTGTGGTTTTAAGCTACCCAGTTTGTATTAACAGTACTAGGCAATCCTAGGACACTAATAAAGGGACTGTGCAGCTTTTGCAGTAATTTAAAGCATGTTCTTGACTATTTTAAGGCAAGAAAAACTGCTTACAATATATTAATAACTGAAGAGCAGGTTATAAGACATTCTATATGCTCTGTCCTATTATCTAAAAAATACCTAAATGTATATACGTATATTCCTTCAATTTATTTCCTATACATCATAGAGTTAAAACAAGTTTTTTTTCTAATTAGTAGCATATTGAACTTTATTTCCTTTATTATATTTTCCTGAATTATTCAAATTTTATAAGGAGATACAAATCTATGAATTTTTTTTGAAGAACAATGTATTTTACTTGGTTTTTTCTGCTGTGATTTAGGCATCTATGTCACCTAATAAAAAACACAATTATAAACTTTTGTTTTTCAGTGTAAATTTCTGTGTATGGAGCTTGGCAGAACCGTTATCCGCTCTGACATACAAGAAGCCAAACAGTGACAAATCAGTTAAAATGTATAAAATTGAGGAGGCTGACATATCTAAAGGACATGTATTACAAAAGCAGTGGAACGTTGTATATTAGGTCATTACAGGTCAGTCTCATCTGGAGACTGGATAAAGTTTGGGATGAATATAGCGGGTTCTGAAGTGATGAATAGCCATAGGGCCTGGCCTGGGCTGGATAGGAAAAGTGCCTAATTAAACTTGGGCACAAAGGTTTCATTTCCAAGTCCGAGACCTAAAACAGAAACTGTTAGAATGGGTCACAGAGGACTTAAGTTTATTTGCATACCTATCTGAAAAATATTTTAAGTGATTTATAAGTGTATTTCCATCCATCCTAAGGTTTTAGAAATGCCTTCCTTTCCCTTTCTGGTTTTAAAAGTATGTAATTTCTGAGTTACTGATTTACTAATACTTTGAATTAAGATATATTTAATTTAGCTGAATTGCGCTATATTCGACCAAGTAGGTTTTATGGGTTTCTTGGTGAAGTTTATTAGAGGCTCATTAAGGAGCCAAGCAAAGGTAGAGTAAGGCTAGAATGATTAGAGATGAGGGTCACCTGAGAGGTGTGGACTAGCGCTATCTGCAGAAGAGGCATACACTTATTGCTATTATTCATTTACAACATACGTTGACATCTTGTGGGCACCCTCCTTCCCTTTGGGCAGGTGGAACTTCTTTGATGCTATCAAACAATGGAGAAAACAAATGAAGCAGTAGATGGCCACAATTGCTAATAGCCCGAACCAGTTCATAACAGCAACCATAGGAGTGAGGCCAACTCTCCTCCAGTCCATGGTTTCTTCCTGGTAGCAGTGGTTATAAGTAGGACATTACAGATCGTGAAATCTTGGTTTATTTTTATTGGCTATGGTGACTCCATTTGGAGGAGCAGCTGGTCCTGGGCTCCCAGAGTTTTCCAGCTGGGGGACTCCCTGAATCATTTCTCATTTACCACCCAATGACTCCATGAAATTCATCCCAATCTTGAAGAGAAACTCACAATATTACATGTTACTCCATGTTGGTTACTAATTATTGCTTTATATACTGTAATTTTTACTCATATACTGGCATTAACATGAGAAAAGGGTTATCATTACCATGGCAATGAGGAGTAACGTTTGTGAAACCCATTGCCCCAAAACACTTTATTCCCTTTGGTCATACTCATTTACTCTTACTTTTTCAATAGCTAAGAATTTAGACGCAATTCCTCTGAGCTGGCTAATGCAAGAGATTTACATGCTAGTACTTCCTTTAATCATCAAAATAACCCTTTCAGGTATTATTATTATTATTATTATTATTACTATTATTATTATTTGCTATTTTACAGCTGAGTAAATTGAGGCACGGAGAAGTAATTTGCCCAAAGTCACAAAGATAGAAAGTAGTGGAACCAGGATTTGATATCAGGAGTTCTGACTCAAAAGCCTGCATGCTTAGCTATATATATTTACTTCTTTCCAGCTATGGCTTTGATTCTGTTATCTTCAGTTGTCACAAGACAACATACAAAGACATGTTCTTCTAAATCTATTATTATAGAATATTGTACTCATATTTTAATTAACATAATCTCATGATTATACTTTTGCAAACCCCCTAACTAAATACATGTATTTTCTGTTTAGCCTAATATATTTCTCTGCTCACATTGTTGTATAGGAAATTACACTGATGCAATGTTAGCTTTCGAATACACTACCAGAGATCACTGAACAGAAAGACACACACAAAATTAAGACACTTTAATCACATGCTTTATTAAGTCAATTTAAAACATATAATGAAAATCAAGGGGGAGAAGATACAATAGGTTAATGCACTTAGGATAGTATACAAGTGGGGTGACTAGACAACCTGAATGCTGGGTTATACAATGTTCATATATCTGTCTCTTTGCTACATCAGCGTTTCGAACTGGGGCTGTGGTTATGAGGATGAGAATGAGGTTTGAGGAAAGGGGCCCTAACAAACAAATAGAAGGCTTCTGGGGGACAGACCTGCTCTATCCGAGAAATACAAGGACAAGCACACCTACTAACAGCTTTAGTGTGCCAGTTAGATTGCCAAATAGCTTTGGGTTTTGTCTGTATTTTTTTTGGCAGAGAGCATGTAGGGGCAGAATTGAACTGGGTTAGATAGCTGATTTAAGGATAGTTGTCAGCCCAGACTGGCATAGTTTTACCCTAGGACTTGGTCTTTTCAAACCTCCAGTCATTGAGCAATGCTCTTATTTATTCCATTATATACCCCATCTATTCTGTCTTCAACATGCCTTATAAGTTGAACTTACTATCCATATTTAACACATTGTGATGTCACCATGTTTCACAAGCTACTTGCTATCTCTACTTAATATTCCCTATGAATTTTGCCTCTTCTCTTAAGCTGTTAACTTATTACCAATGCTTAACAATCCTTGAGTTTTATCCATGCCGTTTGTTTTGCTTATATTTTTTTAGAAGAATGGAGTATTCTTAAATAATGGAGGAAATACATATTATTCAAGTGCAATAGATTTCCTTTCTTACCATCAACTGATGAGTAAAAAGTATCCAGATTAAATAGAGTTTTAAATTCAGTGCTCAAGTGAGGATTGGACAAATGGTATTATGAATGGGTGGGTTTCTTTGGTTGAGGTATCAGAAAAGCTTTTGGAAAAGGCGAGTTGGAGCCAATGCTCAGGTTCTTTATACTGGTTAGTTTGATTTCCTTTGTCTTATGTCAACTCATGAGACCTTTCTGTCACTCTTAGAGAGCAACACAAATGTTAAGAATTTTCTCAACTGGTTTCCATTACTGAGGAAAACCATTCCCAGAAGTCTGGCGTTGAATATGACCAGAGTAGATATGAATTCTCTTCCCTTAAAGCAGCCTGGAATAAACTAGGGTTTATTCTCAGCGGAGTTTTGGCATGATATCTTTTGTGAAAAGGGTAAACCTTTTCCAGCTACGATTGCCTTTATAACTCATCTATACCTTAATTTTCACAATGAGTGGAGGATGCAGGTAAAGGATTTATGGGATGCAAAAATCCTTTTGAAGCTTCTTCCAGAAAAGCTACTTTGCTGAGGGTTTGCAATACTACAGTTAAGAATCCTCTTAGAAGTATTATAGAAAAGGACCACCTGGTTGTTACAGAAAATTAAAAATGCAGAGCTTATTGGAATGTTAATCGTATGCATGGGCAGTTTAGGAGGTTTGACCAGTGGCATCAGGGTTAAGCCTGTTGAAGATCATGCATTTTAGCGCTCATATTTTTTCATATGGGGACTGAATTATCCCAGATATTAAAAAGAAGAGAAAGTAAAATGTTCAGGAGCTTTCCTCAATAGTTTTTAGAACTGGGGCTTATTACTCTCTTGATGGCAATTTCTAGCCTGTTGTTCTACTGAATTGCCAGGAATAGCGATGCTAGGTGTGAAGTTATTAACCATCTCAGGAGGGCTATCCTTTAGGACAAGGAGACCACCAGGGACTTGAATGGGAGAACTGATTCCAGGCATTAAAGGTCCTTGTGGACAAAATCATTTAGCCATGCTTCTTTGGTGGATGGGCCCCACCAGTCTGCTTCCTTACTGTGACACATCTCCTTTCTTATTTAATGGAATAGATATCAAATAAATAACTAAAATAAGATAAATGAAGGAAAAAAATAAGTAGATATTGTTTTATTCCCATTCAGTAATGGAGTGTGTAAACAACTTTGACCTGAAAAACCTGTAAACATGTAACAGCAGCGAGGATGGATGATTCTTTGGTATGGTGTTTGGGGTTAGTGTTGGATTTCTACTTTTGAGCCAGACATGCCTGGGTTACATGCTGAGGGCATAACCAGGTAAAGAATATTTTGCTGATGTAAGGAGTCATCCACATTAAGACCTGGTTTAACTAAGCAGTTTTCTGACCTCACCACATGTGGCTTGCTACCTGCTATTAAAGATTCTTGCTTTTGATGATACATGTAGACAGCGCAGGTAAGATCAAGTACTGATAAGCAATACGACTTATTAGACGTTTAAGGTATGGTATGCTACCAATGATACGCCACCCCTGAATATAGACTGATAGCTATAGAGATATACCATACTCTTGGAGGATATTTTACTGTGTGACATTCTGCTGTATCTAGAAAAGTAAGAAAAAAGATATTAGAGTATGATAACTTGAGAAATGATTTTTAGATGTTGAAATTTAGTGTGCAGCCAGTGATTTAAAGTAAAGCACTGGCTATTTGGATTGCAATTAAGAATGAGATTTTTGAATATTTATTTCTAATTTATGTTGTACATACTGCAAGGGTATCTGAGGTGGCGTGAAATTAAAACCACCAAATTGCCGTTAAATCAAAGATAAAGAGTGAGATATAAATAGTGAAGCAGGGGGGTGGTTTTAATAGAATATCCTGGGTTAAGGTAGTAATTACAACTGGGGGAAATATTTACTTCCAAGTTTCCTGGAGTCAAGATCCAAATGAAAATGGAATGAGTTAAATAACTTTCCTTGTTTAATAATGAAAAATATACTGGTGTGTTAGGAGAAAACTTTTAACTGGCACAAAATTCTAACAAGAATTTATTGCATTGATCTTAACTTTAGGTGCATTAAGCTTCATAAACCAACCTCATTTCCAGTTCTATCTTACTTATTTAACTTTATTAACCTCGTCTGTCTCACTTATTTTAAATTTATTCTATCATACTATATCTTCATATCTTTGTAAGCCACCAAAATCCTACAT
This sequence comes from Homo sapiens, assembly GCF_000001405.40. Classification (NCBI taxonomy): domain Eukaryota; kingdom Metazoa; phylum Chordata; class Mammalia; order Primates; family Hominidae; genus Homo; species Homo sapiens. Next base: position 96,125,575 of record NC_000013.11, read on the forward strand.
AGCATAAGGCACAGTATAAACAAAATAAAAATAAGTACCATGATGAGTAGGGTCTTTAATTACAGTTTTTATACAATATGCATAATCATTTAATGGGGTCATTTATAATTGACTCTTTTTTGTTATAAAATATATAAATTTATTAAAAGTTATGCTAAATGATGACATTTCTTATTTCTTTTTTCTTCCATTTTTTTATTTTTTATTTTTTTATTATTATTATACTTTAAGTTTTAGGGTACATGTGCACAATGTGCAGGTTAGTTACATATGTATACATGTGCCATGCTGGTGTGCTGCACCCATTAACTCGTCATTTAGCATTAGGTATATCTCCTAAAGCTATCCCTCCCCACTCCCCCTACCCCACAACAGTCCCCAGAGTGTGATGTTCCCCTTCCTATAATTGACTCTTGAAAAAGTTTTACAAGTAACGGCAGGTGGTCAAGATTCTGCTAGAACATTTTAGCCAGTGACTGTGGCTATTTAATTTTAATTCCGTAAACGCATGTGCTTCCTTTCCTCCTGATCTCTCATAATTATACTTCTCCCAGACCTGCTTGCTGACCTCATATAGACCATTAATCCCTTAGTCCTCTCCTTTTCCACATCTGCTAGTCAGCCCCCTTCTTGACTTCTATTCTTTTCCAACCTAGTAGGGGCCATGTGGTTTATCATCCTAACTACTCTTTCACCAGCATTTTTAACTGTGCTACGCTTGGTCTCCTCCAGCACCCCACTCTGCAAAATGTGGAATCAGGATTGATGCTACAGTTTGCTGCTTCCTCTCCACATGACCTTAGTCGTTGAACCCTTGTCACAGGTGCAACTAGCTGGGGCTGGCCTCATGGATGGTAAAGGAATTTACTAAGACAGTTGTAGGTAAAGAAAGGCAGAGTTATTAGAGAAAGTAGGAAGATACATTGCAAGGGTGCAATGGGCAGCATAGCAGAAAAGGGGCTGTCTGCAAAGAGGCAGGGGCTGGAGGGAAGTCCATAGGGTCGTGCTGCTGGGGCTCCATGCACATAAGGTGTGCAGATAAGGTTGTGCTGCTGGGGTTATGTACGGTATTTGGGAACAGGATGTTGGGCCAGCGGGTTGTCTGTGATTGGCTATCTCTTGGAACAATTGTACTCCCCAATCTGCGACTCTTTCATCACTGTTGTTTATTTATCTTATTAGGGCTCCACAACCCTGTTGGAGGAAACCACGCAAATGTTCAGCCTGTTGCCATGACATCATCAAGGGGTCCTGGCTCATCTGGGCCTCTATGCCTTCAGTTTTTCACCTCTCTCTTTAGTCTTCTCCTTCACCTCCTTTCCTCTACCCCCAGCTCTCATTCTCAGTAGATGGCCTTTGTTTGCTGCTGCATCAAGAAAACTGGGCCTATAAAGGTGATCCCTACTTCTTCTGACTTCCACCTGAAAATTTAGCTACCATTTCGGCCATCTTTATTGTTTTTTCCAATCAAAGACAATGAAGTGTTTGGCACTCTATTTCATACCTGTAATGGACTGAATGTTTATGTCCCCACAAAATTCATCTGTTGAAGCCCTACCAAACAATGTGATAGTATTAGGAGATGAGGTCATGGGGGTGGAGCCTCATATGCTAATGTTGGCTACTATGCTAATTCCAATGGATACTTGCCATTCTTCTATGTCAGTGGTTCCCAACATTTTTGGTACTAGGGATGGGTTTTGTGGTGTTTCCATGGACCGGGAGTGGTTGGAGGTCGGGGGATGGTTTTGGGATTAAACTGCCCCACCTCAAATCATCAGGCATTAGATTTTCATAATGAGCATCTAACCTTGATTTCTTGCATGTGCAGTTTACAATAGGGTTTGTGCTCCTATGAGAATCTAATGCTGCTGCTGATCTGGCAGGAGGCAGAGCTCAGGTGGTGTTGCTCGCTTGCCTGCCACTCACCTCCTGCTGTGCCACCTGGTTCCTAACAGGCGACGGACTGGTATTGGTCTGTGGCCTTGGGGTTGGGACCCCTGCTCTATGTGATTAATTTCTGGTTGGAGCCGTCTGTTATCAGGCTTTCTTGGTTCTCCTTGTATCTCTCTCACTATTGCCTTTTCTGTCTTTCTAAAATTCTCTTTTATCCTACCAATGCCCTTCAAATGCTGGTGTTATTTAGATATATGTCCTTAGTTCTGCTCTTATTCTAGGTACGGTACTTGCAGGATCTCACACATTTCTGTAATTTCATCTACCCCTTGTGTGCTCATTGGTTGCTTAGGAATCAGAGTGAAGTCATCTAGAACTGTAACATTCTGGTTATTTGAACTGCTTAAATATTAGAATGTAGAGAAGTAGGAAGAGGTAACAGCTAGCATATTCCCAAAGGTTTTGAAATAAGATCCCCATACCCACTGCAACAGAATCACTTAAGTATATATACCCAACCCTATCCCTGAATTTCTGAGTCAGTGTGATTGGAATGGGGCTTGGGAATCTGTATTGTCAAAGGCTTCGTGAATTGCTTCTGTTGTACACTTATCGAGTGATTACTGTATGTTAAGTACTGGGCTAAGTTAGAAAGCCAGTGTTTTGTTATGGAAATTTAAAACCCTTATCTGTTTTCTCCAGTTATTAAGTTTCCTGACTGCAGGATGACCTACGGGTGGGATCAAAACTTTCTTCTAAAAGCAGCTCTGAATGTGCTTATAACTAATAGAGTTGACGTAGTGTTTGGTTCTGTCCTGTGAGGCATAGCAGTGTGGTGGCCCAGAATATTTAGAAGGCAAAGATTTGCCGATTGTTTGTCCCATGGATATCCTCTCTGGACAGCTGCTGACATTGAGCTGTGCTGTGTCAGGATGGGTCCAGCATGGGTTGGCTTTAAAGTGCATTCCAAGATAACTAAGTGGAAGAAGTTGCAAGCTGGATGTCGGCTGAGGCTCTCCTCCTTAGTTGGCTCCTCAGGAAGGTGCTGCATGGTTTTGCCCTACTTTGGTGCAAAGCTCATCTCCCTTCAAGTTCCCAGGGCCTCCATTTTCATCTGTTAGTTTACTGGAGATTTGGGGCTCATGCGGGAATTGCATTTGATATCTGCAGTCTCTCTGCATCTCCTGGTTCACCCCTTTCCTGGCTTTTCTGTCTTCTTTCTCTTCCCCTCAATCACATTCTCTCTCTTCCAAAAACTAGACACCTTCCCTTCTTTGTTTGATGCAGAGAGCTTGATAACTACCATTTAAAAATGTGAATGTGCCTGGGAGATCTTTCCCTTCATCCCAAGAGGTTTATCAAAGTATTTTTTTTTCCCCTGTGCTTTTTTTTTTTGGCGGAGTTTTGCTCTTGTTGCCAGACTGGAGTGCATTGGGGCAATCTCAGCTCACTGCAACCTCTGCCTCCTGGGTTCAAGTGATTCTCCTGCGTCAGCCTCCCTAGTAGCTGGGATTACAAGTGCTCACCACCACACCTGGCTAATTTTTTGTATTTTTATTAGAGACAGGGTTTCACCATGTTGGCCAGCCTCATCTCCAACTCCTGACCTCAGGTGATCCGTCTGCTTCAGCCTCCCTCCCAAAGTGCTGGGATTATAGCTGTGAGCCACCATGCCCAGCTCCCCTTAAGAGCAATTCTGGCAATAAAATTTTCTCTGTCTCACTTTCTAAAGTGTCTCAATCAAAGCTGTTTCTTAAACATGAAAATGTTGGTGGTGATATAGGCAACAGCCTGAGTGGTTTATTCTGGCCATGGTTCTGCAAGAAGATCGTTTTGTACTTCTGAGGAAGGATGCCATGGGAAGTAAACATGCATCCAGGTAACCTGATAACTGTATTAAGGCATATGGAGTAAGTTACAGAGGGTGGAACCTGCAGCATAGTTTTGGTTTAGGTAATTTGGGATTGGAGTTTATTGAAACATCTTCTGTTCTGGTTCTTGTGGTTCTGGTACAATAAAGTCATTTCATGTCCCTGGGATCTCTATCTGTTAGTTTGTATGAAACCAAGAATGATTGGGAACCAGGAATCAAAGTTAATTTGGAGCTTATCTTATCTTAAAAAATTAATCTGACTTATCTTGAGTAATAGTAATGGTGTTTTGTGTGATGATTTGAATTGTGTTTCCCCAAATTTATATGTTGTCCTCCTAATCCCCAGTACCTCAGAGTGTGGCCTTATTTGAAGACAGAGTCTTTACCAAGTTAAAATGAGGTTATTTTAGGCTGGACCTGAATCCAGTATGACTGGTGACCTTACAAAAAGGGGAAATTTGAAGACAGACTCACATAGAGGGAGATGGGCCTGAAATAAATTGTTCTCTCATACCCCTTAGAAGCACCAACTCTGTAGATTGCTTGATTTTGGACTTCTTACCTCCAGAACTGTGAGGTAATAACATATTTCTGTTGATGAAGCCACCATGATGATGGTACTTTGTCATGCCAGCCCTAGGAAACAAATTAGCAAACTAGTGTAGTGTGTCTCATTCCTGGTGCAGAATTAGACTAAATAATTCAGCTCTGTATTTAGAGAGGGGAAGATAATAGCAAAGAGTTTGAAAGATATTCCCACCAAAAATGAGAATATGTAATTTTGGGGAGAAGGATGCTAACTTTTTGGTATATACATTAATTTATACTAGGGTTTTCAAACTTTACTTGGTAGGGAATCTTTTTTGTTTTTTAGAAGAGTGTTAAAGGACACACTAGCAGAATGGCTTTGCTTTGGTTGAAAGGGCATGCGTGTGGTGCTGGGAGGGCATTGGTGGCTGTCACCCTCCCCTGAGGTGTCCTGGAACCTTAACCCTTTAAGAGACAGTGGGAATATTGTTGGCAACTATTCTGAGTTGACCTAGAAGGAACTGTGCCTGAAGGGTTAATTAGACTCTGCAGGGATCAGGATTTGTTATCATTAAAATGAGTAATATTGTCCTATAGGCAAAACATGATTTCTGGAAAAGAGATTAATTACATCTGTCATTTGAGATGGTTGACCAGATAGTATTTGAGGAAGCTTTTAGGATCTCAAGACATGGGGTGAATACCATGGGGAAAAAATAACATACCTAACCAATCATTGTGAACTTGTCTTTCCTTAATTCCTTTTTCTTGAGGTAATGCCAGGAGCACCTATATCCCCAAATCTGCATTCATTATTGGCCCTATTGGTTAAGCCTTGGGCTTTTCAGTCAGCTCTCTAGTATTGCATTAAAAACTGCTTATAAAAGGATTTGCATTTAATGAATTTCTGTGCAGCTTTCTCTGAGCTCTTTATCCTATCCTTCCTAGTCTGGAACTTCCTCCTTCAATTATTGCTGCTTTCAGATTTTCAACCTCTTCTTCTCTGATGGCTCATTCCTTGCAGTTATTAGAAATGTCCAAGCCTTACCCATTTTGCCAAACCCTAAGATACCCTCTGCTGGCCCTGCAGCCCTGCTCAGCTACCTGCATTCTTAACGCTGTTCCCTCCCACTACCAAGCAGAGTATTTGAGGGCCAGGGGGTGTCAGGGACTGCGTGAGCGACTGCCATGGCAAGTGTACTGTTTCTGATCTTTCTAGGCTTTCCTCAGCTCACTGCCCTCAGCTTTCCATTAAAACTGCCTTGAAATCCTTTGCCAGAAACTGTAAGTCTTGGAAGGTCAAATCTTCACATCTGCTGCCTTTGAGCTGAACTCAAAACAAGTCATTAACTACATGTAAGAGAAGAGTATATTTTACTTTACTAAAGAAACTCTTCTATTCATTGAAACTGCTTCCATTTATTCTTTAGAATGTTTTTCTTTGTTTATTAGTCTACTTAAGGCTTAGGATATTTTTTCTTTTAAACAAATTAAAAAAAATCTTACTGGTTGAAGTTAAACATTTTATTGAGGTTTACTTTTTTTAAAAAAACTTAAAAAAATTGACACAATTGTATGTATTTATGATGTACTCATGACGTTTTGAAATATGTATGTTGTGGAATGACTAAATAAATCTAATTAACATTATGTATTACCATACATGCTTATCATTTATTTGTAGTGAGAATGCCTAAAATCTACTTTTCTAGCAATTTTCAAGTATATAATACATTGTTATTAACTATAGTCACTAAGTTAAGTTTCTTGACCTTATTCCTCCCATCTAATTGAAATTTTGTATCCTTTGATCAGATCAACATCTCCCTAGTCTCCTCTCCCTCCCCTAACTCCTGGTAACCACTATTCTACTCTTTTTTTTTTTTAATCACATATCATTTATTACCTAGAAAATAAAATGTCTAAGATAGATAATGGCGTGGAGACCATCTAATTATTTTTAAATTTGTAACCTGACAAACGTCACAAAATTGTTAGGAAGTTTTCACTAAGCCTTATATCATGGAAAAGATAAAAAAAAAGGTAAAAACTTTTATATGGTACTCTACTTTTTATAAAACATTACACTCTGAGTTCAATTTTTTTAGATTCCACATATAAATGAGATCATGTGGTACTTGTCTTTGTGTGTCTGGCTTATTTTATATAACATAATGTCCTCTAGGTTCATCCATGTTTTTGCAAATGACAAGATTTCCTTCCGTTTTTCAGACTGAATAGTATTCCAGTACACACACACACACACACACACACACACACACACACACACACACACACACAGAGCGCATTTTCTTTTTCCATTCATCTGTTGATAGACATGTGGGTTAATTCTGTATCTTAGCTATTACGAATAGTTCTACAAGGAACATGGGAGTGCAGATATATTTTCAATATATTGATTTCCTTTCTTTTGGATATAGCCCCAGTAATGGGATTGTGAGATCATATGGTAGTTCTATTTTTAATTTTTGAGGAACCTCCATACTGTTTTCTAAAATGGCTGAATTTTTTCTTTTTCTTTTTTTTTTTTAAGACAGGGTCTTGCTCTGTCACCCAGGCTGGAGTGCAGTGGCACACAATCACAGCTCACTACAGCCTCGACCTTACAGGCCCAAGCAGTCTTTCAGCTCAGCCTCTTGAGTGGCTGGGACCACAGGCGTATGCCACTATGCCTGTCTAATTTTTAAGTTTTTTGTAGAGATGGGGTCCCACTATGTTGCCCAGGCTGGTCTTGAATTCCTGGCCTCAAGTGATCCTCCCACCTCAGCCTCCCAAAGTGCTGGGATTGCAGGTATGAGCCACTGCACCCCCCAGCTAATGGCTGTATTAATTTATACTCCCCATCAATAGTGTACAGGTGTCCCTTTTTCTCCACATTCTCACTAACCCTTGTTATCTTTTGTCTTTTTGTTAGTAGCCATTATAACAGGTGTGAGGTAATATCTCATTGTGGCTTTAATTTGCATTTCCCTGACGATTAGTAATGTGGAGCATTATTTTATATACATGTTGGCTACTTGTATGTTTTTTGAGAAATGCCTCTTCAGACATGTTTATTTGCCCATTTTTTTTTAATCGGGTTATTTGTTTTCTTGCTATTGAATCTTTTGAGTGCCTTTTATATTTGGATATTAACTCATAATATACATGGTTCTCAAATATTTTCTCCCATTCTGTGGATTGTCTCTTGACCTTATTGTTTCCTTTGCTGTGTAGAAGCTTTTTAATTAATTAATTAATTATTATTATTTTTTGAGATGGAGTTTCGCTTTTTTGCCCAGGCTGGAATGCAGTGGCCCAATCTCAGCTCACTGCAACCTCCGCCTTCCGGTTTCAAGTGATTCTCCTGCGTCAGCCTCCGAGTAGCTGGGATTACAGGTGCCCACCACCATGCCTGGATAATTTTTGTATTTTTTGCAGAGATGGAGTTTTACTATGTTGGCCAGGCTGGTCTTGAACTCCTGACCTCGTGATCCGCCCGCCTCGGTCTCCCAAAGTGCTGGAATTACAGGCGTGAGCCACTGCACCTGACCTATTATCTTTTTTTTGAGATGGAGTCTCACTCTGTTGCCCAGGCAGGAGTGCAGTGGTGCAATCTTGGCTCACTGGAACCTCTGCCTCCTGGGTTCAAAGGATTCTCCTGCCACAGCCGCCAGAGTAGGTGGGACTACAGGTGTGCACCACCATGGCTGGCTGATTTTTGTATTTTTAGTAGAATCGGGGTTTCGCCATGTTGGCCAGGCTGGACTCGAACTCCTGACCTCAGGTGATTTGCCCGCCTTGGCCTCCCAAAGTGCTGGGATTACAGGTGTGAGCCACTCTGCCTGGCCCTGTGCAGAAGCTTTTTAGTTTGGAGTAATCTCATTTGTCTATTTTTACTTTTGTTGCCTGTGCTTTTGTGATCATAGACAAAAAAAATCATTGTCCAGAGCAACTCTTTGAGCTTTTATGTTTTTTTTTTTTTTTTTAGTAGTTTTACAGTTTCAGGTCTTACATTTAAGTCTTTAATCCATTTTGAGTTGATTAAATGGATTAAAACATGTAATCCATTTTGAGTTGATTTTTGTATGATGTGAGGCAAAGGTCCAATTTCATTCTTCTGCATACAGATATCCTGTTTTCTCAACATCATTTAATGAAGAGACTGTCCTTTCCCCATTGTTTATTTTTGGCATCTTTGTTGAAATCCAGTTGACTGTAAGTTCATGGATTTATTTCTGGGCTCTCTATTCTGTTCCATTGGTCTGTGTGTCTGTTTTTTTGCCAGCCCCTTGCTGTTTTGATTGCCATTTACTTTTGTTGTTCTTTTATTTCTTTATCTTATGAATTTTAGAAAAGTTGAAACTTTTTTTATATTTGTCTTATTACAGTTACACTCTTAAATGTCTCAGCTTATGGCTTTATGTATTTTAATATCTTTTTCTAATACTTTTAATACTTTATATGGTAATTTTTCACTTGTGTTATTTTTTTACCCCCTCTTTTTTGGTGTCATGGTTTTACCTTTATTTATCTTCTTTTCATTTTCTGTATTTAATATTTTTTATTTTGCTCTTTTTCTGATTTTTATTTTTTACCTATTTCCATTTTAACAGTGTCATAATTTTTTCTTTTTATTTCTAAGCTCTTGGTAACTATTGTATAGACTTTACTTTTACTAGCTATTTGCATTGTAATATTCAAAACCCTTTCATGTTTATTTATTTATCTATTGTTTTCCTGATATATTCCATTTCTTTATTATTTCTTAAAATTAAAGACACACAAGCATTTTGTTGGTGATGAAAATTACAAGGACATTCTTGCCTCTGTAGTCTTGGATGTTTTTGTCCTGACCGTCTCTCACAGTTGCTCTTTTGGGTTTGCAGAATCTCTCTCCATATGCCTAGTGTGAATTCTCCAGGTAAAATGAAATCATCATGGATACCCCTAGAATTGCATGTGACACATTTTTGATCCAAGAATAATAGTTTTCTTTATGGAAGGGGCATATTTTATATTAGAATTAGAGTTTTTCTTTTCTTGCATCCCATATTGGTCAGTTGTATATTAGACTCTGCACAGTCTCACATCCATTCTGTCTGACACAGTCATTGGGACCTGCAAGTTTCTCAGCACTGCGCCACATTACTGAAAGAAGAGGTCAGAGGGGAAGGCTGCTCCTGAGACCTGGCATTGCTGAAGAAACTTCTAAAAGACCATTCTGGAAGGAGGCTGTATAGTGAGATCACAGTCATGCTCCTGAAATCTGTTCTACCTCACCCTGCCTTGCATGTTGAGTTGGACCTGCCACCCTTCTTAGCAGGTTTATGGGAGACTGCTGGGTGTGTTGATCTTCTTCCTTCATTCCCATGTGTCCCAGGAACACGTGGGCTGCAGTTATCACCGTGGACTTTCTTTCCTTTTTTAAAGAAAATACAAACTTGGACAAATAAAAGTAGAACTCTACTGCTCTCTGTTATGGTAAGAACACACAGTGAATCATAAGTCTGGTCTTAGACATATACTTTAAAAATAGAATGGTGAGGTAACTTAAAAATCATGTCATATGAGGAACAGTTGAAGGAATATTGAGTCTAATTATAAGAGGAATTTAAAGAAAATTTGTTTGCTATTGGCGGTATCCCTAGGGCTGTCATGGAAGAGGAGTTTGCTAACTAGGGCAGAACTAGATGCAATGGGTGGAATTTACAGGGATCCAAGTTTTTCTGTGTTTATGGAGAAAAACAATTCAAATGTGAAAACTGTTAAACCACACGGCATACTGCTTCAGAGCGGACCAAGATGGGCTAATAGGGCCGTTGTTAGGGAGGTGTTGTGCCTATTAACTTCAGCAGGGATGGTGCCCGGTTCAAGAGGCCAGAGACCCACAGCCAGTGAATTAGGCATAGAGTTTTATTGAGGACTTACAGGGATGGCTCAGTGGTAGCAGGACAGAAGAACCACTACCACTTATAAAAAGCATGCAGTTTATATAGCATTTTCACTGAGCACCTCCACCCCCACCAACAAACTACACCTGGCAACCTTCACTTACCCCAAAAGAAAGGGCCTCTCTCCCCTGTGCAGCCTGCATTCCACCGGTGGGCTCAGATATTTCTCATAGATAAGGAATGAATCTTCTGATTGGCCACACTTGGAACTCCCAACACACATTCAGGTGTGTCTGCCGTATAGGGTCATTCTGAGGGTATGCTTAAGGTAAGTTATCACCGTCAGGTGCACCTACAATACACAGGTTTGTTTACCCTATAGGAGGTTAGAAGTTTCTGTGATTCTTTGACCTTGTGTTCATTTTACCTCTGGCCTTAAATTGGATTTTTAAAGAAAATAAATTTTATTGTGTATTGTATTAGTTTATTCTTCTATAAAACAATACTTGAGACTGGGTAATTTATAAAGAAAAGAGGTTTAATTGGCTCATTGGCTTCCACGGGCTATATGGAAGCGTGGCACCATCTGCTTCTGGGGAGGCCTCAGGGAGCTTTTACGCGTGGTGCAAGGCAGAGCAGGAACAGGCGTCTTACATGGTAGGACCAGGACCAAGAGAGAGAAGGGGGAGGTGCTGCACGCTTTTAAACAATCACATCTTGTGAGGAGTCTATCACTATACAGTACCAAGGTTGGAGGGATGGTGTTAAACCATTTATGAGAACTCCACCGCCGTGAACCAGTCGCCTCCCACCAGGCCCCATCTCCAACACTGGGGATTATAGTTCGAGATTTGGTGGGGACAAAAATCCAAACCATATCATGTATATTTAAGGTATACAGCATGATGTTATGAAACATATATATATATATATATATATATATATATATATATAGTAAAATGGTTACTACAGTGAAACAAATTAACATATACAAATGATTTGATTAGCCTATTTCAAAATAGGATATTTGCATTTGCAATGAGTTTCTTCATCTACTTTTACTTATTTTGATAGAAGAAATCCTTTCTCCTCAGCATCATCCTTGGTTAGATACCATCTAGGTATTGATGGTTTTCCTCATATCCTGTAGACTTTGTGGTGTGAAAGGGTCATGCTAGACAAAAGGTCTGTGCATTGAATTGGAATCATTTTAGAGCTAAACCCTTAGCTTTCTAGAGACTTATTTTATCCCAGTTTTCCTTAATGAAATATAACTAATATATGATGAAATGCACAATCTCAAATATGTAGTATGTTTTGGCCATTGTATATACCTTGCAGCTACTTCCTGGATGTTCTTTCATGCCCCCTTTTAATTGATTTCTTCCTCCACCCCCACCCCCACCCCCATTTAATAACCACTTTCTGACTTCTGTAACCATTGATTAATTTTGCCTGTCCTTGGGCTTCATATGCGTGGAATCATACCACATGTACTAATTTGTGTCTGACTTTCTCCACCCAGCATGTTTTAGAGGCTCATCATCTATGTTATTGCAGGTATGAATAGTTTGTTTATTTTTATTGCATTTCATGGTATGAATACATCATTTTTCCATTCTACCCTCTGGAGATTTTGTTTCTTGCTCCCTAGAGGAACAATCCTGAACATTTTTTTTTTTTTTTGAGACAGAGTCTCGCTCTGTCACCCAGGCTGGAGTACAGTGGTGCGATCTTAGCTCACTGCAACCTCTGCCTCCCGGGTTCAAGCACTTATCCTGCCTCAGCTTCCCGAGTAGCTGGGACTACAGGCATGTGCCACCACACCTGGCTAATTTTTGTATTTTTAGGAGAGAGGGGGTTTCACCATGTTGGCCAGGCTGATCTTGAACTCCTGACCCATGATCCACCCACGTTGGCCTCCCAAAGTACTGGGATTACAGGCCTGGCCTTTCTGCCGCCGTGGGCCACCATGTCAGCATTTGACCCTACAAGGCCCATCCCTGTTTCAGGCCGCCCAGGGAAGCAGATAAGGAAGTTGCAGGGACTATCCTGAACATTTTTAAAGAATGTTGAATTCTTTAGGCAAGCTTCTTTCTGACCTCATTACTTAATATTGTCATGTTTTTACATCATTGTGCCTATTTTTATTGAAAGAAACAAGTAAGACAATTGACGTGCAGTGTAAAATGCTGATAAGTAAGTGTCTAGTTCCTGGAAAGTCTTCAGTGAATGTGAGAGCTGTAATGATAGCAATTAACAGTTTACCTAATTTTGCCCCCAATACTTTTAGACCAGTAGGGTAAAGTTGAATGCCCTGGAAATCTGTGAAAGTTTAGTGGAGGTTTTAGTAAATTGAGTTTCAGCAAATTTAAAAGTAATTTACAAAATCTGTTATGAATAGCACAGGAATTGAAATGTCACTTCCTCAAATTTATGAATAGCTTTACATGTTCAAAGTTATATTCTTTTTGAAATAAAGTAGTGAATTATATTTGTTATCACTTTATACTAGCTAAAGATTGAAACTAACCTACTGTGCAATAATAAGAGAGCTGAAAAAACTTATTTTATCAGCTTTATTGAGGTATGGTTGATATATAACATATATAAATATATATGTTTACAGTTTATAAATATATATTTACAGTTTATAAATATATATTTACAGTTTATAAATATATAGTTTATAAATACATATATACAGTTTATAAATATATATATTTACAGTTAATAAAATTTGATACATTTTCACATGTTTGTACCATAAAACCGTCACCACAACCAAGATGATGAATACATCCATCATTTCTAAAAGTTTCCTTGCGTCACTTTAAAATTTTTCTCTCCTGTCCTAGCTTTCACCCAGTCCCATCAACCACAAATCAGATTTCTGCCAATATGTATTAGTTTGCATTTGTAGAGCTTGGTTAAGTGGATAGTAAAATAAATTATGGCCTGTCTACATTGTGTTAAAATTAAAATAATGCTTTTGAAAAATAATTACATGGGAAGTACTTACGTGAGATACAGTGTTATGTGGAAAAAATGATATAAAATTATAAGTACAGACTGATTTTAAATTGGCACACACAAAATGCCATTAACATGTATAGAAAAAAATGAAGGAAACATCTTAAAATATGGTTATTTCTGGGTATGCATGATTATGGGTGGTTTATTTAATTTATACTATTTTATATTTTCTAAATTTAGTAAAATCAGAATACATTATTTTATAATCAGAAAAAAAAGTAAAGCAAGCCTTGAATTAGGCGATCTAAGTATACAGCAAACGTTTTATAATGCATTTCCACTTGGCTGAGGAATTGTCACTTGAAGATTTCAGCTGTAAATAGTTAAGAATGTATTCTCTAAGCGAAAGGAAAAGTTGTGATAAAGAAGCACCGTTTTTTTTCTGGAAGTGCTGGAACGCTTTGGATATTAATATAATTTTTCTGAGTAATCATGTTAATAACTATGGTATGTGAAATAATTCCTGCAGTAGCTGACTGCTTAGCCTTCTGGAACTGAACTGAACGCATTATGTGAGCTCTCTTGGTAATGAAGGTCGCAAATCAAAGGAAAGAATACATGAAAAAAGGATTAGAACAAAAAGAGATAAAGCCATAACCCTACATCCCTGTTATAATGAATCCTGTAATTTGATGAGTGTAAGCGGGTAAAAAATGGCATTTAATGAATTAAGGATGAGCTGATCTTCCCTGTTGTCAGTTGGGAATGAAACCCTTTTCCTGAAATACTGTAAGATTCAGAAAAAAAAAAAAAAAAAAAAAAAAAATCCATGTATAAGTTAATTTGGTATATATATAAGGAAATTATAATTCTTATAAAATTATAATTCATGGTGAAGTGTACATCATGAAGAGATGAAGAGTAATTTTTCTTCATGAGTTTTGCATAGGACTACAGTGTATGAAACATAGCAATGATTACAAAGTTTATATATTTATTTTTACTTACTTCAACAAAATAGTAATTGCCTACCTTGTGTTAGTAGGCCTCTAGGAAAAAGATTTTTAAAAAGCAAAGAGTGGTATCTCTGTTCTCAAGACACATAAAGTTTAGTGCATTATTTGGGTGCAGTACTTGGGCCTAAAACCAAGTATCCACAGTCTACCCTTAAACAACATGGGTTTGAACTGCAAGGGTCTAATTATATGCAGATTGTTTTCAATAAATATATTGGAAAGTTTTTTTGAGATGTGGGACAATTTGAAAAAACTCACAGATGAGCCGTGTAGCCTAGAAATTTCAAAAAATTAAGAAAAAGTTAGATAGGTGATGAATATATAAAATACAGATAGATACCAGTCTATTTTATTATACGCTAACCATAAAATATACACAGATCTATTATAAAAAGTTAAAATATATCAAAACGTATGCAAACAAACACATACCATACATACTGCCAAAATGTAAACAAACATAAAGGTGCAGTATTAAATCATAACTGCATGAAATTAACTGTATATATATTGTATTACTGTAATAATTTTGTAACCACCTTCTATGGCTATTGCAGTGAGCTCAAGCATTGTATAGGCTTAAAACACTGTGTGACACTAATTCAGTTTACTAGACAGCTGTTCATCTCTCTGGTAAATTGCTTATTGCAGTGAAAACTGATCTCTCTCGGTTCTGGTATATTTTTCATAGTATGTAGTGCAACATTGTAAACCTTGACTAACACCATGGGACCCCAATGTAATGGCACTAGTGATGCTGGAAGTGGTCCCAAGAAGCAGAGAGATGTCATGACATTACAAGAAAAAGTTTAATTGCTTGATATGTACCATTGACAGAGGTCTGCAGATATGGTTTCCTGCTATTTCAAAATAAATGAATTTTGCATAAAGACCATTGTAAAAGAAAAAGGAAACCGTGAAGCCATTGCTGCAGTTACACTAGAAGGTGAGAAAACCTTGTACTTCTTATGAAATCCTTTTTATCTCATATCAAAAATGCAGCTTTTATGTGGTGCAGGATTACTGTAAGAAAGGCATACCTACAGATTCTACTATTGATTGAAGAAAAATTGAGATCATTACGTGACAACTTAAAGAAAAAGGAAGGGGAAGGATCAAAGCTGGAGAATTTACTATCAGCAAAGGATGGTTTAATAATTTTAGAAAGAGGTTTGGCTTAAAAAATGTCAACATAACAGGAGAAGCAGCTTTTCCTGACAAGTTTCCAGATTTTCCGAAGAAAATCATCAAGGAGAAAGGATATCTACCAGAACAGGTTTTTAATGAAGACAAAAGTGTCCTATTCTGGACAAAAGAATGTCACAAAAGATATGTATTAGGAAGAGAAGGGATTTAAGACAGGAAAAGACAGGCTAACTCTACTGTTCTGTGCAAATGCAGTCGGGTTTGTGATGAGGACCGAATTTACAAAGCTGCTAAGCTCGAAACCTTGAAGGAAAAAGTTAACACCAGATGGCAGTCTTTTAGTTGTACAACAAGAATGCCTGGACAATAAGAACTCTATTTCAGGATTGGTTCCAAAGATGCTTTATTCCTAAAGTCAGAAAGTATCTTGCCAGTAAAGGACTTTTTTTTTCTCTTTTAAGAAACAGGGTCTTGCTCTGTTACCCTGTTGCCCAGGCTGGAGTGCAGTGGCATGATCATGGCTCACTGCATCCTCAAACTCCTGGGCTGAAGTGATCCTCCCACCTCAGCCTCCCAAGTAGCTGAGACAGGTGTGCGCCATCATGCCCAGCTAATTTTTTTTCATTTTTGCAGAAGGTGGTCTCGAACTCCTGGCCTCAAGTGATCCGCCTGCCTCAGCCTCCCAGTGTTGGGATTAAGATGTGAGCTACCATGCCTGGCCTAGTGACTGTCTTTTAAATTTCTTTTGATATTGGGCAGTGCCCCTGGCTACCCAAAATGCATGAGTTCAACACTGAAGGTTCCAAAGTGATCGACTTGCTCCCATACTCAGTGTCTCTAATTCAGCCTTTAGATCAGGGGGGTCTTAAGGACCTTTAAGGCTCATTACACACAGTACTCTATGGAAAGAATTGTCAACACTATGGAAGAAAACCCTGAGAGAGAGAACGTCATGAAAGTCTAGAAGGGTGACATCTTTGAAAATGCCATCACTGTTATAAAGTTGTAAATGCCATCAAGCCTGAAACCACTAAATTCCTGCTGAAGAAAACCGTGTCCAGATATGCATGACTTTGCCAGATTTATGACAGAGCCAATCAAGAAATCATGAAAGTGATTGTGGTCATGGCAAAAAAAAAAAAAAAAAAAAAAGCTGGCCAAGGGAGGTGAATGTTTTCAAAATGGGCATCGTGGAGAAATTCAAGAGCTAATCAAGGGTCAAATATATTTTGAGCCTGAAGAAATGAATATTTTCAATACTTATTTTCATCCATTAGTATACTAAAAGGAAATGAAAGTGACAGCATCAATCAATATAGTTATCAATTTCCATTAAAATTAGAGTTTGTGTAATTGTTAACAAAACAAAGTATTCTCTAAAAATATTTAAAGGTAATTGTACATTTTTTCTCACTTATTTTTAGTGGCATTGTCCTTTTGTATTTTTTGGATAAGTCATTCTCCTGGAAAACACTTTTCCCAAAGAACTAACAATTAATTATCTTGCATCCAAGATCCAATATTAGTGAAGTTGAAATAAGACTGAAAAGAATCTGGTACCGAGTCAGTGACTCCTAAGGCAGGTGTCTCAGCTCTCCACCAAAGTGTAAATGGATGCTATCATATTCAATCTAGTAGTAATATAATGTTCACAAGTACATGCATTATACTTTGTATGATTGGAAGGGAATATATTGTACTCTAATTTTCCTGTGGCAAAAAGGTGTGTGAACTGTGGCTATGGGTAGTTATGATACACGGGAACATCTCTTACCATAGTATTATTATAGAAGTTTAGAAATGTGGTAAACATATATGTCAGAAACAATGGTGTATCATGAATACACATGAATAATTAGTGCAATTAAATATTTTATCCTTCTCGTGTGCTTATAGCCTATTTTTCTTCACAAATCCTTCTACTTATTAAAGTGAACCCATTTTCAGGGATGTATTAGAAAATAAAGAAACAGTAATAATGATAATTCAGTAATGTCTTTAAAAAAAGATATTTCAGAGTTAAAGTGCTGATGCTTTCCGAGAGCTTAATTGTATTTAAAAATAAATGAAATTCTGATGACTTACATATTTTACCTCCCCCAAACCTTCCTCTAATGTAAATGCTATTTCATATAAAACTCCTTAAGCAGAACTTGACATCTTTTAAGATCATTCACTATCATAACATAATGTAATCAGCAAGTGTTTTTCACTTCATTTGAAATGTCTCTGTGGATGAACACAGATCCTATTGATAGCAGCCATCAAATGCCTCACTATCATTGTATAATGAAGCTAATATCACTATGAAATAAGAAAATGAACTCTAAAAATCCACGGAGCTCCCCAAAACTTTTTGACAGATCAAAACAAAAACTTTGAGTAAAAATAGTGACACAGTAATGTCTCTTAACCATTTTGTATTTAGGCTGATTATCTGATATATATTCTTGAAACTACCTTGTCTGTTAAAAAATATATAAACATAATATACTAATATATAAATATAATTTTCTTAAGCAAATATATAAATATATGTTTATATAAATATATAATATATATTTTAAGCAGACAAGGCAGTTTCAAGAAGAACCTTAAGTATTTGTAAGTGGTTTATTGCAAATGATTATAATTGAATTTCTAAATTATTTAAAGTGAGGAGATGTCTAAAAATAATACTATGATTTAAGTCCTTGAGATCATTTCTATTTTTAAAATGATTACCATTTACCAAAAAAATAGACTGTCCTAATTAAAAATGAATTATTTCCCTTTCTAGACACACTCTAAACAAACCATTTAATTAAGTTCACTTCTGATTGTTTGGGAGCTGGTTACACAGTTTGTAGATAATTCAGGCCCTCTGTTTCTTTTCTTTCTCTGGCTACTGTCTACCTTCTGTTCATATCAGGGCTTAGCAGCATCCTAATGGGGTTGGATGATAGAGGGGGAGCAATGGAAGAAGCAAGTTAGATGAGTCAATGTTTTTCTTATTAACATTAGGAAAATGTTTTGCCCAAAAGCTGTTAGTTAAAATCAGGCTTTCAATGTACTGTTGATTTTAATTTATGGTATGTGTGTTTCTCATTAACTTGGGGGAATCCTAAACTTAATTCAAAATAAAGGCAGCATGATACAGTGAAAAGCTTTGAAATCAGACACAGTGGGGTCCAAAATCTACCCCTGCTGTTGCTTAACCATATGATTTTGGCAAGAGCTATTTCTTCATCAGTTTAAGGAGGATAAAATATCTGTTTGGCAGAGTTATGAGAATTAATAATCATTTATGTTAAAAATCTAGTATAGAACATATTAGTAATTTTCACCTGAGTGTTTTATAGTTTACTAGAATGTATTTAATATCAGAGGCAATTCCTTGATTATATTAAGATTACTAAGTATACTGTAAAAAATAGTTATTAGAAATGTCAGCTTCCAAACTTTTGATGCATAAATGTAATAACTCATTACTAACATAATTCTATGAAGTTAGTATCCCAGCACAGAGAAAAACACTCACCACTTTTATTCAATGCATAGGAGATTTCCATCAGAATTAGGAGATAAACCTTAATCCTGAGAGGGTTGAAAGTGGAAATGTGAGAGATCCAAGTTCTTTTTCAGGTTGTGTTCACTATCAAATAATCATGTATAAAAATACCTCATCTTATGCAGTTTATGGACTAGATGTGATCTTGAAGTTGCTTATAAATAAAATTATTTTATTTTATTTAATTAATTTTTATTATTATTATACTTTAAGTTTTAGGGTACATGTGCACAACCTGCAGGTTTGTTACATATGTATACATGTGCCATGTTGGTGTGCGCACCCATTAACTCGTCATTTAGCATTAGGTATATCACCTAATGCTCTCCCTCCCCCCTCCCCCCTCCCCCCACCACACAACAGGCCCCAGTGTGTGATGTTCCCCTTCCTGTGTCCATGTGTTCTTATTGTTCAATTCCCATCTATGAGTGAGAACATGAGGTGTTTGGTTTTTTGTCCTTGCGATAGTTTGCTGAGAATGATGGTTTCCAGCTTCCTCTATGTTCCTACAAAGGACATGAACTCATCATTTTTTATGGCTACATAGTATTCTGTGGTGTATATGTGCCACATTTTCTTAATCCAGTCTATCATTGTTGGACATTTGGGTTGGTTCCAAGTCTTTGCTATTGTGAATAGTGCCGCAGTAAACATACGTGTGCGTGTGCATGTGTCTTTATAGCAGCATGATTTATAATCCTTTGGGTATATACCCAGTAATGGGATGGCTGGGTCAAATGGTATTTCTAGTTCTAGATCCCTGAGGAATTGCCACATTGACTTCCACAATGGTTGAACTAGTTTACAGTCCCACCAACAGTGTAAAAGTGTTCCTATTTCTCCACATCCTCTCCAGCACCTGTTGTTTCCTGACTTTTTAATGATTGCCATTCTAACTGGTGTGAGATGGTATCTCATTGTGGTTTTGATTTGCATTTCTCTGATGGCCAGTGATGATGAGCATTTTTTCATGTGTCTTTTGGCTGCATAAATGTCTTCTTTTGAGAAGTGTCTGTTATATCCTTCGCCCAGTTTTTGATGGGGTTGTTTGTTTTTTTCTTGTAAATTTGTTTGAGTTCATTGTAGATTCTGGATATTAGCCCTTTGTCAGATGAGTAGGTTGCAAAAATTTTCTCCCATTCTGTAGGTTGCCTTTTCACTCTGATGGTGGTTTCTTTTGCTGTGCAGAAGCTCTTTAGTTTAATTAGATCCCATTTGTCAATTTTGTCTTTTGTTGCCATTGCTTTTGGTGTTTTAGACATGAAGTCCTTGCCCATGCCTATGTCCTGTATGGTATTGCCTAGGTTTTCTTCTAGGGTTTTTATGGTTTTAGGTCTAACATATAAGTCTTTAATCCATCTTGAATTAATTTATGTATAAGGTGTAAGGAAGGGATCCAGTTTCAGCTTTCTACATATGGCTAGCCAGTTTCCCCAGCACCATTTATTAAATAGGGAATCCTTTCCCCATTTCTTGTTTTTGTCAGGTTTGTCAAAGATCAGATAGTTGTAGATACGTGGCATTATTTCTGAGGGCTCTGTTCTGTTCCATTGGTCTATATCTCTGTTTTGGTACCAGTACCATGCTGTTTTGATTGCTGTAGGCTTGTAGTATAGTTTGAAGTCAGGTAGCATGATGCCTCCAGCTTTGTTCTTTTGGCTTAGGATTGTCTTGGCAATGCAGGCTCTTTTTTGGTTCCATATGAACTTTAAAGTAGTTTTTTTCCAATTCTGTTAAGAAAGTCATTGGTAGCTTGATGGGGATGGCACTGAATCTCTAAATTACCTAGGGCAGTATGGCCATTTTCACGATATTGATTCTTCCTACCCATGAGCATGGAATGTTTTTCCGTTTGTTTGTATCCTCTTTTATTTCCTTGAGCAGTGGTTTGTAGTTTTCCTTGAAGAGGTCCTTCACATCCCTTGTAAGTTGTATTCCTAGGTATTTTATTCTCTTTGAAGCAATTGTGAATGGGAGTGCACTCATGATTTGGCTCTCCGTTTGTCTGTTATTGATGTATAAGAATGCTTGTGATTTTTGCACATTGATTTTAAAAAAGAATATTTGAATATATTAGAAAACCCTGATGTTCAAAGACATTACACAGAAACTTCTGATAGATGCCTCCTAATATGTATTTGGATTTATTCAAGATACAGTTATCAATCATGTCATAAAGATGATGTCTCTTCTTCTCATTCCTGCCTGACCCTGTTTTCTTGGACTCTTATGTCAGCCTGTAAGAAAAGCAGTTTTATTAATGAATTCGTATGTAGGTATGGTCACTTTGAGAATACATTTCTTGGAAAAATTGTTTATTGAGTACTTTATGATTTCTTTAAAGTTATTTAAAGAAATTCAGAGAATTCAGGGGTTAGTACATTTAATAAGGAAACAATTGTATTAGCTAGTTTTGAACTGTCAAATGGAGTTGAACCATGGATGAGGCAGAAGGTGGTATTGACTTGGAGAATTCAGCTGCAAAAGAAGGTTGTTATACCATCTATCAATAAACACAGGAAAGTTTATTGTATTTTCCAGGTAAGGAACTGAGATGCAGAAAGATGAAGAAAAGTCAGCAAAGTGATTAAGCATGGTTGAAGGACCTTTTAAAAGTCAAACTTTCATTTTCTCAAATTTCTGTACTTCCACACATTTTAATTGAAAACAGAGCAAACGTGTTTTGTTATTCTTGATAGTGATCAGCAGAGCACATAATAAAGGATTAGCTCAATTATTAATCATTGGAGTGAGTATCATTCATAAAAAATCCACTTTCATTAATAAATTAAGGCTGTGTATATTTCCCACTTTATCCTGTATTTTTCAGGTTACCCCAAATCACTCAAATCACAGCTAACTTGCCCTTTGACCACCTCATTAACTGTCTCTTACAGAGGTTCCCTGGTTTTGGTTGTCACGATAAGAAGTCGTAATGAAACTGAAGAGTCACTAACCATCATTCTGCAGCAGGTCCTGCAATAAGTTGTTTTGTTCAATGTTGCTTCATTATAACATTGTTGAGAAAAAATAAATTGATTCCTGGCTGGGGCCACTGTCTTCTGGGAGTTTGCACATCTGCTTGTTCCCCAACCCCTGGCTGCATGGGTTTTCTCCAAGTACTCTGGTTTCCCTCCACAGCTCAAAGCTGTGCCCATTGGGTGAATTGGCATGTCTACACAGTCCCAGTCTGAGTGAGTGTGAGTGCACCCTGTGATGGGATGAGATGGTGTCCTGTCCAGGGCTGGTTCCCACCTTGCACCCTGAGCTGCAGGGAGAGACTCTGGCCATCTGCCACCCTTAACTGGAATAAACAATTTGGAAAATGAATGAATGAATGAATGAATGAATGAATACAAATGATTGCAAATGAAAATTTGTAACATATACAATCATAAAAATGCATAACAATAAACAATGTAGTGTGAAAGCACTCAGCAAGCCTACCATATGTGTTATTGCTTGTTTTTGAACTGTGTGGTCGTAGGAGGTGCTCTGGACAATTTTCAAATTGCAAACATTTATTCACTGATTTCACCACCACCACTGTGACTGTGTCACTCACTGATGACCCAAAAATTGGGTAAATAATTATCTTCCTTGTCTGTATTAATCTTTCTTAAATGTATGTATAGCTCACATTTATTTCAGTGTTTAGTATTAGAAGTGTTTTGGTTCTTTATTTAGAAATTTGGTGTTGTTTTTGTGACCATAAACATACCATAGCAACTTAACTCTTGTTTATATAATAACTAGTCTATGGTAAAATTGGTTTTGTTACACAGCGTTTTGCTTAAAGTCACAGTTTCCAAGAACCTACTGATGACATTGAGGACTTACTGTTAAGTGCATATTGGACAAAGCTATATATTCAATGAGAGATTAAATATATCTCACAGTCAATTAATTCAAAGGTGGGAGAGTATATCCTGAACATGGTCAGGCAGAAATACCTGTGAATAGGGTCTGTGGAGAGAGACAAAAATAGAGACAGAGCAAAAAGGGAGGTGAGATTGTGCTAGTATTTAGCTACTTCTGACTTCGGACCTGCAGACTAGAGCTATTTATTAAGTGAACACTTAAGTTAATTAAGAAAATGCACTTAAAGATTGATGTTTACACAAAGACTACCAAAGAAGTGGAAACAGCAACCTAAAGATAATGAATTTTAGGAAAGTCAACTTTAGTAATTTAAATATAAGAAAATGACCTGTAAGTGGAAGGACCCATGAAAATTAGATTATTTCTTAAAGCAACAATAGTTATAAGGATGGCAAGAGGATGAAGAGAACAGGATGAAACCCAGGTAGCTACACAGAGCTGCACATTGGAAATGTCCAAGAGTAAAGATTCGGAATTAGAGTAAGCATTAAACCAGAAATAAGGCATATCAATGATGGCATGAAAAGATAAAACCAGGAAACATATGGTGACTGCAAGGTGAAATACACTAAGGGACAAAATAGTCTTTATGTATGAGAGGAAAACAAGACTGAGAAAACACATCCTGTTTATTAGATGCAAAGGAAAAGAGGATTGGTTCCAAAACAAAATTCAGTTGTCTTTAAAGAAAATTTTTGCCTTCGTAGTAAAATATAGCGTCTCATTTAGAAAATGGAATAGGAAACAATGTGGTTGAAGGACAGGGAAACAAACTAGACTTGGCAGGGAATTGATCAAAGATCATTTAAATAAACAGGTCTTGATAACTTTCACATTAGAACGCCAATTATTGATGATTCGGGCTCCAGGTGCTAAAAATAACACCTTTTTGATACAGTAGAAAACTATTCTTGGTGATTTTTCGATCACTCTGAACTGTTAGTGCCTGCTTCGTTATGCTGTGTGTCAAAGGACACAAAATGAAAGTTTATTTTTTATTATGAGAGTAGCTCATGATCATTTTTGTAATGTCTTCATTTTTATAGCATTTTTCATTTTTCTTTATAGCCACAATAGTGTGACCTCCCATTTTCCTGTTTTGAGAGAAAATGCTCACCTCTTATTAAAGTGACATGCATTCACAATAAGAATTATAGATCCCTCTCAAGTGAGAAAAGCCAAGTTGTTTGTCCCAAAGCTGCCAGTGACTCAGGGCATCAGAGAAGAGTAAACCAAAACATGAATTCATGATGCACCATCATCTTATTTTTAAAAAGTAAACATTTTATTTGGATCAATTAAAGAAAATATAATGCATATTTTTAAAAAATTTACACAATCCTCCCCTATAATGGCAGTTTGAAAATTTTATGTCCATGACAGAAATACAAGGTACAACTTTCTATTTTACAGCCAAAGGATTTGAAGAACCTGGAAAACTTTCATGAAGAGCTACAACAGTCATTCATTAGCAGCTGAATAATGCCTGTATTTGGAATTTAATATATGTATTTTCTTAAGATATCTGAGAATGACTCAATTAATTCTATAGAGAATAAAATGTTATCTGAAGACAACTAGCTTTACTAGCAGTGAAATTGCTAGTGGTGGTGTTACGGCATCTTTGTTCTCATAGGTTGGTGAGCGGGACGGAGGGTTACAGCTCTTTTGTTTCTGCCACCTGCAGCTTGGCAAACAGGATATGCCTGTTTTGTTCCTGCCATCCGCAGCTTGGCGAGTTCCAGGTTCTTGTCCCACAACAAGAGGAATAAGGTACGTGGACACCGGAGAGTGAGTGAGGCAGAGAAGAATTTTATTGAGCAACAGAAGGAAAGCTCTCAGTGGCAAGAGGGGACCCTGAAAGCTGGTAGCCCTCTTTGAGGCTGAGTCTGGACTTTTTATGGGCTTAGAATGGGGGAGTGTGTGCTAATTGGTCCATGGGTGGTCTTGGGAAAAGCACAATTCGATTGGTTAAGAGGCATCATTCAGAGTGAACCAATCATTAGAGTGGGTAAGCCAGGGATAGAAGTTCTCACTCTGGTCATGGACTCTATCGGGAACTGGCAGCTTGGTTTTTAGGCTTTAGACTTTCCTTGGTTTGAAGGTTGGGTCTCACCAGGGACCTGTCCCTGTCTGCGTAGGAATTTGTCTGTCTCCTTTCATATCAGTAGAATATTGACAGAATATTTACAGTTTAAAAAAATAGTTAAATGGAGATAGATTTCCAGCGAAGGTCTACATTTTACCACAAATCTTGAGAGGAAGATCTACACCTATTTTTAAAATGATTCTTCTGTCATTTTTATGACAGCACATCAAGCAGTAATAACATTGGAAATGAGACTGGATTCCTGTCGCCGTAGGTCCCCTGTGACTTTGAGCAGGATGCCCCAATTTTCTGGTTCTTGTGTTACCCTAGACTAGATGTCCATGAAGGACCCTCTTGGGCACTCTGATTCTATACTGTATTTTGAATAAGAAGAAAGTTTTTGATAAAATTCCTAAGTAAAAGATCTAAATGTACTAAACTATATAACTGTATATAATGTATAACATAATATATAATGTGAATAAACATATATGTCTATATTCTTAAGGGGAACTTGAGTGAGGAAATGTGGATGGCAAATCTATTACTATTTCCTTCTGGCATGTAGGTTGTTTGAAAACATTTCTAAGGACATGCTTCATAGACAGCAGATATGCCTACCAACAGGAAATTGATGGCGGGACATCCATGTGAAATAATTCTAGCCAGTCCACTAAAAAAAGACTACCTGGATACACGCTGGGCACCAGGGCTCATGCCTGTAATGATGGCACTTTGGGAAGCCAAGGTGGGTAGATCACCTGAGGTCAGGAGTTTGAGATCAGCCTGGACAACATGGTGAAACCCCATCCCTACTATAAATACAAAAATTAGCTGGGTGTGGTGACGTGCACATGTAATCATGACTACTTGGGAAGCTGAGGCAGGAGAATTGTTTGAACCTGGGAGGTGGAGGTTGCAGTGAGCTGAGATCCCGCGACTGCACTCCAGCCTGGGCGGCAGAGCAAGACTCCATCTTGGAAAAAAAAAAAAAAAAGAGACTGTCTGGATACAAAATAGTACAAACAATGCAAGTTCCATTAAAAAACAATTACACCATGAAGTCTAGATGGATATACGCACAGTGTCAACAGTGGTTATCTTTTGGTGGAGAGATTATAGTTGACTGTTTTATAAATAGAAAAACATTACTGTAGTAATTTCTCAGTGCTGCTGTAACAAAGTGCTACACATTGGGTGGCTTAAAGCAACAAATTTATTGTCTCACAGCTCTAGTGGTCAGAAGTCCTAAACCAAGGTGTCGGCAGGGCCATGTGCCTCTGAAACGTGTATGAAAGCATCCTGCCTTGCCTCTTGTAGCTGCTGGTGTTGGCCGGCAATCTTGGATGCTCCTTGGTGTTCAGCTGCAGCACCTCAGTAAGCCTCCACCATCCATGGTAGTCTTCCCTCTGCATGTCTGTGTCTCCACATGGCACCCCTCTTTCCTGCATGTCTCTCTCTTCTTATGAGGATACTTCTCGTAGTGGATTAAGGGCCTGCCCTAATTCAGTATAACCTTGCTTTAACTAATTACATCTGCAAAACCACCTTATTTCCAAGTAAGGTTACATTCTGAGATACTAGGGGTTAGGACTTCAATGTATCTTTTTTGGGTGGGGGGACACAGTTCACCTCATAGCAATCCCCATATTCCAAATTTATCCAATAATCTATGTTGAAAATAATCTGCTCTTGAATACTTTCTTTTCTGTCTCTCAAGATATAAAGTTACATCGACTCTTCCTTTTCCCCTGTATCCATGGAGTCCCACATTATTGAGATTTTCTGGGATACAACATTTCTTAAATGTCCCCTCTGCTATTATTGCCACTCCCCAGTTGAGACTGTTTCTAGCTGAGATACTAAAGTATATTTCCAACTGGCCCCTTTCCTTTTTTTTTTTTTTTTTTTGTTGTTGTTGTTGTTGTTTTGAGACGGAGTCTCGCTCTGTCCCCCAGGCTGGAGTGCAGTGGAGCGATCTCAGCTCACTGCAAGCTCCGCCTCCCGGGTTCTCGCCATTCTCCTGCCTCAGCCTCCTGAGTAGCTGGGACTACAGGCGCCCGCCACCACGCCCGGCTAATTTTTTGTACTTTTAGTAGAGTCGGGGTTTCACCGTGTTAGCCAGGATGGTCTCCATCTCCTGACCTTGCGATCCGCCCGCCTTGACCTCCCAAAGTGCTGGGATTACAGGCCTGAGCCACCGCGCCTGGCTCCTCTTTTTTTAATACTATCAGCAGTCTTTTTTATATGCTTCTATATGATTCCCTATGCAATCCATTCAATTTCTAAGGTGCATTTCTAATCTTATTGTTCCCTTTCCCCAAAACCTCCAATGGCTTCTCTGAATGAAATTTCTAAAGCTTACTTCTTTGGCAGTCAAGGTCATCCATGATTTGACTCTCTCCTTTTTATCCAGTCTTAGTTCTCACAATTCTCATACACAAATTCTGTGCTCTAATCTAGCCTGACTGCTTGTGATTTTCCAAAATTGCTGTACACTTTTCTATATCCTTAGTTTAATGCACGCTGTTCGCATTCATTGAAATGCCTTCCCCATTTCCCCTCCCTACCTGTTAAACTAGTTACCACTCTTCAGTAGCACCTGAAATACAATCTCCTCCCAGAGCTTTTACCAGTTCCTTCATTTGGATGCTCTGTCACCTTTATTTGAACTCCCAGGTGCACACGTAAGCATATGGACACACACACCTACATCTCCAACCCCTAAACTGTAAAGCCCTTGAAGACAGCGTGTGTGTCTTGTCTATCTTAACATTTCCCACAGTGGCCTAGGATGCTGCCTTGAATCTGTGAGCCCTCATTACAGGCGTTGAGTTGTTACTGATTAGAGCACACAAGAGAGTGATGTAGAGTTCAGAAGCACGAGCTCAATCAATAGGAATCAGAGTGCAGATAACCAAATGCGAGAAATAACTTATTAAATCTGTGCAATGCGGGGGTATTTCCGGGGGAAGAATTCTGCAGCTGCTGTAGGGAATGATACCTTGGCTTTCCTCTCAGGGTGTCTCTTCCCCCTCTGAGCCAGGGTTCTTTTATTTATCCTGCCCCATTTCATCCCCGCTATGTGAAAGGTTAGGTTGTAGCTCCTCTGAAAATGGTTAGAAGATGTGGCCGTTGGATCAATTTCCAGGACACATAGTTTATCTGAATCAATCTCATGTTCTATATGCAAATATCACAAAAGTGAGCAAAGTATTTAACTTGAGAATTTTATATTATCTACCTAAATGTGATTTCTTCTATTAAAACTACCAGTATGAAAAATTATGTTTCAAATTATAGTAAATTACATAGGCTAAACTTTAAAAATGTAATCAGTGATGTCAACCTTTATTAATGGAGGTATCAGTTGAGGAATTTCCAACCAGAATATTTATGCTAAATGCACTTGCTAAAATGTCCTTTTCTAAATTTCTTGGAATCAGTATTAGTATACAGTGCATTAATATAAGGCCAGATGCTTAGCGGTGAGGGACACAGGCCCTGAATTTTCATTCCACCCCATTGCTAGCTGATTGGCTTTGCCCAGGTAGTTAGCCATTCCAGACCCACGTTTTCTCAGTTGTAATATGGGAAAGCTAATACCTACCTCAGAGGTTTGTTATGAGAATAAAATGAGATATTTTATATAAAACAGCACACTATCGGGCACTTAGTGATTTTTCAGTGAAATGAGGTGATTAATATTAATATTAATTATAATGTTAATATTAAATATCAGATAATTTGAGATTTAGTGTAAGCATCAGTTTTAGAGTGGCAGACTCATCAGTTTTATTTGTATTCATTGAACTGTTTCAACAGTGCTTTTAAAGGTCAAGGGAGAGATAGGGAATAAGATAATTAATTTATCTTTAATTGGCTGGCATGCTGTATTTAAAGAAAGCTTTTAATTTTGAATGATAACTGTAATTATAACAGATAGGTAAGTTTCAGGGAAAGTAAAGACTTTTAAAGCCTCCAAATTGTCCCTTAAGTAATGTCAGAACTTAATGGTGAAGTGTTTCTACAATATTTTAATTTTCATCTATTAATGATGGTGATTTCACTATTCAGCTTAGTGTAACATCAGTAAAATGTCAAGGATAATTCTAATATTCTTACTCTTAGTATTAAATAATTTTATGAGTAAAAGAGATCGCCTCTTACAAATCAATAAAAAAGAAGCTTTAATAGATGAACAGATAAAGATAATGAACAGATGACTCACAAAGGAAAAGTATAAAATAACCATGAGAAATAACCATTCTCTGTAATAAGGGAAGTAAAAATTAACACAATGAAGTATGTATTTTTTCTCTTTCTAGCCTATTGTAATAGGAAAACTTTTTAATAAAGAGTCAGGATCTAGTGACATTGATTACTCACCTAGAATATTGATGGCAGTGAAATTGGTGCAATACTTTTAGAGACAGTTTGGGAATATGTATCAAGAATGACATAAATATTTATACCTGTAGACTCCCAATTCTGTCTTTGGAAATTAAAGCTAAGAATATAATACAAATGTAGAACAATATATTTGCAACAAAGTGTTCATCACAATGTTATCTAAAATTATGCAGACTAGATAGAAGCAGTATTAATGCTCAGCACTATGGAAATGGTTAAGTTAATCATTCAGTTATATATTGTTCAGTCAATACACGTGTATTACAATACATGTAAGACCATGTACCCACTTGAAAAATGTTGATAGTTGTATTGAGAACTACAATATAACATTACATGTATACCATAATTAAAGTTTTATAAAAATATGTATGGAAAAAACCTTAAAAGCCCAAATAATAGTAGTGATTACCTAACAGAGGTGGTATCATGATTCTATTTCCTCTTTCTACATTCTTTAAATTTTCTTTGCTATAGTTTTACAACAAAATTCTAAATAAAATAACAAAAAAAACAGCTTTTCTCATTGAGATTTACTTTTGGGCAAATATATTCTTGCCTTGTGGACAAATTTATCTTGGCCTCTGGGGCAAAAGCTGAATGCTTAAATAGGTATTAATTAGCCCTAGATGTGGCACTAGGGAAGGAGGAAGACATCAGAGGTTAATACAAGTTTTGATTGGGATAATTTATACAATAAAAATTCATGTCTATGCTATTCTGGTGAGTTTTCCTTTAAAAAAGGTTAAGGATTTTTTTTTAAAAAAGGCTAAGAATGGCAAGCATTTTAAATAATGAAAACCTGATGATAGAAAACATATTTCAGTATATACCAAGTAATTCTAGCTTCCATGGCCAACAACTTAAGCAAGATTAGTTTATCTTGATCTGCAATTTATCATACTATTTTTCTGTCAAAATATATGAAATTTTGGATTGCATTT
This sequence comes from Homo sapiens, assembly GCF_000001405.40. Taxonomy (NCBI): domain Eukaryota; kingdom Metazoa; phylum Chordata; class Mammalia; order Primates; family Hominidae; genus Homo; species Homo sapiens. The sequence goes on from NC_000013.11 coordinate 96,155,782, forward strand.
AATTTTCCAAAGATGTTTCTCTGAGTGAATAGGAAGGAATCATAAACATGTGACATTGTTTGGTAAATAAGTCACAGAGTTATGAAACTTTTTTTTAAAGCTTACTGAAGACCTATTTTTAGCCAAACCCAAAGGTCACTTTTTCAGTGACCTTCGAAAGGCTCAGGCACGTGATTTCTTCCCGCTTGAAACATTCTCTCCCTTTAGCTTCAAGGAAGTTACACCCTCATGATTGTCATTCTCTTTCTCTCTTCTCACAATATAGAATCATCTAACAATCTATAAAATACCTAGCTAATATCTATTGAGTTTTACTATGTAGTTGGGACAATTTTAAGCACTTTACAGGTATTAATTCAGTGAAGAGTCATAGAAGCCCGTTGAGGAAGATAGGGTCATTATCCCCATTCTATAGTTGAGTAAACTGAGACACAACAGAGAGGCAGACTCACTCAAGTCCCTTAGTAAATGGCAGACCTGGGACTGGAACTCAGCTGTCTGATTTCCTAGCATCGGTGCTATACTGTGGCATCCTCCTGCTTCTTACAGTGCAGACAAGAAGCACTGAGAATGCTGAAAACCCAGATATGGTTTAGTGAGGCAGGCATTTCTAGGAGAAATCCAGAGAGTGAAAGGTACGCAGCTGTATGATTAGGTGACATGATAAAAGCATATGTTTAAGAAGACCTAGAAGGCTAACAGAATTGAATACCACTTCTTACCATCAAATTTCAGAATGGTAGAGCTGAGTTCCTGGTGATATTCTTAGGCAAGATTCCTGCTGACTTAGGGCAGTGTCGGCCACCATGACAGTCAAAGGATGCAGCAGGATTAGTTTTGAGGACATGGGCTTTGTGTGGGGAAGAGGATTGGTTTATCAACTCCACTAACTTTGAGACTTTGGGTTTGTTTCTTGACTTCAGGTCCTGAGATTTGTTTCCTTCTCTGTAAGGATATTACTGCCCCGTTTACCACTCATTAAATAACTTGATAAATCATACTGGCCATTCATAGCTCATTCAGTAATTACATGAGAAAATATATTAAGAGCTCATAGCACAGTGCCTCGCATAAATGCAGGCAGAGTATAGGATTGACATTCTCTTATGGGAATAATGGTGCCTGGCCAGGAACCATATGTCAGTGAGCCAAGGGAGCACCTTCAGGCTGTTCAGTTTTTACCTCAGAAAATTGTTTCAGGTCACTCCAGCATGTGGCAGGGGCTAGCATTTGTTGTCTGGGTAACCTTGGGCAATTACCAAACTTCTCTGAACTTCCATTTATTGATCTATTAAACAAGGATAATGACATTTACCTTGCAGGGCTCTGATGAGCATTAAAGTCAGATAATAAGGTCTTTAATCGCTAACCTACTTTCTTATTACATTAGTATTTGCTGCCATTTAGTAAATGTTACCATTGGAAAAGCCTTTGGCTCTGGTTTCTCCAGTTTTCAGTTTTATTGCCATCTTCTTCAGAGCTTAGCTTCTTCTCCCCATCTTTCAGTGGGATAATGAAATTACAGAGATTTTAATTCCCTAAAGTTTAGAAATGAGGAGAAGCTCATCTAAAAAATTGTATCCTGGAAAATAAGAAAGGATCAAAAGAATTTTATAAAACAAAATGTCAGCTGGCAGGAAGAGATATTTCTGTTGGTTCAGAGCAAGGCAAATCTGAGTAGGAATAGACACAGCACTGACATTTCAGAAAGCAATGAAGTATTTGCTCAGGGACCTGTGAGATAATTTGTCATTTTGGACTTTGAAAGGAGGAATCAAGAAAGCAACAGTAAGCAGTTGGCTGACTTGGGAAACTGGTGTGCTCAAGAGAAACTCTTTTATTTGTTCAGTGCAGGTAACTTTCAGTGGATAAGAACTAGAGGGTTATATTTTGTGAAAACACTTATTTCAGGAAGAAAAAAATAATGTCATATTAATCACCTCTTGAGCTGTTTTTGTGGTTTTACATAATGAATGATTAGTGTGCAAGAGGACTCAAAAAGTGACTTAATATAAGTGTTATTTCGAATGCGGATTCTATATAAACCTTACCAGACAGATGGATTAGCTCAACGAAGCAGATATCTTTGGAGACGCACTGTGAGCTAGGACACAGGGAGGAATGCAAGACAGCCCCTTCCTTCAAGGAACAATGAAGACAGAAACAGAAATGAAGTGGGGCGGGACTGTACAAAGGTACCGTGGGTGCCGGGATGGTAAATGCTGTGTTACTGGTGTACACAAAGTGGTTTGGGAACATCGAGGAGGAAATGAGTTTTCTTAGGAAGATGAGAGAAAGCCTCACAAAGTATGTGACACTTGAGTGGCCATCTGAAGGTTAAGAGCGATGTAAAGGAAGGACACCATTGTATAAGGGTATCAAGGCTGTGGGCCATTCCTGGGGGAGAACTGTGGTGTGGTTAGATGGGTCGCCTGGCTGTGCAGGAGGAGTGCTAAGACATGAGGCTGTAGAGGGAGATGCGGGAAGGAGGTAAAAATGATTGGTGGTTTCTGCTGGGAGATGGCATGGATCTAAATTGGGAAGAAAAGCTAATTTGAAGTGGAGCCTCCCAAGGTATGTAGGAGAGAGAAAGTAGAGGGAACCCCAAGAAAAAGGTGGAGAACTCTTAGAAACAAAGGCCAAAGAAGGAACCTGCAAATAAGACTGAGAGAGACCCTCGCCAACATGGTGAAACCCTGTCTTTATTAAAATACAAAAAAAATTAGCCGGGCATGGTGGTACATGCCTGTAGTCCCAGCTACTCGGGAGGCTGAGGCAGGGGAATCACCTGAACCCGGGAGGCCGAGATTGCAGTGAGCCATGATCGCGCCATTGTGCTCCAGCCTGGGAGACAGAGCGAGACTCCGTCTCAAAAAAAAAAAAAAAAAAAAAAATAGAGAAGAAGAGAGCCTTGGAAAACAGTCAGAGGTGTAGGAAGACAGCCGGGAAAGTTTAGTATTAGTGAGCCCCAGGGACAGTGTTGGGCCAGGGAGGAGACAACATTAACACAAGCTAGGGAGAGACCAAGTAGAAGGAGAACTGAGAGCCCAGGAACCAGGAGGTCACTGGTGACATTCCTGAGAGTGATTCTGGAGTCGGGAGAGCAAGAGCCAGGGTCCTTTGTGATGATGACTGAGCAGGAGGTCTGGGGGCAAGGACACATAGGCAGAAACTGTCACTTAGTGAATCCTTTCGGCAGGGAAGAGAAGAGAAGGAAAGAGTTTAAGGAAGGGGTTGTGTGTATGTATTTGTGATAGAGAAGACCCCCTGAATATGTTTGTGTGCTGACAGCAAAGCCAGGAAGGAGGGAGCAGTTGGGGGTACAGACAGAGGGGAAGGAGTATCCAGAGGAAGTGACAGCAGCTGGCTGGGATAAAGAGCAGGAATGGGAGGGCAAGTTCCTCAAGAAGCAGGACACGTTTCCCTCCAAGACAGGAAGGAAAGACACAAGGATCAATGAAGGTGAAAAGGAGGAGAGTGAATTGCAGGTACGCCCTCGTTTTCAACTCTTGCCTGAGGGAGCAGTGGTAAATAAAAATAGCATTCATTTTATTTTATTCTTTTTTTCCTTGGAGTTAGTCTTGTTGTTTGTTTTTTAAAAGAAATAAGGATACTGTACCAGTAAACCATTGCAGGTTTGCAGAAACAAATCATTACCCATAGCTGTCACACATGCCAATCTGGAAATGGTTTTCTTAAGGGAGAGAATTCCGGGTCACATCTTTCCAATGTGTTTCTCATATAATCAATATCCAGACTGTCTGAGATCAGAACTGGGGAAGTACTTGAAATGACTGACTGGTGTTTATGTCCTACTGGTTATATTGTAATTTGTAATAATAATTTCAGCAGTCATTGACTAAATATATTACACAAAACAAAAATGAAATAATACCTTGGTAAGAAAAAAGCTGCAGGTATTAATATCTAATGTTCATTGTATGAGGTCAAACCATTTGACTAATTTTGAGCTACAAAAAGAGCAGTTTCATGGAGTTCAATCTGATAATAAGGCTAAAAACATGGGAGTTTCTGAGCAAGCGTGTCCTTCCAGTGAACACTAATGAGGGGCAGTGTCCACAGTGGGTAGAAGCCAGAACTGTGGCACCAGAGAGGGCTGGGAACATGTCTCTGCTTGATCTCTTATTAGCTGCATGACTTTGGATGTATGACTTCATCTCGCTGAGCCCCAGTTCTCTCATTTGTAAAATGCAGTAACAATAGAATCTATTTTGTAATATTTTTATGAAGATGAAATGAGATAATTTGTGTTCTTAGCAACATGCTAGGCATGTAGTAAGCACTCAATAGCTAATAAAGTGAATAATAGCAATAATAACTTAAAATCCATATAGCTATGTGAGGTTTTCGTAGAAGCATCTTGTTTTTAATAGAGCACATTGTATGTAAGGAAAATGCTGAAAATGGTAGAAATTAATATACACTAAATCTGGTTATGTTTATAGCTTTCTAAAGTCTTTCTGAAGAGGTTGACTTAATATGGTTTCCCTGGGCACCTAGAAATCATTATGCTGTTCTGATGAGTGTGTGGGTGAATACTTTGTTTATAATTAATTAGTTATGTTCTAGAAGCTCTTTGAATTGAGTGAATGGTTGAAACAGAACTCTGTGGATTGTTAAAGGTCAGTTTTATTCATTATGCTATAGTAAGGGTTATTTCCTTTAGGTAAAGAGATCCAAGCTGTCCCGTTCTTATATTCCTGACCATGGATGCTATATACTATGTAGGAGTGTCTACAGAGGTAGTGATTGATTTTAAGAAGAGTTGAATGCTGCTACCAAGTTTCTTTCTCGTGACCCCGAGTTCATTTAACTTCCATTTACTCTGGGTTACCTATTAGAAAATGAGAATAACAACAGCTTCCCTTATAGCTTGGGGCTATTCTGAAGACAAATGAGGCAAAATGTGGTGTTTAAGCATTTATTTAGTCAACACACTTTTACTTATTTTCTGCTCCCAGAGGGTGTACAATCTGATGGGGCAGATGGATGTACAGGTACACTACAGGAAAGTAAATGCAGTGAAAGACGCTTGCAGGCATGCAATAGAACCCACAGGGCTGGGATGGCCCTGGGAGCTTCTCACAAAGGGAGGTGGTACTTGAGGCTGGTACAGGCTCAAAATTTGAAGAGGTAATTCCTGTTTGCTATAATTTAGAGCTATAATATGAAATCCTGGTTTGATTCTGTACTTCCTTAATGTTTAACTCCTTAATTCCTTGAAATTAATTTTATAAATACATATTTGCCAAGTAGCATTTCTAGGCATTGGCGCAAGGTTCATCTCTTTAAAAAAAGTTATCCAGTGCCTATTATATGCTGAGCATTGTGCTGGGTTCTGCTTGAAATATGGCAAGAAATAATAAATAACTTTTGCCCTTAAGATGTTATGACCTAGTTGAGGATTCTAATGCATTAAGGCAGAAAGAGATAAGTACACTCACAGAGATAGGAGACCTTATAGAGGCCCAGTTAAAGAAATGTCTATAACAGATGGAAAGTTTCATAGGAGAGATAGTAGGATCTTATCTGGATCTTGACAAGTGAATGGGACGTGGAAGTGAAATGAGTAGTGTCAGCAAAGGCGGGAAACGTGAAATTGCATAGATTCTTTGAGTAGTTGGATGGCTAGAGGGCAGAGTTTGTGAAGAGATGCAGTGAGAAATAGGTTGGAAAAATGAGATGGGACTGTATTCTCCACTAAGATTCCTAACATGGAGTTCTTTCTGGAATGGAAGACCTAGGAACATATTTTACTACTCTTTAGGTAAAAGAATAATACTAAACTCAATGATCAGGCCCTCTCAGTGTGCAGATGAGCTATGTTTAGTTCAAGATTAGTGAAGAAAGCCTATTCTGAAATCTTCCCTTCCCACACAAAACTCAGAGAAATATTTAAAAGGAATGATTATAAAACCAACAAATTCATATCTGTGCTAACAGAAGAAAGCAAATGGGTTAAGCAGAAGCACATAAGAGCAGAAGCGAAATTTTTCTCACATAAAATAGGAATTCAGTAAGGAATTACAAAGACCTGCGGAAGGCTTCCATCATGAAAGAGATCACCATTAGTTATTACACAAGGATTTGCTCCCAAGGAAATAGAAAAATATGAAAAATACTTTAAAATGAAAGTATTTCATATCTTTAGGGTGATAAATGTCTTCACATTTATAAACAAAAACAAACGTTTACAAAATAAGAATGGACATTTATGAAGAACCTACTTAAAGATCTTGGAAATAAAAAATAAAATTATTAAAATGAAAAACATAGCTGATAGGCTGTATCACAGCCTGGGAACAGCTTAATAGTACACCAGTGATTTGGGAGATCAAGGAATTTTCCCAGAATACAGCACAGAAGTAAGGATATAAAAATGTATTTTAAAAAATTTAAGTGACGTGGTAGACGGATTCATAAGCTCCAATATCCATCTAATGAAATGAAAGAGCAGAAGGTGAAAAAGAGAAAGTAGAATAAGGGGAATGTAGAAGAAAGAGCTGAATATGTGAGACATTTGGAATACTTGTCAAATATCTAGATATCAAGTGTGAAAATGGGAGCTGAAGAGGATCCAGAGAGACTAAATAGGTAGGCGACAGCGCCACTGAATACTGGAAGAAAAAAATTTGTGGGCAAAGCGTTTATTTGTTTTGGGACCTTTGGGTTTGGAGGTGCTGGAGAAACATCCCTGTGGACATTTTTATCCAGTACTAGAAACTTTAAGTCTGGAAGCTCAGAAGGGAGGTAGGGAAGAGAAAACACAGAGGCGATACTTGAAGGATTTCAAGTGTATGATAGAATGGAAAATGTGATAAAAGGTGGTGTGAAGAATTCTATTTGATATACAATTGTTGTACTATGTGGTTTAACTTTATTAAATCAAAGTCAACTGTGATACAATGAGGTCTGCCCCATTAAAAATTTATCACAGTTAAGATGAAAGGCAACACATTTTATGTTATCTAGGAGTTCTTTTTCATGTTTTGTGTTTTGTGTTTGGATTATGTAGTTTGGTTTATATTTGATATGTTAATTAACTATTGTGTTTGGTTATTATGAATGTTTTTCCTTGTAAACAGTAATGTGGTTTAGTTTTTTTTTGTTGTTGTTCTACCATCCCCTTCCCAAAATCAATGACTAAATTATGATGGCTACTAAATGATGCACGTAAGAGGTTCCCCCAAATAATCTGATAACAACAAATATGATATTTTAGGACCTGACTCCAAACTTCTAACAAGGGGTGGAATGATCATAGCTGCGAATTCTTAAGAAAGGAGGGAAGTTTCTGATTTTATAGAGTTGTTCTTTTGTATGTGGAGTAACATGCTGCTTTTATGAGGCAGTGGGTATGTAAGTACAATATTTTTTCTGTGTTGTTTCAGTGCATTCTGGTGTTTAAGTCTGAGATACATTTTTTTTTTTTTTTTTTTTTTTTTGAGATGGAGTCTCGCTCTGTCGCCCAGGCTGGAGTGCAGTGGTGCCATCTCGGCTCACTGCAAGCTCCGCCCCCCGGGTTCACGACATTCTCCTGCCTTAGCCTCCTGAGTATCTGGGACTACAGGCGCCCACCACCATGCCTGGCTAATTTTTTGTATTTTTAGTAGAGATGGGGTTTCACCGTATTAGCTAGCATGGTCTCGATCTCCTGACCTCGTGATCCGCCCGCCTTGACCTCCCAAAGTGCTGGGATTACAGGCGTGAGCCACTGCACCCAGCCCCTGTGATACATTTTTTAAAAACTAGACCAGCCTAGAGAATTTTCTTTGGTGCCTGTCCAGGTGGTATGTTGAACTATAGTGCTCTGTGAAGAAAAATGCCATCAATAATGGCATAATAGTATAGGATTAATTTATAATGATAGGTATAATGATATTTAATATATCAATAGCTTAATAAAAAACCCTTTTCCCCCCAGCATGGAAATATATCATTATTAAAGTACTACTGCACGAAATGATGTACTTAGATCATTCTGTTGTGGTAAATTCTTCTCAGTAGAAGTTCTGAATCTGCCAGTGTTGACAGTTCTTTATTCCAAAGTGCAGTTGCTAGCAGGGGTCTTTTTAGTAGAAGACTTTAGATATATTACTCATGAGTTCTTAAATATGTATAAAACTGGAGAAACATTTTATAGTCTTGTTGGCATTCTAAGATACATGATTGGAGTTCTGGGAAACATAGTTCTCAATCTTCACTGATGCCCCAGGAATGATTCCTGGTGCTTTACTTCAGGGACTGTGGCTATCATTGCAGTGAGGCCTTGTTCCCTATCTTGGGGGAAGAGTCACTTTAAATGGGATTAGGGTTTCTGCTCAAGCTTATTTTGCAAATCCAGAAAGTGCCCATGAGAATAAGCCATCTGCATCTTTGTCACATACATGCCAACTGTGTCTCCATGTATATAAAGCATTCTTCAAAAAGGGGCATGCATGCTTTCCAAGGATATCATGCATGGCTAGTGTTAAGCGTTTGCAGTAACATGCTGCTTTCAAGATTCTCGACTTGGCCAAGGAAGGAGGATCACTTGAGGCCAGGAGTTTGAGACCAGCCTGGACAAAACAGTGAGACACCGTCTATACAAAATTAAAAACATGAAAATTAGCCTGGCGTGGTGACGTGCCTGTAGGCCTAGCTACTCGGGAGGCTGACGCAGGAGTATTGCTTGAGCCCAGGAGTTTGAGGCTGCAGTTTGCTATGATCCCACCACTGCACTCTAGCCTGGGAGACAGAATGAGACCCTGCCTGAAAAAAAAAAAAAAGATTATCAACTTTTACATTTATTTCTTTTTAAAATTGCCTGAGAAAGTGTCTGCTCCACACATTCCTCTTCACCTATCTGAAGTGTTAATATGGTACCTTTGCCCTAGGATTAGAAACTTTCCATGCACAGAAGAAAGGGATGATTAGAAATATTAGTTTTAGCTCCTTTAATGATTAATTAAGGAAACTGAAACCTGTGGGTTTCCTGTCTTTCTGGTCTTACATGTATTTCTAATTAGGATGAAGCTGGGCCTTGCAATGTAGATTAATGATACAGATTTTTTTTTTAATTACAGCTGTGTTTTCCAGGACTAACAAAGTTTAAAAGATACATTAGATAAAACCACGGATACATATTTCATATTCTTTCTTTCTGATTCAGTGGAGTTCTCCAGTAAGATAGTTAAAACCCATTTTATCAAAGCATGTCATGAAATATTGATTTCAGTTAAAGTCAAGCCTCACCTGATTTTTTGTCTTATATTTTACTATTTCATACCTCTTATTAACAAAAAAATTAACTTTAAAACTTATAATGAAAAATTTGGAGTGGCAAAGAATATGTAAGGAGTTACATAATTTTCTTTTTTTAAAAGTTATTTTAGGGGGAATGTGAGCAGAGCATTTTGAAGAACACCAAAACAAGTCTTTGAAACATCACCTAGGATTGTCTGGAGGCCTCAATTGACTCCTTCTTTCTATAGGTTTACCTCTTTTGGTGCAGTACATATGCAACTTTAGAAGCCCCATGGCTTCCCCTGTATTCTCTCTGGGGGCTTTTGTCCTGGGGGACTTCTGTTGCCCTGGAGGACTCCTTAGTTTATGAAAAGCAATAACAGAAGGCAGGCTTCTAGGAGACAACTGGTGTGTTCTAGACCTTCTCTTTTGCAGTGCCAAATCCAGAAAGGATGTGTTACTGGTTAAGACTGCTGGTTATGTTGTGTTAACAAGTGATCCTAAAATCTTAGTGGCTTGCAACTGCAGAGATGTAGTAGCTCTTGTTCCTCCTACATGTGTGCAAATGGGTCAGCTGTGGCTGTGCTTCTGTTGTCATCACTTGTGAACCTAGGTGGGTGGGTCATGTCTGGGAAAGAGACCTGTGGTAGTGGGAAAGAGACCAAGCAAACTACAGGCTAGGTCCCAGAGCTTGCACCTGGCCTGGAAGAGACATATCCCTTCTGCTCACTTTTCATTTATCAGAGCAAGTATGTAGCCAAACCTGTGTCAGTGGGGTGAAGAATACGGTCCTCCCTTAGGAAGGGGTGGTGAATATTGAAAGAACTAAGTTATGGCAGGGTACGGTGTTTTGGCAGGGTACAACAAAAATTGCATGAGATAAAGTTAAACAAGCAAGGAAGGCTTTATTTAAGGCTGTTGCCCTAGGGGAGGGAGACCAGAACACAGTCTGAACTCAACTTTGCTGAAACAAAGGATGGAAGGGTGGAAGGGGTTATTTATTTATTTATTTATTTATTTATTTATTTATTTATTTATTTTTGAGACAGTCTTGCTGTGTTGCCCAGGCTGGAGTGCAGTGGTGCAATTATAGAATTATAGCTCACTGTGGCCTTGAACTTTTAGGCTCAAGCAGTCCTCCTGCCTCAGCCTCCTGAATATCTGGGGCTACAGGCACATGCCACAGAGAGTTTTTAAGAGCTGGAATGGGGTTGGGATGGAGGTTGGTGTGGGTGAATCATTTGCTAATTGATCTTATCCAAAGGAAAAGTAAACTTTCTCATACTGCTCTGACCCCTTGGTTCCTACTGTAGCCCATCAGCTCACTGATACAGCCTAACCGATTCCTGAGTGTTCAGCTACCAAAACCACATGGAGAACATTCTCTCTCCTCTAAGCCCTTTGCACAGAATGGGGATGAGTGGATGAGTGTGGCTCTTGAAACCTCTCAGGTCTATTGATTAGGAATTTAATATAGTCTATAGTCTTTTAATATAGTCTAGATTTTATAACTTGGTTCTTTTTTGCTTTTCTTTCTTTCTTTCTTTCTTTTTTTTTTTTTTTTTGTAGAGACAGGGTTTTGCTGTGTTGACCAGGCTGGTCTCAAACTCCTAACCTCAAGTGATCAGCCCACCTTGGCCTCCCAAAGTGCTGGGATTATAGGCGTGAGCCACTGTACCCTGCCATAACTTAGTTCTTTCAAAGAAGAGGCAAGGGGGCTGATATGGTTTGGCTGTGTCCCCACCCAAATCTCACTGTGAATCCTAGTTCCCATAATCCCCACGTGTTATAGCAGGGACCAGTGGGAGGTAACTGAATCATGGGGGTGGTTTCTGCCATGCTGTTCTCATGATAGTGAGTGAGTTCTCACTAAATCTGATCATTTTTTAAAGGGGCTTTTACCCCTTTTGCTCAGTGCTTCTCCTTGCTGCTGCCATGTGAAAAGGACATGTTTGCTTCCCTTCCCACATGATTGTAAGTTTCCTGAGGCCTCACCAGTCATGCTGAACTGGGAGTCAATTAAACCTCTTTCCTTTATAAATTACCCAGTCTTGGGTATGTCTTTATTAGCAGTGTGAGAACAGACTAATAATACAGGGGCAGTCTTTGAAGTTGCAAAGACTAGCGATCAGATCCCTGACACTTACCTCTCTTATTTCCAGTTTTCCAAACAGAAAAATGGAGATTTTCATGCATATCTTACAGGGATGTTGGGATAATTTATCATAATGTTCGTAGATACACATTGCTGGCACACAGTAAGTACGTATAAATGGTAGCCATTATTAAGAAAGAGATATCTTTAACTCATCTTTTTTTCCCCTCTGCCAGAGTTATTTCTCCACAGCAATCATAATTCCAGTGTTTGTTCAGGAGGAAGGACAAACATCTATTTTTGAATTAGTTTTTTGGGGCTGCAAAGTGCCATGTGCTCTTGGTTTATCTTTCCTCATCGCCCAAGAATCTCCCATGCAACTCATCTGCTCTAAGTCAAACAGGGCTGCAAGAGGTCAGATCATGTGCAGAACAGATTGGAGCATTATCTGTCAGGCCACTGGGTCATTTACTAAGCCGTGGTGCTTTGCAAATATGAAGCATCTTGAGGAAAGGTTTATTAGACAATCTTTACTATGTCCTCACACTAATGCCGCATTAATCATGCTGAATCGTGCAAGTACTCAAGTGTTTCATGAATAGGTGATTAATTAAGATATTATATGCAAGTGTCATATAGTATATGAGAATTTTTATGGAAATCATTAACATTTCTATGAAAATTTCTCCTTGAGCCTATTTATAAATATATGTCTAAAGATGTGGTATCTCTGATATATAAATAAACTCTGTATATGTGTGTGTAAAGTGCTGGATGATGATTAAGATTTTTGTGCTGTGGGCTTAGATTATAAAGCTGGAAGCTAATACTGAAAATTTTTCCAAGTGTCATTAAAACTTAACACCATTTTTTTCAGTTTCAAAGAATAACTGACAAAATTGAACAAATCGAAAGTTTTATTGGCAGTAATATTGTGTTTCTTAAACTCTAGTTGCCTTGGTTACTCTTGGAATATTAAAATAATCTGGGCCTCTAGACCGTGAAAACTAGTCTCTATTTATTTTGGGCCCATGATGGTGCTAATTAACCACTCTCTAGGGCATGTATGGAGGAAATGTATGTGCTGTCTAGAAGGAGGGATGGCTATGGAGCCAGCAGTTTTGGTGTCTGAGCTCCCCGGGAGAATCATTATCTTTAAGACACACGAGTCCTTTCCTGAATGTTTCTGGTACACAAAGGCATATCATTGACCAGTTGTTTAAAATTACTATTTTACTTTTGTTTTATATAGGTTGCCTATACTCCCTTAGAGTAACTTCCAAGATAAAATTACTATTTCAGGTCAGGTGCAGTGGCTCATGTCTGTAATCCCAGCACTTTGGGTGGCCGGAGCAGGGGGATCCCTTCAGCCTAGGAGTTCAAAAGCATCCTGGGCAACATAGGGAGACCTCGTCTCTACAAAAAATTAAAAAATTAGCCAGAAGGTGGTGTGTACCTATAGTCCCAGCTACTCAGGAGGCTAAGGCAGGAGGATTGCTAGACCCCAGGTAGAGACTGTAGTGAGCCGGGATCATGCTACTGCCCTCCAGCCTGGTGACAGAGTGAGACCAAAAAAAAAAAAAAATTACTATTTTAGAATAGAGAGCAGAAAGCACCTATTGATTCTAATACATGTCTGTTATGTTTACTTTTTAATTTTTTATGATAGACTCAGGGTACATGTGCAGATTTGGTACATAGATATGTTGGGTAATGGTGAGGTTTGGGCTTCTACTGCACCCATCACCTGAATAGTGAACATTGTACCAAATAGATAATTTTTCAACCCTCACCCCATCTCACTCTCCCATTTTTGTTTTTTCCTAGTTAGAAGATTGTTATTATTAGCCGATCTGATTATTGCTCTCCACCCCATCCCCTTTCTCAGAGATAACCAGGGCTGAAACAGGCATGGTCATGGGGCACTTCTGAACAGGTGATGGTCCTCTCATGATTATTTCTGGCCTGCTGTTGTACCTAGCACTGCAAAGGGCTGCAACCTTATCCTAGAATCAGCATATCAGAGTTGAAATGAAACTGAAGATTTTGCTGAGCTCTGCCCGCCTTTTACAGATTAGGTGACTGAGGGTCAGAGAAATGGGATTTTGACTGGGAGTTTCTCATGTCCAGTGTGGCATTTTTTTTTTCTCATTCTGGATTAGAGTGAGGCAAATACTGCCTTTTCCATGTAAACCAGAGTCCCTTATTTAAATAACACTGCTATAGGAAAACTGTTTGGTAGCATTGGAATGTTAGAAGTTGTCTTGATAGAGTTACGAGGCATAGAATCCCAGAGTCGTTTGGAATCACAGAGCGGAAAGGATCCCTGAGCAAGTGTATAACCCATCACGCTGCCTTCAGGCTCCAGCAGGAGCGTTTTTAATACTGTGCATGCTTGCTGCTGATGTCTTTGCAACCATGAGCCCTCAAAGGTGTGGGGAGCCAGGCACCTGTAGTCTCAGCTACTCAGAGGGCTGAGGTGGCAGGATCGCATGAGCCCAGGAGTTCTGGGCTGTAGTGTGCTGTGCCAATCGGGTGTCCGCACTAAGTTTAGCATCAATAGGATGACCTCCTGGGAGCAGGGACCACCAGGTTGCCTAAGAAGGGTTGACATGGCCTGGGGCCAAATGGAGCTGATCAAAACTCCTGTGCTGATCAGTAGTAGGATACACCTGTGAATAGCCACTGCACTCCCGCCTGGACAACATAGCAAGACCCCGTGTCTTAACAAACAAACAAAAATAAGATAAAATTTTTTAAACAGTGAGGGGCTACAGATGTGAGGAGAACATGGCTCAGAAGAAAGGGTATTTGTTTAAATCAGTCTGTTTTGTTTATTTACCATATTAACCAACCCAGTTAGAATTATTGCCTGTTATATTGTTGAAGGATGGGAAGAAGAATCAGAACTTGCTTATGATAAAAATAAACCACCTGATTTGTATTTTAAAGTGCTCCCATTTGTGTTGTTTCATGACCATCACATAATCCACACTGATAATATAAGTGTTTAATTGACTAGCAGTTAATACAATCAAGAGTAAATAACACAAGAGGGGAAGAGGGATAAATGACACCGGGTGCTCTATCTTTCCCATCAGCCACTTATATTCAATCTGCACCACCAGGTGGGGAAGGTATTGTTAGCATCTTACAGATAAGGACACCAGGAACCAGGAAAGTTTGATGTCCTTCTTAAGGTGACGCAGTTAATAAGTGGTCATGCTAGGATTCGAATCTGGGCTGCTGCCGCCAATGGAAGAGAAAACTTTAAATAGAGAATAGCAACTTGATGTCAGAGTAGCACAGCCTACTTACATTCTCTTCCTCTTGCCTAAAAATAAGTCATTTCATGTGATCCTGTTAGTGAGCTTTTCCTGCAGGGGCAATGAGGCAGCCAAGCAATTTTCTAAAGTCTGCAGATCTCCAGAAGTTTAAAAATGGTGGGAGAGAGGGTTTTTTTTTCAAAAGCTAACACCTGGAGAAAAGCTGATGAGTAAGGAAAATCTTAGGACTCAGATTGATAAAGACCTCACTGGAACTGTCATGGGGAACTCATTGCTACAGAGGAGGAAAATGGAGATGAGAAAACAGTGAACCCATTTGACTGCATTACTGATAGGCACAGGAAGTGGTAGAAATGCTATTGGGTTGTGAAAGCTCAAAAACCAAAATGAAAAATTGGACAATTGATAGCAAGTGAGGCCTTGATGTAGCACAGAAACGTGGTGGAGGAAACTGTATTGAATTTCTGGAAGTAGGAATGCCAGATCAAGGGGTTTATATTATTTAAAACACACGCGCACGTGCGCACACACACACACGCACGTAGGCCAATTGGATTGTACTGAAATTATTTTAAAAATGTTTGGGAAAGATTTAATCTCAGGTCATGCTGATAAGTGGAACTTTATCCACATATAGATTAGTTAGATACCTTTTTATGAAGAAATGTTGAAGCTATATTTTTGGTGAAGACCACAAAATCCCATAATTTTAGAATCAGCTATGATAGGAAATGCTCAGATGTTAAATTAAAAGGTGAATATTATTTTAAAAATATGAAACCTTAGAGAGAATGGTTGAGAACAAAGTACCCATGAACATGAAATTCTGAATTTCCATGCATTTATCTTTAACCATCTCCTTCCACCTTCCTCGACCCTTTCTCACCCCTCATCCTTGCATCTGTCCTGCGTGAGTGGTTTCTCAGGTCAAAATGTCTTTTCTTTCTTTGGCGACAGGGAAGCATGGCCCAGCTGCAGGGCTGTACTTACGGAATGGAATTGCCCTCCCAGAGTTTCCTTTGCAGAATTCTTTGATTTGGTGTCCAGGATGCTTGCTCAGGCCTCTCGGGTTATCGGGATATATTTTCTTTGACAATATTCTTCTCCCAGTGGGACCCAGCCAATCTCATACTATATTTGAACTTTGTAGCAAATTATAAGTTTTGTTTTCTGGCCTCAACATGCAGTATTGTGGTTTTTCTCTAACTCCTGTGGCAGAGGTTCTCAGAATTCATCAGTTCATGGAGCCCTGAGTTTCTCAGTAATTCATTTCAACAAATAAATTTAATTGTTCTGCTTATTAAGTAGTTAGGGTCAAAGCACTTAATGAGTAGTTATGTCCTAGCAATTATAGCTGTTTGAGAAATTAATAGACATAGATTGAAAGAAAAAATATTTATATTTAATTCATAAATAACTACAATTACTTACTAAGGGAATATGGTTTCTTGTTGAGCCCTGCACAACTTCACAAACCTCGTGTTCTAATAATTATGGCTGTTTGAGAAATTAATAGACATAGATTGAAAGAAAAAATATTTATATTTAATTCATAAATAACTACAATTACTTACTAAGGGAATATGGTTTCTTTTTGAGCCCTGCACAACTTCACAAACCTCATGTTCTAATAATTATGGCTGTTTGAGAAATTAATAGACATAGATTGAAAGAAAAAATATTTGTATTTAATTCATAAATAACTACAATTACTCACAAATGAAATATGTGTACTTGTTGAGTCCTGCACAGCCTCACAAACTTTGAAATCATATTGGACGCCCTCAACCTCATTTTTCATTCCACAGTGATCTTCATGTGGATACTTGCCTTTTATCACTTCAACTGCCAAAACCCAGCTTTGCAAGGCAATGACATCATCAAAGGGTATATCATGCAGTCCAGTGTTGAAACCATGAACCATCTTGAGGTAGTAACTTCTGCAGTGTCTGTCAGATAGGGCTGTGCTTTCTTCAGAAATTAAAAAGCCCTGTGAGTTCACCATAGTGGCTTAAAGTGTACAGTTTGAGAATCACTAATGAATCCACTTAGCATTGGGTCCTCTTATTACTTTCCTGTTACTTACTCTGAACAGATATACTATCTTGATTTTATAACAAACATTTGCTATTTCTTTGTACTAGGAACATAGTAACACTTTATCAGTGTAACACTTTAATTGTAAATAAATTATTATTTACAATTGCTATTATAAGTATTTTCCAAACTTCCTTAAAACAGTCACTGTAGAGTTCAGTCCACAAGTGGCTCAGGTGCATCTTATTTCTCGTGTTAGAAAAGATCTGATATAGTTAGGGATGAAAAGGAGAAAGCAGAAGAACACAACAAATTCTTTATCTTAACCTCTAAAGGTGTTGCTTACATTGTCTTTTAATATTGAGCAAATAGTGAAAAGTATTAATGTAATAGACACAGAAAAATAATAATACTTATCTCTCAGTAGGTGCCTGCTTTTTGCCAAA
Source organism: Homo sapiens (assembly GCF_000001405.40). NCBI lineage: Eukaryota > Metazoa > Chordata > Mammalia > Primates > Hominidae > Homo > Homo sapiens. Next base: position 96,172,893 of record NC_000013.11, read on the forward strand.
GTGCCAAGAATTTTACATGTTATCTCATTTAAATCCTATCAGCAGTACTCTTCATTCAAGCATGCATTCAAGAAAATGGATTGAGCAGCTGCTATTTGCCAAATTTTGTTTTAAGGGCTGCAGATAAAGATGTGAACAAAGTAGGTAGAACCCTATTCTCAAGAAATGTACAATCTAGTGTTGGAGACAGGCAACAAACAAAGAAAAGAATAGATATACAGAGTCATTGCTGATAGATATATGTGCTGTGATGAAGAAAATAAATCAGATAAAAGAGAAAGAGAATGATAAATATGTCATTTTAGATAGTCAGGGATGTATCTCTGTAAACTAGGTGTGATTATCATCATTTTACAGAAGAAGAAACTGAGTCTCCCAGAGATTAAGTGACTTGTTCATGATAGCACCATTAGCAAAGATCCTTCCTAGGATTCAAGTTGCCCTAACAAGGAATTGGTGCTACTCAAAAGTCTTGAACTAATTCAAGGATAAAATTATTAACATATTTTTCTAAGTGTGTGAATTGATATGTCATTGTGTCTGAGCATCTGAGAATTTCTACCATTAACTCCCATCTATAAAGAGCTTGAGAGCTACAGAAAGATCAGTCTCATTTACGTACTTACCAAGGAGATAAAACCTATTATAAGAGAGGTGGAATCATCGAATACTCAAGCAAACATTGCCTAGTGTAATCAAGTGAAATCATTTCTTTGAGGACAAACAAGACTTACCTGCTATAGCAGACTTCTTTGAATAGGCAGAGTCACAGGTTGTAAAAAAAAAAAAAAAAAAAAAAAATGGAGTCCAGAGGATAGTAATATTTACTTAGTTCAAGAAAGAGAGATCATTTTCATTTTAATTGGTGCCTAGTAAATAAGAAAAAAAATCAATTGAGGATTGCATTCCAAATTAAGCACCTTAATTTCTCTTTGTGTGTGTGTGTGTGTGTGGATAGTAATGTATTTGTATTATTATGGTTAGTTACATGGCAAAGAGAGCAAGAGAGTGATGGACAGAAGGAGGCTGAGTTAGCTCCAAAGGGCATGTGTAATCTGTAGGTAAACCATACTTGTCACACTGTGTTTTGGGCATCAAAGTAAATTATCACCTGTTAATACTACTTTTGGAAGGCTTTTAACAGATAGGAACAGTTGTCAGTTCCTTGGTGCTCTGGGAAACAGGTTATAAGTGAAAGCATGTAAATACTAGCTAATCATCATTTTATTCATTCTCATATTTTATTTCCAATGCAACTATTATGAAAAAATTCTAAGCATACAGAATGGCATTACATAAAGACTATACAGCTTCCCGATGCCAGCTCCACTCCTCAGAGGCAATCACTTCCAGATTTTTCTGCCTATATGTTTATAATATTCTATATAATGCGTTATATGTTTATCCCCTGATTTTTCAACTTCAGATAATATCTCTTGAATCCCTATCATGAAAGAGGAATTTATCTCACACATCTTTCCCTCTTCCCTCCAAATTTTTTAGGTATTTAATTAATTTATTTATTGAGATGGGGTCTTACTATGTCACCCAGGCTGGCTTTAAACTCCTGGGCCCAAGCAATTCTCCCACTTCAGTCTCCCAAGTAACCTGGCATTTCAGGTACATGCCACCATGCCTGGTATAGTAGATATATTATTTTTGGATCTTTGGTTGGGGTTCCTAACTTTAAATGTATACCTATATACAACTTTCTCTCTCCCCATTTTTAGTTCAATTGCTCATATTATCAGGATTTATATATTTAAATTCTTTTCTAAACTATGTTTAAATGCTTAAAAACTGAAAACCAATAAGGAACATTTACAATATTATGATCAAATAAATATTATTTACTGTAGAATCCACTGTATGATTGGACCTTCAGAGAATATAGTCTTACAGAATGGATCTCTTACTTCTTAGTTATAGTCAAAAGATATTTCTCTCTCTCTTGAAAAAGATGTGTATTCCTCAGAACCAAATTTAGGCCATGGCTTTTGGGTACAACTTTCTGTTTTTCCTGGTGTTTCTAATAGTGTTGCTTTAGGTTTGTAGACACAATGAAGATAAGCATTCTTTACCATACCATTAAATCTTCCAGTTTAAAAAATTATGGCTTTTATTAAGTGAAATGTATTCTTGGATTTATTATTTTTGGGTTTGCATGCCTGTCATTCTAGAATTTTTTCATGACTGCTTAATTAGTCTTACCGTTTCTTGGATCCCCTATACTCCCTTTTTTTGAAATCCTTTATGTAATTTTCTCATAAGATACATGCCAATGTTCTTACGTTTGTGTAAATGTCTTTATTTTGCCCTCTCATTTAATATTTGATTTGAAATGAAAGTTCGGGTGAGTGGAAATGCAGAGGCTTGAACTGATTTTCCCGGGAGCGTGTGCACTTTCCCATCGTCTGATGTTGTTCGTGAGCAGTCTGATACCTAGCTCCTTTCCTTTTGTAACAGTTTTTTTTTTCTTTTGAAGATTTTAAAATATTCTCTTTATCTTTGATATGTGAAGTTTCACAAGGCTGGGTCAGGTTGGATTTCTGTTTGACACTTGCTGGTTCCTTTCGGTTCAATATCATCAGCCCTGGGAAGTGATTGTTTTTTTAAAAAAAATATTTCTGCCTTTTTTTTGTTCTTTTTTTTCCCTGAAATTCTTATTAGATAGTTGCAGGATCTGAATGGATCCCACAGACCTATGAACTTTTCTCACATACTTTTAACCTTTTTGTGTATTATTTTATGTTTTGTGTAATTACTTCAACTTAATCTTCTAGCCTTTCTAGTGAATTTGGCAAAAAAAAAAAAAAAAAATCTAATTTCCCCTCTTGTTCTCTTACTTCTCACATCTTCAAAGCGGTTTATTCTTGTTTTATGGCTGCAGTATCCTCTTGATTCTCTCTGAGGATATGAATTAGGTTTTAAAATTATTCTTTCTTTTTTTTTTTCTTTTTGAGACGGAGTCTTGCTCTGTTGCCCAGGCTGGCGTGCAGTGGTGCAATCTCAGCTCACTGCAGCCTCTGCCTTTTGGGTTCAAGTGATTCTCAGCCTCCCAAGTAGCTGGGACTGCAGGTGTGCACCACCATGCCTGGCTAATTTTTTGTATTTTTAGTAGAGACGGGGTTTTACCATGTTGGCCAGGTTGGTCTTGAACTCCTGACCTCAGGTGATCCACCTGCCTCCGCCTCTCAAGGTGCTGGGATTACAGGAGTGAGGCACCATTCCTGGCCAAATATATTTAAATCTATGATTTTATAATAAAACAAATAACTTTGCTCAACCAAAAAGAAAACCAAAAACAAACAACCTTTCCTCACACAACTCATCAATTACCTCTGTAAGATACAACACTCATTTTTTGAAAGTTGTTTAATAAAGGAAAAGAACTGAGGTGTGTCATGCGTTTCTTATATAAACAGTACCTAAGGATAATCAAATATTTGATGAGAGGAAGTTTATAGAAGTATTCTAGATAATAAATGGAGGAATGATAGAATAAGGATATAATTCTGATGGAACCCTAATGAATACCTTGTTCTAGGCAGTGATTATCAATGGTTGCTAACTTTGGAAAAAGAAGGAAAACCAGACCTTAGGTACCTTGTAAGAGAAGTACATACACCATCTTTGAAGTGGTCTTGCCAAAAAAAAAAAAATTGAACCCAAATCAGGTCATGCTTCCAACAAACCTGTCCACATACAAGAAATATGGACAATAGTGGAATGTATTGTGACATCATGAGGTGGCAATCCACAAAATCCAAACTTTGAGAAACTCTATGGGACAAATGGTTTTCTTCAACAAATTTAAATTGCAGGGAAGCAAAAAGAGATGGAAAGAAGCAATTGCAACAAAGCAAAAATTGACAAGTGGGATCTAATTACACTTAAGAGCTTCTGCACAGCAAAAGAAACTGTCAACAGTGTAAACAGACAACCTACAGAATGGGAGAAAATATTTGCAAACTATCCATCTGACAAAGGTCTAATATCCAGCATCTATAAAGAACTTAAACAAATTTACAAGAGAAAAACAAACAACCCTGTTAAAAAGTGGGCAAAGACATGAGCAGACACTTCTGAAAAGAAGACATACACGCGGCCAACTAGCATATGAAAAAAGCTCAATATCACTGATCATTAGAGAAATGCAAATCAAAACCACAATGAGATACCATCTCATGCCAGTCAGAATGGCTATTATTAAAAAGTTGAAAAATAACAGATGCGGGTGAGGTTGTGGAGAAAAGAGGAATGCTTTTACAGTGTTGGTGTGAGTGTAAATTAGTTCAACCATTGTGGAAAGCAGTATGGCGATTCCTCAAAGAGCCAAAAGCAGAACTGCCATTTAACCCAGCAGTCCCATTACTGGGTATATACTCAGATTAATGTAAATCATTCTACCATAAAGACACATGCACATAAATGTTCATCACAGCACTATTCACAATAGCAAAGACATGGAATCCACCTAAATGCCCATCAATGACAGATTGGATAAGGAAAATGTGGTACATATTCACAATGTAATATTATGCCACCATAATAAAGAATGAGATCATGTCCTTTGAGGGAACGTGGATGAAGCTAGAGGCCATTATCCTTAGCAAACTAATGCAGGAACAGAAAACCAAATACTGCATGTTCTTATCTAAATGATAAGAACTGAATGATAAGCTAAATAATAAGAATGATATGAACCCAAAGAAGGAAACAACAGATATGGGGGTCTTGTTTTGTAGGGAGGGTGGGAGGAGGGAGAGGATCGGAGAATATAACTGTTGGGTACTGGGCTTAATACCTGGGTGATGGAATATTAATAATATGTGCAACAAACCTGCATGACACATACCTACCCCCGAACCTAAAATAAAAGTTAAAAATAAATAAATAAATAAAATTAAAAAAATAAAAAGATACAGAAAGGAAATCTGTACAGTATAAGAAACCAAGAGACTTATCAACCAGTCATAATGTATGCTCCTTGTTTTGGAACCCAATTCAAATAAACAATTGTGGTTTTAAAATGATCATTTATAGGACAATTCAACACTGAGTGATGATATCAAGAAATTTTTGATTTGGGGAGGACTGTGATTTAGGTATTGTGGTTATCATTGCAAAGGGGAGGCCTTATCTTTTAGAGATGTATAACTATATGTTTACTGATGGAGTGTTTTGGTATCTGGGAATTTCTAAACAATTATGTGGGTTGAGGAAATAAGTTGAGGTGGATAGGGTACAAGATTGGCCACGAATTAATACTTCTGAGGCTGAATATTGGATACATGGGAGTATATTATATTATCCTTTTGAACCTTTTATATGTTTGGAATATTTTTATAAGTATAAAATAATACAAAATAAAAAACTAGTTTGGGTTAAAATTGAGTAGCAAGAATGGATTTCTTTGGCGATTCAGTGGGCCTTCTTCTCTGTGATGAGGGCTGACTTTGGGCTCCATGTTGATTGGTGGGGACTTTAAACTGGCCAACTTCACTTGAGGGTGTTTGAGGTATGCACTGCTTTTTCAAATGCCAAAAGAAGGAGGGCTTCACTTTTCAGGGACCAACTTCTACCCTGGAACTATACACTGTGCTGGTAAATTTTTTGCAGTGTAGATCTCATGCTTCCTCTTGGGGCAAATGTCTTGGTTGTCTGTCTAGCTGTGAGGGTGAGAAGTGTTCTTAAAAAAGCCTTTCTGTAAGTTAGCCTGATTACCATTCTGTGGTGCACTGGGGATACTTTCTACCTGAGATCTCTTAGGTTGGAGTGAATCTCTCTGTTTCTAAGCATCATTCCTATCAGATGCCCATAGGATGGCTTTGTCCTTGCTCTTTGGGAGACAGGAATGTTTCTTCATAGATGGGGAGTAAAGAATAGGGAAGGCTGGAATCACCCCCTGGGCACAGACACCACTGCCCCATTGAGCACATATCTGATGAAATTAAAATGAAAGCTGGATCTTTCATTTAGATTACTGAAAGTTATTGACCAGGTTTTATATAAAAGAATATTTTCAAAACCTGAATTACATTGGCATTGGGCCAAATACTAAGAAATGGAGAGATTTACTAACACAAACACTAACATTTACTAAAACAACACAGAGCATCTCAGAATTTTAAATAAGTAATCGGGAACCAGGTTGGAACAGTGAAATTTTTAGACTGGGAAATACCAGACTCCACTAAGTAGTAAAATGCTGAAGTGGTTGGTATAAAGTTAAATGATGAATATCTCTCAAAATAGTGGGTAGAAAAGAGAGTTGAGTGTGAGTGTGCCATGGCCAAGGTACCTTCAAAAAAAGAAATCCAGACTATATTTTTAACAGATGGGACCCCATTTAATATAGGTTCTGTTACCACAGTAATAGGACTGCATTCCTGAAGGTCACTATTGACCATCAGCAAAAACATCAGCAAACTCCCTGCATCAGTAACTAAACGCTATCCTTTTTAGTCTCTTAGCTGCAAACCAGCATTATCTTTATAATCCCCACTGAAGTTTCTGATAATGCCATCTTTTCACTCCTTGAGCTCATCACCTTGGAGTCATTCATTTATTTACTCGTCCATTCACCATGTATTTATCAGTGCCTGGAATCTACGAAGCTCTGTGCTGGGCCCACTGTGGGGAACAAGATAAATGTAGTTCCTGCATTCACAGAGTTAATAGTCTTGCAAAGATCATTCACGGCCTCTTCTTCTCCTTTTGGGCCAACATGCGGGAGACTATTACTAAGTCAGTCTCTTGCATATTATCACCTGTTACTTAGCATCTCTAAAACACTCCTCACTACAGTCTGTCTTGGATTATACTTATGAGTCTATCTCTTCCATTAGATTAGGAATAGCAATCATTTATTATGTAATTTTTTCCCACCTTTCATATCTTTACTTATGTTTTGTATTTCCTGCTATTTTATTTTATTCTATTTATTTATTTAGAGATGGCGTCTCACTCTGTCAACCAGGCTAGAGTGCAGTGGCAGGATCTTGGCTCACTGCAACCTCTGCCTCCCAGGTTCAAGCGATTTTCCTGCCTCAGCCTACCGAGTAACTGGGACTACAGCTGGGCATGCACCACCACACCCAGCTAACTTTTGTGTTTTGTGGTAGAGATGGGGTTTCGCCTTGTTGGCCAGGCTGGTCTCAAACTCCTGACCTCAAGTGATCCACCCGCCTCAGCCTCCCAAAGTGTTGGGATTACAGGCGTGACCCACCGCACCCAGCCTGTGTTTCCTGCTTTTAGGATGCAATTGTGTGATTTCCCAACTATGCGGACATACACACGCACACACACACACACGCCAACCAACTAAACTCATGTGCATTAGTCAGGGGCTCTAAAACAGATGACCAAATGCCTAAAGCTACACTTTTGCTCTCTGAGCCTGTAGCTTGATCCCTTCCTCCATATTAGCCAGTTTTTCCTACCAGGAAGAGAATGAAAATTACATCTCTCTTTCTTCTCTGATCCTAGGAATTATTGTTAGAAATCTTCCACCTCAATTCCAAGTTTTTGTTGTTCTTGTTGCTTTCGAAAAGAAAAAAAGCTTTTATTCATAAAACTTTAGAGATTTTTGCTAGAAAGACAGCAAAATAAATAAGGAAGGGCTAATAAATATTTATTAAACTTTTCAGCGTTTTTAATGATATCAAAAGAATCTTGCAAACAGTGAGATTAATTGTTTAATTAATTAATTTTGACATCAAAACAATAAGAATGATTGAGTACTTATATGTACCTGGCACTGAGGCAAGTGTTGTATATGGAATAACTTATTTAGTTCTCACAACAATTCTATGAGGCAGGTACCTTTGCTATTTCTATTTTAGAGCAGATTAAGAGTCTGAGGCTTAAAGCCATTAAATAAGTTGTTCATAGCTACCAAGTGGTGAGTCTGAGATTTGAACCAAAGACAATTGTATTAAAGTAACAAACATCATCCATCCATCCTTTCCTTCCTCCCCTCTTTCCTTCTCCTTTTTTTCTTTATTAATGTGGATAACTTATAAAGAGGCATAGGGAATAAGAATGTTTGACTACATTGGTATGGAGTTATGGAGAGTTAATTTGCCACAACATACTTAATTTTTATAAAATAACATTCTGCTTAAGGTAATAATATTAATGTTCTGTTATCACATGCATTGGTTATTTAGTGAACAGTAGTGGCTGACTAATTTAAGTTGTTCAATTTTACTCTGCATGTAGTAGAGAAATACTTTATCTTATTACATAAGTTACTCAATATAATCAAATTTAGCAATTTTATCTTCTAGGATATTTGGTACTAGATTATAAAAATTATTCCTACTCAAAATTTCATGGTATATTACAGACCTTTTTTTCCCCCAAACTTTCAACTGTGAGAAACTTCAGAGGCACATTTCCTCAAAAAAGGAGCAATGGGTCTTCAAATGTATACACATTGATATTTCCTATTGCGAGTCATTTACATTGACATGTTTTTGCTATTGCGTCGTGCTCTTAAAATGTCAAATGCATTTATCGTAGTTAGCAATGACTGGAAAAACTTTTCTCTGAATATTTTCCTGAGGAAAGGAGAGGTTTTTTCTGCCTCGTTTGAGCTCAGTGGCCAGCAGTTTCCTGGGTCTCTAGCTGTGCTGCAGGCCTCTCAGGGCCCTGGCCTGGTGGAGTTGCAGATGGTCTGCTTTTCAGAGCTCTTGCTGGGGTCTCTGTCTTAGAGGTGCGCAGGAGGCACATTCGACTCGGAAGGCTGATCCTAGGATGGAGGATGCTTGCTGCCATTTCAGAACTCTGTGACTGCCCAACATGCTCCTAAAACAGAATCCACCCTCTTGAGATCTTTTAGATTGAGCGTATTTGGGAGTTGGCTAGAACCCCCGCCCTTCAAAGCTGTTTCTCTAAACTAAAAAGAGCGTTTTAATTTATATCCGCACCTCTGTCCTGGTTTGTTGCAATTTATCTTTTTTTTCTCCCCCCACTGCAGGATATTGTAGAATATTTACTTGATGATTTTTACGCAGTAGTTAGCTTTACTTAATAATACCTTAGAGGTTTAGTAATTTCTGGCTTTAAAAGCCTATTCACCTACCCTGTTTTGTTTTATCTGCTCCGTAAGTTAGAAGAAGAAATTTGTCAGATGAGAAATGACAGCCTCGAAAAAGTTCAGGGACTCATGAAATGATGTAACTAGTTGGCAAAGGAATCAGAACATCAGAGTTCGTGACTATTGGTCCACGCCTCTTGAGACTAGACCAGGCTGTTCATATAAAACATTCCCAAAATAGCACTTTCTGTAAAGTCCTCTCTTACATTAATTTGAGTTTCTGAGACTTTGCCATATTGTTAACCCTTGACTTTTGCTAAAATAATATTGAACCCTGCAATTCATTTTGACTTTTGGGGCACAGTGATTCCAGCAGTTGCTAAAAGTATGCTGGGCCATAAAGGCGATGTCTTAATGATTTAAGACAAGAATCTTTTATTCCTAAAATAACTCTGCTCACTAATGTGATCAGGGAGCTCAATTTCAGTTTGACAGAGGTTTCAAAATAGAACTTCATGAGGGAAAACTGCAATTAGATATTCATGGGTAATATTCTTAAGTTTGTGAAGTAGAATGTTAATGAAGAGGAGTATTGATTTTATTTTAGTTTAATTATACTACATTTGATGTTGTATCTGCTGCAGATTAAAAATAACTATATTGTCGTTACTTTGCCTTTTCTTCTTGTTCAGTACCTGTTATGAACAAAGGCATAGCATTCTTTGCAATTGGCAGCAGACATAGCATCAAATGTAATATACCTGTTGTGAATAAGCAAATAAAATCCTTAACAAAATTCCTTGTACTAATACTTAGTTGCAAAATGATGTCCTGGTCTCACCTTCTTATTTCTGAAGCCTCTCTTCTGAACTAAAGACCTCTGTGAGATTAGGAATCAAGTGAAATAAAATATCAGAAAAATAGCCTAGTCACTCACATCTAAACTGTTAGCTTCCTTTTCAAAGTCTTCTGCAATTTCTTTCTTTGTCCAAGTATTTGGAGATTAAGGATTTCCATTTTGTGGAGGACAGCTATTGTCAGTAGCCTCCTCCTGGGTGAATTAAAGAAGTGATAGAAATTGTTTGAGAGCTGATTCTAGATGGCAGTAGAAACTAACATGGGACATGGCCCTGTTGTTTTTCTGTTACCAAATGTTGTGGATAATAACAATCATTTTCATAACCTCCATTTTCTTGGAAAAATGACTGAATTGAAAATATAAGCTTGGAAATTACAGAGTGCTATGTTAAAGCTTTTTTTTGGCGGGGGGGAAGTCTCGTATAAAAGTTGATTTTTCTTCTCCTTTACTGTTATCTAAGAGGTATACCTTCATGTTTGGTAAGAGAGGCTGAACTGAATTGAAACGTTGATTTCCACTAGGGTCCCACACCTGGAGAGACTTAGATGCTCGAGGTGGAAGAAAGTTTGGGATGATCTTCATTTTGTTCAGTGTGCCTTAGGGGAAATTGCTGTGGGCACCTGGAGATGTTTTTCAACTCTTCTTTCCAGTACTTAAGAGTTATAAATTATCCCCCACCCCCTTCTAATTATAACCCTATCATAAAACATCTACTCTTTCCCTTTCAATTTGAGGCCCAGATAGATGTTGTTGTGGGTTCCATTACTCTGTCCATGACCACATCATAAAAAATATCTCCTTCTAAAGGAAGTTCTTACCTGTGCTACAGTATGGATGAACCTTGAGCACATTATGCTGAATGAAATAAGCCAGTTACAAAAAGACAGATACCGAATGATTCCACTTGTATGAGGTACCTGGAATAGTCAAATTCATGGAGACAGAAAACAGTGGTTTCCAGGACCCGGGGGAAGGGAGAATGGGGAGTTAGTGTTTAACGGGTATGAAGTTTCAGTTTTGCAAGATGAAGAGAGTTCTGGAGATAAATGGTGGTGATGGATACATAACAATGCAAATGTAATTAATGACACTGAATTTTTTACACTTAGAAACGGTTAAGATGGGCCAGGCATGGTGGCTCACGCCTGTCATCCCAGCACTTTGGGAGGCTGAGGTGGGCGGATCATGAGGTCAAGAGATGGAGACCATCCTGGCCAACATGGTAAAACCCTGTCTCTACTAAAAATACAAAAATTAGCTGGACGTGGTGGTGCATGCCTGTAGTCTCAGCTACTCGGGAGGCTGAGGTGGGAGAATCGTTTGAACCTGGCAGGGGGAGGTTGCAATGAGCCAAGATCGCACCACTGCCATCCAGCCTGGCAATAGAGCGAGACTCTGTCTCCAAAAAAAAAAAAAAAAAAAAAAGAGAGAGAGAGAGAAATAGAATAGTTAAGATGGTAAGATTTATCTATGTGTATTTTACCACAATTAAAAAAAATTTTTTTAAGTCTTCTTTTGTCATGCTATCTGTTGTACTTGGAATTTTTTCCTCGCTAACTCAATTATCTCACCTTTTCTAATTATTACTTACAAAACATTCAGCTACTCGAATGTAAAGTTTGCATCCTTTTCTCTCTTCCCACACATCCAATCCATCCCTGCGTCTTGGTGACTTTACCCCCAGAATGTATCTCTACTCCATCCATTGCTCTCAGTCTCTACCACAGTGGCCCTAGGCCATGCGCTTTCCCCTGCGGCAATGACCTGCCTGTTCTTCAATCATGTCCTTTCTAGCTTTTCTCCTGGTTCTCTTTCTGCTTGAAATGTTCTTCCTCCATATTGCACTAGACAGGCCCCCTCATCTTTCAGGACTTCCTGTAAAAGTCCTGTCTCAAATATGGCCTCTCTTGCCCTCTGTTTTAACATGTCCTTCCTCCCTGCCCCCACCCCAGCCTCAGTTATTTTCAATCTCAACCCCCATTTATATTCTATAGCACACTTACCATATTATGTCCTTTTCTTGTTTGATTGATTATTGATTTTCTTCTCTAGGGGAATACAAATTCCACGAGGGTAAGGATCTCATCATCTTCCCTGCTATCCCGCCAGGGCCCTGGCACAAGGTAGTGAACATGGTAGATATTCAGTGAATTGACTGAAAATATATATCTATTTAACTTTTCTCATTTTCACAATTTACAAATAATTTCTCTAAGAGTCTTAGACATACTACAGAATTCATCATGACATTGTAAAAACACAGATCTGAAGAAATTGTGTATTTGTAGTTTGTTCCAAAGGTATTTAAAATATATGATCTTAGTAACTCATAATAAAAATGAGAAATTGTGCTGTAAAAGAAGCAATCTAGAGTCAGCCATTTACCAATTTGGATGTTACAGAATACTAAGTTTGTCCATCACATAGCTGTATTGAGTTTTTCTGTGAAATTGAGGTAATAACACTTGTCCCATCTACTTTGGAGTAGTTATAAAGACTTTGTTTTTCTCCTTATTGTTTGTAGAGTGCTTTAACATTTATAAGATGCTTTCTTATTTATGCCTCATAGCGACCAAGTGAAGTAGGTATGACTATCTGCCCTTTAAAGAAGAGAAACTTCATTTCCAACGTCTAATGAGTGGCAGGGTGAGGCCCCAGCCAAGGCCCATTGGCTGCACACTTGTTATTCTGTCTTGTGCACAATGCTGCCTCCTCACTGTGCCACAGCTGAGGGCAGAGACCATTTCAAACATTCTGAAGTGCTATGAAAACACACACTCTTATCATTGTGGTTTTTGATCAAGACGAGTTTATACCTATATAAGTTTACTGCATTTTCTCCTGTTATTAATTGTCTAAATGCTTGGCTGATATACCAAAACACACAAACATATACATTCCACATCATGTTTTTCAGTGGCAATGGTTCAATTCCAAAATTTTATATTTTACTTGAATTTAGAGAGAGAGAAAATAAAGGTACTTGAAATACTTCAACGTTCGGAATTTCACTCTGTGTTTGCTTGCCTTAGGTGGTCATGCGTTTGGTAATGGGAGACCATTTACCATAGGATATTTGCAATGGGAAACGTTTATTCGCATGTACAGAACCTATCTGCTCCTCCCAAATTGTGCTGAGGTGCTAAAAAAAGTGGAGTAGGTCTAAATAAAGTTATATACTGTATGTTTATGTGTATGCATGGATCTGAGTGTATGTATGTATGTGTGGATATAAACTATATATATGCATGCATATGTATGTAAATACATTTATATGCATATATGTGTATATGCGTGTATATGTACATTATAAACATATATATAATTTTTTTTCCCTGAAAATGAGCAAGCTGGCTATTTTTCTTAAGGCATCACCATTCGTATATGCATGAAAACAGACGAGGTTTTGCAAAGTGTTTTCCTTTTGTGAAAAATGAAAGAAGAAAGGAGAGATGGCTCAGAGCACAAAGAATACATGCTCCCTCATCTACAGTTCAGCCTGAGAAAGGTGGAGCTCTTGGGATTTCATTAGCATTTGCCTTACCAGGTCTCCTCTACTGGCAGAAATTCTGGAAGAGACTGCATATGATTGAATCTTTCTTTAATCTGCCACTGGTATCCTTTCTCCTGCTGAGACTTATGACACAAGTTTAAACTCTGACTTTACATTATTATGCACTCAGTGTTTGTTCTGTGGATGGGTCTTGAAAGTTTGATGTGATTCAAAGTAATGTGTGGATGCCTTTCCACTAAGGAGACCTTTGTGTGTGGGTGTAAAACACCCCAGGACTTAAAGCCTCATCTAAAGATATTTGAAAATCCAAGTAAATTGTGTACATCAGGGTCACCATTTTCTATTATTTTTGACTCTGTGGGCAATTGTATAGAATGCTTCTCAGAGGGAGCCTATGACATTTTTCCCCTGAATGTTCCTTCACATATCCGTTTCTAATCAGACTCTCTGATGGATAAGTCTCTTTTGCTGTTCTTAGCTCTGTGTGTGAGTACTCATAACTCTCAGCATGGGTTTTTCACCTTTATTCACAATGGCCTGATGGAGCATTTATTTTATTGTCCTTCAGGTGCCACCAGTGATGATGCTAGCCTCAAGGGCAGATGTGATTGAAGAGGCCACTGTATGATTAACAGTTTCTGCAGTGTAATTTGCTATGAAAACTGTTTCTTGGTTTATGGCTCAGGACTCTCTTAGCTGTGATCAGACCTGATTTACTGGGGGCCCAGGCTTTCATTTTCACAATCTGTCCAGTACTGTTGCCACAACTGAGGCACCAAACACATGTCCTCTACTTTGGTACTGGCAGGGCTGCTTCTCAGCATTTTGCAGGTAAAAAGAACACTCTTTGAGTCTGGGCTTTAGTGTGCCTTTGTAAAACTTTTGGTACTTGTCTGCATTCTGTTCACTTTGCAGCAACTTTTGTGATACCATATATCTGTCCCACATCTGGTTAAGAATACCTTTACAGCTGAGAATACCACTTCCAAGCTGATCAAATAATTAACAACAGATAGCTGCCATTTACTGAGGACTTGCTAGGTGCCATGCGTCCTGCCTATGCTATTGCATTTATTTTGTTGCCAGGAAGGTAAGGCATTATTCTCATTTTACAGATGAGGATATTGAGACTTAGAATATGAAGCAGTTTGCCCCAGGTTTCCCAGTTAGTCAGTGGCAGAGCCAGTTTAGAGCCCAGGGCTCTATGACTCCAAAGCCTGTATTTTACTTGATGTGACTGCAGTGCCCCGTGGCTTCATATTAGGTTATAGAATAGGTTCTGGCACTTGAATATTGGCTGTAGACTGCTGGTAAAGTGTGACTCAGTGACTCTATGGCCAATTTTCAAGACTCTAAATGTATTATTTATGGCAGATCCTAAACATCCTGACATGTCATGGACTCGACACGAGGAACCACCCTTTGATTGGCCAGCCAATGCCGTGTTGGTGTTCCATTCTACCTGCCCTCCTGCTGACTTGGCTAGCAACTTCTTTATCTGGCCAGCAGCTGTCCGAGAACTTGCTACCCAAGTGGTAGAATTCAGTGATAACTTCCTTCTCTCCATTGACAATGAATGCCTTTAAATGAATCTCCTTAAGAGGAGATTGGTGTCTATGTTGGTCCTCTTCTGGCACTTGTCAAATGTTAGCCATTCAAGTTCTAATCATGTCATTTGTAGAGTGGTGCTGGTTATATGCATAATTACCTAGGGTATACTGGTATACAAAACAGACATATGTTTATTTTCTGGTGTGTTCCTCTTCCCCCTATAGCACCAGGTCATGGGAGTGTTGTTTCTGGCCCACATCCCTGGGGTGTCACTTAAATACTATCACAAGTGAGGTTTACTGTAAAGTACTGTGTTTCATTTAACAAACATGAGAGAACTTGACATAGTATGATATGTAGGTGTATTGGCTATAGTTTAGTAAGTATGATGTTTATAGTGATTTTTAGATAAAGTTGAATATTAGTCTTAATTTTAATTTATATGTAACATTGTTTTTGTTTCAAAATCAGGCTGGGCATGGTGGCTTATGCCTGTAATCCCAGCACTTTGGTAGGCCAAAGCTGGAGAATCTCTTGAGGCCAGGAGTTCAAGATCGGCCTGAGCAACATCGTGAGACCCCCCCATCGCTACAAAAACAAACAAACAAACAAATTAGAGTAAACTTTCTAGAAAAGTAAGTAAAATCTTGATCAACTTAATCTTTTTGAGTCATTTTCCCCATCAGTAAAACAGAGATAATATATATGCTTCCTCACTTAGACATTTATTGTTAATGGAGGGGAATATATAGAAAGTGCCTTGGATGGTGCTTGGCATGTGAGTCCTCAAAATGGCATTTCTCTTTTCTTATAAACTGGGAATCATTGCAGAGTAATTTTTAACCCATTTTCTTTGAATTTTGTTTGTCATTATAGTTATTAATGTGTAATATAGTTATTAATGTGTAATTGTTATTATTATCAGATGATTGCATTGGGGATATTTATTGTCCATAATTAGAAGAGTTGGCTGAAAGATGTGAATATGAGTATCTAGGTTAATTGTATGCTGGTATACAAGCTTTTTCCCAATATACTATTTCGTATTTAATTTTTGACAGAAATATTAAGAACAATATTGTCACATCATAGAAAATATGTAGCTATGGCTAGCACGAATATGGTATTAAATCCAGGTATTTATACTGTTTTATTTGGGGGAATTATTTTAATTAAGCAAGAATGGAAAATACATTTCAGTTCATTTTTCTTCATCTATAATTTTCTATAAATAAAATTTCATGACTTGATTAAATCTATAGGAATTATAAGACTAAAATAAATGAAAATTGATTATTTTTATTATTATTTTAATTTTAATGCTCTTTTTATTTATAGTTTTATTGAGTTTTCTTTCAGAGAAGCTTGTGAACTGTAGTCTTAAAAACTTAAAACAGAGTTCGTGAGTGGGGGCCGAATACAGGATGGGGAAATAAGTCATGGGGGTTGTAACAGAGTCAACAATAGCAGATTCAAATTAAATTACATTTAATAATGAATCTAAGTTCCTGTGTTATCCAACCATTAATTTTCAGTTGGACACTTGTCACTAGGTAAGGTAAAAATGACATTCTCTTGGCTGGGACTTCCCTCTAGCATGGATCTAGGATGTAGGGCTATCTCTCGACAGAGTTATTTGACATGGAATTTGTCTGTGAGGTCCTCATCTTGAGGTATGCACTTTCGTCTTACCATTCCAGAAGCATTTAGTGTCTTCTGGGGGTCCAAGAATCAGTCAACATTTGCTGCAGTAATAACTGTCAAATCCCAGTGGCTTACACCAGAGAAAAATTGCTTCTTGCTCATGTTACTTGTGGCTGTGGATTGGCTGTGGCTTTTGCCCAGGCTGCGGGATGACTGTGGGTCAGACATTTCTGGAACCTAGACTGAAAGGAGCCACTCCTGTCTGGGACCTCTCATTGCAGTGGGCGTGAACCCAAGAGACTAAATCAACTACATGATCAGATTTAAAGCTGGTGCATCATGTTTGCTCACAGGGCTTTGGTTGAAACCAATCACACGGCCAATTCCACAGGGTGGAGGTAGGGCAGGGACAGGAGAGTAGATATTTGTGAGCGGTAGTGCAGCCCACCCCACATTGACTCAGATCTTCTGAATCCACCTACATGTTAGGGAAGAAATAAGATGGTAAAAATTCATAATATATTATAAATTCCCTCACCTGGCATTTATTGAACCATGTAGTAGGCTGTAAATGTTAAAAAGATAAATGGCCCACAGTTGATGTCCAATGGAAGCTTATATAGTGTTTGATAGGATCATATGTATTTGCAAGTGACTACGACATATCCATCCATTCATTTGTTAATTTGTACAATAAATACTTAGAAGTGTTTACTGTGTTGTAGGTACTGTTCTAGGTGCCAGCTCCTTTGCGTTCTTATTGGGTCTCTGCCTGGGCATTCTCCTTCAGTCCCTTGGCTTCAGTTACCATCTGTATGGTGGTGACTGAACCCATTCTCGGGCACAGACTCTGTCCTGAGCTGCGTATTAACTATCTTCTACATGGATACATGTACTTTTATTGGTTTATACCTCTCTAGTACCTCATATTGAAATCAAACTCCTTGCACCTCCCCAAACTACTCTCCCAATGAGGTCCCCACTTGCTCATGCAATCAGTTATTCATTCATTCATTCATTCATTCATGGCATTCAACAAATATTTACTGACTCCTTACCCTATGCTAGGTGCTGCTCAAGGTGTTGGAGATAAAGCAATGAACAAAACAAGCTTCTTGCTTTCCTAAAGCTTACATTTTGAAGGTTGGGAGACAGCACTAAGCAGGTACCAAATAATAAAGGAACTAAATACAGATAGTGAGTGAGAATACAGGGAAATAAAAATAAAATAACAGATAGGATAGTTAGGGCAGGCCTCGTGAGGAGAGGTGGCATTTCAGTATGGACCTGAATGGAAAGGAGAAACCAGGAATGTGAAGACCTGGAGAAACTCTACTTCAGGTACAGGGAGCATCTGGTGAAAATGCCAGAAGGTGGGGCATGCTTGAAGAGGGCCAGTGGGGCTGAGTGACACAAGGCTAGATGGGATTGGAGAGGTGGCCAGGACCCAGACATGATAGGCTATGAAGGCCGCAATCAATGTGGTTCAAGTGTGATGAGAAGCTGTTCGTGTGGCTCCATCATCAAGCCAGAAGCCTGGTCATCATTCTTGGTTCCTGTTTCTTCGCCATTCTTATGTCTAATTAATCTGTGACTTTCTGTTTCCAAAAACTTCTCAGTTTTACCCACCTCTCTACATTATCACTGCTACTTCCTCAGTCCATGCCATCACCATTCATGGCAGCTTCTGACTGTTTTTTCTGCCTCTAGACTTGCCTGCTTCCAACCTGGTCTCTACCTCACTGCCAGAATGACCTTTCTAAAATGCAACTTTGATCAAGTCCATTCCAGCGTAAAGACATTCAGTGCTTCCAATTCCCTTGTGCTCCAACCTCTCTCATCTTTGCTGCGTATACACACAAGAACACAGTCCTACTGTGCTACAGTCCTTGTAGTTCTTTGAATGTATCACAGTCTCTCTCACTTTTATGACTAGGAGTGCTTAATTTTTGTGCATTCTGTTTCTTCTCCATTCCTGCACCTGGATAACTTCAATTACTCCTTCAAGGCCTAGACACAAGTAGTGTTTTTCTTCCCTAGCAACCCAGTCTGAGTTAATTGCCTCTCTTATGTGCACTTACTGCCTCTCGTGTTGTTCCTTCCTATTTTAACATCACTCCATATTTTACTTATCTGTCTTTCCCATCACGGTGTGAGCTGTTTGTCTTATTTACTCTCCTATCTGAAAGGCCTGAAACGGTGCCCTAGTACTAGTGGATGTTTAAAAATTTTTGTCAATCAAATGAATATATACATGTAATTCAAATGGCCAAAGATGTGAAGAAAGAGGATCTTTTTCTCTATGAGTCAACCAGTGCTTTGTAAATAAAATATGCTGTATAAAAGCTAGCTGAATTAAGTAAAGTGGCAGGATATAATATAAGCTGTTTCTTGAAACCTAAGTAGAGTCAGGCATATGGAAAGAAAAAGAGCATTCTTTCGAGTCAGAGAGCATAGGCAGCTTAGTGCAGTGGAGAGAACATTGAGCCACACAACCCCAGAGTTTGACTCTTGTTACTCACTGCAAGACTTTGGCCAAGTAATTTACCCAGTGCATACTCAGGAGCCAGAGACCTGGGTTCAAATCTGACCCTGGCATTTACTAATTATGGTCTTGGGCAAATTACTAATCCTTGCAGGATTGCTGTAAGGATTAAAGGAGATAACAAAAGTGCTTAGAAAAGTGACTGGCAAATATTATTACTATTATTAGTGGTACTCAAATTCAGATATGAATATTTTCAAGATATATGTTGACCAAATATGATAATTTTTTTCTATTATACTTATTTTACTTTATTTTAGATTCAATGGGTACATGTGCATGTTTGTTACATGGATATATTTCATGCTGGTGGGGATGGACTTCTAGTGTACCCATTACTGAAATAGTGAACATTGTATCCAATAGACGCTTTTTCAACCTTTGTGCCCCTGCCACCCTCCCCGCTTTTGGGGTCCCCTGTGTCTATTATTTCCATCTTTGTGTCCATGTGTACCCATTGTTTAGCTCCCCCTTTTAAGTGAGAACTTGTGTTATTTGGTTTTCTGTTTTTCACTCTTTTTTTTATGGCTGTGTATATTCCATGGGATGGATATATATATATATATATATCACATTTTCTTTATCCAGTCAACCACTAATAGACATTTAGGTTGGTTCCAGGTTGGTTCCATGACTTGGCTGTTGTGAACAGTGCTGCGATGAATATATGTGTACTAGTGTCTTTTTCATATAAAGGTTTATTCTACTTTGGGTAGATACTCAATAATGGGATTATTGGATCAAATATGAAAATTTTTAAAAGACATGATGGATAGTAAATTAATATAGAAATATATTAAATTAGAATGAGTATAAACTTGGGAAAAAGTGAAAAATGGTGCAATATAAGGACGGGTTGAAGGAAAAAGTTTTTCTGAGCTCTCTGAGAAGTATTATTGCAGTCAAGAGTCTTCTGAGAGATCTTGGACTGTCTGTCAGCCTCCCTGATTGCTGCTGTTCCTCTCTCGGCAAATTGCAGAGCTGCCAAGTCCATGACTTCCTTGATGCTAGTCCTGTCTCTAGCACTTCCTCTCATCCTTCTGATGGCATTGGCTCCAGGTTTCTGTCCAAAGAGAGATGAGAGAAATCAAGGTTGCTGAAGCTCAGAGATCTCTTTGCTTAGGTTTTAGGTGGGATCTGCTAAATCCAGGGGATTTTCCCACCTCTATCTTGTTCCTGAACAAAACCACTCATGTTTTTATTGCTGGAGTAGCATCATCTTCTCAAAGCCGAACGAAATAGGAAGGAACATGGCTTGACAGTTCAATTCCATTCCATCCGCACTTTCAGCTCCCACTGCGTACTTGATTCCGTATTACTTGGGGATGTCATTAAGGTAGTGTAGATAACTAAAATGGGGAAGAAGTGGTTGAGTAAAGGCAGAGGAAAAGAAAAGTGAAGGGAACTTTGGTATAAGCTCTCTAAGAGAGCTGTGAAACATGCTGGGGGAGGCTAGGGATAAAAAAATGCCGGACTCTCAGACAGCGATCAATTTAAACAGGTCAGAGACTGTGTTGTGGATATGTCTTAAATATTTAGGGTGATACTGATTATGGGCACACTCTTCAAAACTGGAGCAGATGTTACAGATTTTAAAAAGAAATCTGAGAGGAGAAAAAGAAAGCGAGAGGTAGGCTGAAAACAATAATGATCTAGCCTATGTCTTAAGAGTTGGCAGTTGCTTTGATAATATTTGAATGTACATTGCATAAACGTGCAGGGCATTTAGAAAGAGGAGTAGTGAAGTTTCTTATGGGATTTCATTAAGCCCCTTTCTAGCCATCTTTTTATTTTGTAAATTGAATCAACTCTTTCAGGCCACCAGAGCTAATTAATACTTTGGGTAATCTGCTACTTCATTAACTGGAATTCCTTGAGGAACCCAGGAAGCTTCCAGATGTGCATTCTAGGAAGAATTCTGCTGCTTTTCAGTAATAATAACAACAGACATGAGTTATTGGACGTTTACAATGGGCTAAGCGTTTGTGATCTGAGCTTTGTGGAATTCTCTTTTAATCTGCACAGTAATCCTGTGAGTAGACATTTTCCCCTGCCCATTCTCAAAGCCCTCGTCTCCCTTATTTGCCGCCATTCCACATATTGCAGCTGTTTTTCTGGCATCCTCATTTCATTGTATATACAATATTGGGAAACCAGGAGGATACAAAAATCTGCTTGTAGGAAATGCATTGTGTCTGCCTAAACCTGATTGCCAGGAAGCTAAACCAAAGAGCCATATGTGAAATAGAGTGCATTTGAAGATATTTAGCTCTGGCCTCTGAATTTTTAAACATAATCCCTTTAGATAAATTATCGTCAATTATAAATTCAGGGAAGTATGGAGGTCTCTATTTTCTAGACTTATCTTGGTACCCAGAAAATTCATTTTTTTTTAATTAAAAAAATTATTTTCTCCCAGCTTTATTGGAGTGTAATTGACAAAATTATATATGTTTAAGATATATGATGTGATATCTTGATATACATCTACATTGTGAGGTGATTATCATCATCAAACTAATTAACACATCTGCCACCTCACATAGTTACTATTTTTTGTGTGTGGAGTAGAGGGTACTTTAGCAAATTTCAAGTATACATTACTACTAATTATAGTTACCATACTGTACATTTGATCTCCAGAACTTATTCATCTTGTAACTGAAAGTTTGTATTCTTTGACCAAATCCCACCTCCCCCACAAGCCCCCGCCATCCATTTCACTCACCCCCAAGCCTCTGGCAACCACTGTTCTACTCTGTTCCTATTAGTTTGACTTCTTTAGACTCACATTGTTATGTTCCTCTTATTTCTTTTAATTCCCTTTAGCCTTTCTTATAACAGTTATCTATCATTTCTATTAGGTAAATTGATCCCATTTCCAAACTTTAATTAACATTTTGTTATTGATTAGACTTAGAGGTCATGTGCTGCTCATGGAATTAATGTGAATATTATTTTTAATGGTTATTTTAAAATGCAACTTCATTGATTTCAGATATAAAACCATTACTCCTTCAAGAGAGCAATATGTTGGGGGGAAAATGATGCTTTCACTGTTACTAGTTCAAGATTTGTCTGCTAGTTTCAAGGATTTTCTTTTTTAAAATGTCAAAACTAAAACGGGAAACAAAAATAGCATTAACAGACCCACATAGGAAATTATATTATTTGAGGATGTCAAATTGGAAGATGGAACATGTTTTTTTGCAGACTTCCCTGCTTCCTGAAAGTAGCAATGAATAACAGAGAAAATCTTTAATGCCATCTTTGAGCTTTTGCTTGATAAAAGGAACTACTGTATAGCTTCGACGGTTTTTAAAAAAACACTCTTTGCAGAAATATTTTATCCTTTCCAGAGCATCTTCTCATCTCTGTGCATAAGTGCGGTCCCAGTGGCATGCTTAATCCTTCTTCACAGCCCTACATATCTTCAAGTGTGTGCATAAATTCTGTCAGGAAAGAATTACAACCTCGTCGTGAATAACTGCAAACAACAGCTATGTGTGGGACTCTATTGCTTGATGTAAACATGGCCCTGGGTGATCACTCTGCACTTTGTCTTTTAGGGTTATAAGGATGGGAGTGAGCTCTTCAGCTTGGTAGCCGACACCATGCACTCAGTAGCAAGCATTTGCTGTAGAGCCAGTACCTGAGACGCATTGCTTGGCTATTTCCGTCAATTATCATCTACTCTCATTCACTCCAAGTGTTCACAGATGGCAGAAAGTAATTCAGAGCCCTTTGTGCCTTAGTTCCCTTGTTTGCCAAACCGGGATATTCTTATATCTCTCACATAAAGTTATTATGTGAGTAAATGAAATAAAGCACCCAGAGCATCTTGAACAGTACCTGGCATGTAGTAAAATATGCGCTCGATAAATGTTAGTTTAAAACATTTTTTTTCTGCTCTTAAGAGTAGGCTTGAGTTCATAAATCCCAGGAACCAAACAATTTCTTTCTATTTTAGATCTGCTTTTACTTGTGTGCTTTTTCCTCAAGTGTAAGGCATCATTTTGTACTCTTACAGTATGTTCCTGAGAGCACAGATGTGAGTGAAAGTGAAGAGTGATTTAGTATGAAATGTCACACTGGGTCCGCACATCAACTGCTTTCTCTCTGCCACCGGCTGAGGCAGCCACCGCTGGTAGCCCGTAGGATTCCTGGCGTCCACCTTCTACCCTCCTACTCAAATCTATCTTCTTATCTGGTCTCTGCCATCCTTGTTGCTTCAGTTTCGTAGCTGGTCTGATCCTCTTGGCCTCGCCTACTTGGATTGTAACCCATGTGTATAGTCTGTTGGGATTTTGACGGGCATCTCCTAAGTGTCTCCCCCGAGAATGTCTCCTCTGCTCTCTACTTTTTGAAAGGTAAATCAGACAGGAGGGGAAAGGTACTGTGTTGACAGAAATCCCCACAACAGCCCTATACCGTGGGTATTGAGTCTTCTTTTGGACAGTTGATACAAAACAGCATAGAGAGAATGAGTAACTTCTCAAGGCCATGGGACCAGTGAATGCTTTGCTGTGCTTTGAGGAGCATGCTGATGATGACTGTGACTTTGGTAACTGTTTCTGTAGCTCAGAGCAGGGGCTTAAGAAGACATGGGTGTGCAGAGCTCACCTGCAGCATGCTGATGTCACTGGAGGGAGAGCTGTGCTAGGTGGGCAGCAGCAACCACGGAGGGACCTTTCTGAAGAGACTCACCAGTGACATAGTTGGTTTCTGTCCTTCTCTTTCTTTGTTACAAGACCCCACTATTTAGCTACTGATATTGCCATAGGGCAGAGAGATTTATTCAGCTGCAGCTGCATCCATGGCATCTGCTGATCCACTCACAGCCTTTGTTTTTCAGAGTTAGGAAGTGCCTTCCTTACTCCAAAATGCAACTTTCTTACCAGTGTTTCTGCACCATCCTGTGGTTTATATTTCTGGCTCTGCCATTCTTTCTCTGTGTGACCTCTAGATGGATCTATGTGATTCACAGAGGACTGGCTCATTGTCAATGACATGACAAGTGATTGAAATGTATTTGATAGTTAGATGATAGAAATTTCTTTAGCTTTTAGGGCCAAAGTACATCTGTATTAGTCCATTTTCATGCTGCTGATAAAGACATACCCGAGACTGGGAAGAAAAAGAGGTTTAATTGGACTTACAGTTCCACATGGCTGGGGAGGCCTCAGAATCATAGCAGTGGCAAGAGAAAATGAGAGAGAAGCAAAAGCAGAAACCCCTGATAAACCCATCAGATCTTGTGGGACTTAATCACTATCGTGAGAATAGCACAGGAAAGACAGGCCCCCATGATGCAGTTACCTTCCCCTGGGTCCCTCCCACAACATGTGGGAATTCTGGGAGCTACAATTCAAGTTGAGATTTGAATGGGGACAGCCAAAACATATCATTCTGCCCCTGGTCCCTCCAAATCTCATGTCATCATATTTCAAAACCAATCATGCCTTCCCAACAGTCCCCCAAAGTCTTAACTCATTTTGGCATTAACACAAAAGTCCATAGTCCAAAGTCTCATCTGAGACAAGGCAAGTCCCTTCTGCCTATGAGCCTGTAAAATCAGAAGCAAGCTAGCTACTTCCTAGATACAATGAGGGTACAGGTGTTAGGTAAATACAGCCTTCCAAATGGGAGAAATTGGCCAAAACAAAGGGGTTACAGGGCCCACGCAAGTCTGAAATCCAGTGGGGCAGTCAAATTTTAAAGCTCTAAATGATCTCCAGCTTTCATGGGCTGGGGTTTTGTGTCTGTGGCTTTTCCAGGTGCGTGGTGGATCTACCATTCTGGGGACTGGAGGACAGTGGCCCTCTTCTCACAGCTCCACTGGGCAGTGCCCCAGTAGGGACTCTGTGTGGGCGCTCTGACCCCACATTTCTCTTCTGCACTGGCCTAACAGAGGTTCTCTGTGAGGGCCCTGTCCCTGGAGCAGACTTTTGCCTGGGCATCCAGGTACTTCCATACATCTTCTGAAATCTAGGCAGAGGTTCCCAAACCTCAATTCTTGACTTCTGTGCACCCACAAGCTCAACACCATGTGGAAGCTGCCAAGGCTCGGGGCTTACACCCTCTGAAGCCACAGCCTGAGCTACATGTTAGTCCCTTTCAGCATGGCTGGAACGGCTGGGACACAGGGCACCAAGTGCCTGGGCTGTACATAGTGTGGGGACCCTGGGCCTGGCCCACGAAACCGCTTTTTCCTCCTGGGCCTCTGGGCCTGTGATGGGAGGGGCTGCCATGAAGGTCTCTGATGTGGCCTGGAGTCATTTCCTCCCTGATCTTCGGGATTAACAATAAGCTCCTTGCTACTTAGGCAGGTTTCTGTAGCTGGCTTGAATTTCTCCCCAGAAAATGGGTTTTTCTTTTCTATCACATAGTCAGGCTGCAAATTTTCCAAACTTTTATGCTCTGCTGCCCTTATAAAACTAAATGCCTTTAACAGTACCCAAGTCATCTCTTGAATGCTTTGCTACTTAGAAATTTCTTCTGCCAGCTACCCTAAATTATCTTTCTCGAGTTCAAAGTTTTATAAATCTCTAGGGCAGGGGCAAAATGCTGGCAGTCTCTTTGCTAAAACATAACAAGAGTCACCTTTACTGCAGTTCCCAACAAGTTCCTCATCTCCATCTGAGACCAACTCAGCCTGGGCCTTATTGTCCATATTGCTATCAGCATTTTGGCAAAGCCATTCAACAAGTTTCTAGGAAGTTCCACACTTTCCCACATTTTTGTATCTCCTTCTGATCTCTAAACTGTTCCAACCTCTGCCTGTTATCCAGCTACAAAGTTGCTTCCACATTTTTGGATGTATTTTCAGCAATGCCCCACTCTCCTGGTACCAATTTACTGTATTAGTCTGTTTTCATGCTGCTGATAAAGACATACCCAAGACTTAGAAGAAAAAGAGGTTTAATTAGATTTACAGGTCCACATACCTGGGGAGGCCTCAGAATCATGGTGTTGGCAAGAGAAAATGAGAGAGAAGCAAAAGCTGAAACCCCTGATAAACCCATCAGATCTCGTGAGACTTATTCACTGTCATGAGAATAGCGTGGAAAAGACTGGTCCCCATGATGCAGTTACCTCCTCCTAGATCCCTCCCACAACATGTGAGAATTCTGGGAGCTACAATTCAAGTTGAGATTTGAGTGGGGACACAGCCAAACCATATTAACATCTAAACACTAACAATATATAAGTGAATGTGCTTTATGGAGTTAAAATAGGGCTTTGGCAACATGCAATTGTATTCTCCGTGTACATTGTGGAACAATTATGGTGAAGGTGAGATTTTGTATATATGATATTAGATTACTTTACTTTAAAAAGGAGCAACCACAGAGTACGTCTTGATAGTTACTTATTTATCCCTAGGACTTCAATTATATTAATTTAAAAATTAATTATAAACTTGCTGGATGAAACTTAGCAGGCTATTATGTAGCCAAGTGCCTACTCAGCATTAAATTCATTTTAATAACTGAGTATTAGCTATAAAGAAATGAGGACCATTAAATATCTATTGATTTTTTGGGGGTTCTGATTTCTGCATTGCTTCTGTGTATTTCATTGCATTTTTAATTTTAAAATCTAGACTATTATTCTAAGACAAAGCCGAGGCTCTGGCAAATTGTAACATACTTTATTTTAAATTTTGACTTGAATTGTACAAGATAGGCCTACCAAGAAACAACCCTTTTACAATTTTATTCATTTTTTGGCTAGAGAAAAGCCTAGGAATGCCTCTTAGCTAGTGTCATAGTCAAAGGATGTGCAGATTCTGGCTCATATTTTTTTTTTTATATAGCTTTCTAGCAGGCCAAATGAGAATAAGATTAAAATTAAACTTCCTCAGAGTAGCCACCAGCCTTGGTAGCCGACTTCTAGACTCTTTTCAGGAGCGGAAAAATATTTCTGACACTGAAAATGAATTACATCCATGTTTCGAGTCTCCAAATAGAATGTCTTCAAGAACTATAGGCCATACTTAGTTCTAAACAAACACTTAAAATGAACTTCCCTTACGATAAAGTATCAGAACTGAAATTTGCAAAGATCATTCAGCTGTGTGCCCCAATATTTCAAAAATGTCTGGCATAGTTGGAGGTGGAACCAAAAAGTGGGCTTAACCATTGGAATTCTAATAGTCAACTCTGCAATGGCTGCCCATTTCACTCACAGTAAAATCTCATACCCTGCAATGGCTCTCGAGGCCCACATGATTCAACTCCCTTATTTTTTGGAACTTATCTCTTATCACTCTCCCCTACTTTCTTGACTTGATCATCTTTCCTATTTTGACAGGCCTGGCATTCTCCTGCCTTAGGACTTTGCACTGGCAGTTCCCTCTGCCTGGAAGGCTCCTCTCTTAGGTATTTTACATGGTTAATTCCCTTAAGTCCTCTTTGTGCTCCAATATTGCACTCTTATAAAGCATACCTTGGCTATACTATCTAAAGTTGCAACTTGGCCATCTTTCCTCTTCTCTCCCCAGACCATGGCATACCTAGTCCTCCTTACTCTGCTGTAGTATTTCATTTTGGCACATTTTATAACTATATTATTTTTTCCCATTTGTTATATCTGTTGCTTTTGGATATCTTCCCCCAAACTACTTGAGGGCAAGAATTTTTGTTTTGCTCGCTAATGTATCTCAGGTACCTAGAACAATGCCCAGCTATACTTTTGAGTGGATGGCTACAGAATATACCTTACATCGTATTCAGAATGCCTCTCATTTCAAATTCCTCTCACTTTAGCTTTTCTTTAATACATGATCCTACTTTGCCTCTGGACTGTAACCCTCCTTCATTCCTAGCCTGATCCCACCATCCCATTTTTGTGTGTGCTCTAGTGCCACCCTTGGGCCTGTCAGGACAGAGCCCAGGCTAGAAAACTTACGGCTGTGAGTTCATGGCAGGTGGCCATGGTATTCTGCCTGGTTATCTCTGAGATTAGAGACACAGTTGATAAACGACAGCCTGCCAGGCATCTATTACTACATCCCAGCTGTGCATGGGAGTGGGTGTGCATCCCGCAGACAGCTATATGCAGATGCACCTGTTTCACTCTGAGCTCTGGCATGTCTCAGAATTTCTGACGATAGGGGCTAAATAGACGGATCGATTTGGGGCCTGATTTAAGTGGTGAAATTCCTTGCCTCCAAGGAAGCTTGGCCTGCAAAATGGCATCATCAGAATTTCAGATGAGAGCTGATCTGCTTTCCAATTAGCTTCCATTTCAAATTTCTAAATTCCTTGCGTGGAGGAAGCCATCCTAGATTAGGCCAGTTGGGATAATGATATCTTCCACCCCAGGTTTCTGTGACTAATATTGGTCTTTACACAAAAAATTTAACAAAATAGCAACATTAAAAAATTGATATCGAAAGTAAAAATTCATTATTTTTCATGGAGAGTTATGTTTTCTGCCATTGCATGAATAATGTTACATTAAAATTTCATTCCTGTTGAATTGGATTCCTTCCAGTGCTCAAGGTATATGGCTCTAAGAACCATATAATATGTGGTGTTAGCACTCTTCTTAGAGTGTAAGCTTTAAATCTGCCTAGAAGAATTCTAAAGAATGAGCTGAAGATTCTCTGTATCCCCTGCTTTTAGAACGTTCAGCAAGTACCATGTGAGAATTATATGAATACGTTTTCGTGAAATTGATGAGGATGGGTATTTAATATTTATTAGGTACTAAGAGTAGCACAGTTTCATTACATTTTTCAATATAAAATAGATTTCCATCTATATAGTCATTGAACTTGTTAGTGTTGCAAGTGTAGAAAATACTTGTTTGTATCCTGTATGTGTGTGTATATATGAAATGGATTATTTGTGGCAAATACTGGTTGCTTGTTTCAAAGGAACTGGGCCCTTAAAATTAAGAATTTGCATATCGTGAAATAAAATGAAACATTTAGTCAAAATTAAAATTGTGATGAGTTTGAATATCCAAACCATCTTAATATAGATCTGTTTTAAAATAAGCACTCCAAGATTAACACCTGCATATTGCTGACTACTTTGATACATTGCAGTGGCTATAAAAAATTATTCTATCCCCTAAATCCTCCTTTTAATGTCTTTTAAAAAATGAATTGATCTGACACCAATGAAACTTTTTGTAATGAATCACACCAGATAACTGCATTTTAATGCCTTGATGCCCTGTGAAATGATTAGAGGGGGTAAAGGGGAAATGTATTTTTCTTATTCAGGTACTCCTCACATCCAGTTGAAATTTCTGATCAAAGGTTTTAATGCTTTCTAGCTACTATCCCTTCTGCATTCCACTTCCTTTTTATGTAACTGCGCTGATTTCATCAAATGCCTTTATTCCCTGCCCCAATCATCTATAACCATTGACACTGCTGTCCTGTCTCTCAGTGATTTTGCACGTCATCTCTTCCATCCCACCATGCCGTGGCTTCCTGCTCACTGCCCTGTGATCATTTGTGCTTCAGCATCCCTGATGCAACCCCAAGAAGTTGAATTGGAGCAGCTGCTCTCATTCATCTGCAGCTGCTCCTGGCAGAGTTGCCCGAGAAGGCAGACCACTCTGATTTATGTTCGTTTCTCTCCATCATCTTGACCATCCCAAGAGCTCTCAAGGATTTTTCACCTCTCAAAATTTTAGGAACCCATCTCACAGGTTACATAGGGCAATCCTGCTGAGATTCACTGGGGATTTGTGACTGACTTGCCCACTGTGGAAATGACTCAGGTTCACAGAATGGAAAGTCTGGGACCAGTTTCTGAAAATTATCAGTTCTGCTCTTTGTTATTGCAGCTCTGACTTTTTCAGTGTGTGATAAACTCCAAGATGAACTTAGGGAGGCAAATTTATTCTAGGTTATTGAGAAGGTTCAACAGACTCATCAATGATAAAGGCCTCTTCCCATTCTTTCAGTTCTTCAACTCATTCACTCACTCCCTCACTCATTTACTCACTCCCTCACTCATTTACTCATTCATGTTACTGTCTGCCTGTTACTTATGGCACCAGCGATATTTCTCCATATAGAAGCATGTTGGGCTTGACCTCTCACTTTCCATTTTAAGATATAAACACGGCCCTACTCCGTTTGCGCTGCTATAGCAGAATACAATAGACAGGGTGGCTTATAAGCAGCAGGAATTTATTTCTGACAGTTCTGGAAGCTGGAAAGTTCAGGAAGAAGATACCAGGTAGATGCAATGTCTGGTGAGGATCCTCTTTCTGGTTTACCAGCCGCGGCCTTCTCTCTGTGTCCTTACATGGCAAGAGGGGGCAAAGAAGCCCTCTGGGGTCTCTTTTATCAGGTCACTAATCCCATTCATGAAGGCTTCACTTCTATGCTCTAATCGTACCTCAAAGGCCTCACCTCCAAATCCATGACATTGGAGATTAGCTTTCAACATATGGATTCTGGGGGGACATAAACATTCAGTCTATAGCAAACACCATACTGTTAGACTATCCTAAACTAGTGTTAATCTGTTTTAAAATTAATTTGCTTCCACTGTCTTCTTTCAACATTTCCAGTTTAGAGCCTCACACCCCCTTCTTACTTGGACTCCTTTCTGTGAGCTGACTGTTCACGTGGGAAGGATGCTAGAAGCCAAATACCATATGCCAAATGCCTTGGATGAAACTTAGAGGGAAACACTGGCAGTGGATTCAATCTTAAACACTTTCCTAGTGAAAGGGGGTTCAAAGTGGGTTCAAATTTAAAGTATCAGGAAAATACAGAAAAGTAAGGAAATACCATTCCGAATTCCATGCCTTTTTGGTATTATAAAAGAAATGAAATGTCAGAGTTCCTGTACATCCCTCTACCCTCACAAAGATTACTATCTATTTGGTATTCATATTCATATCTTTATCTTAAAATATCACATATGATTATAAAGCCAAAAAAGGAAGCAAGCTAGCTATTCATCAAAAGGAAACAAGTTGAATATGTTTTCATACATTCATACTATAAACTGTTATGTGACTATTAAAAGATTACTATTAAAATATTACATATTTAAGCTTATATGTATTAAGCTTAAAATCAAATGTCAGATTAATATGTGTCATAAAATTTAATTTTGATTAAAATATGTATATATTGGCAAATCATAGAAAAGCAGGGGTTGCAATCCTAGTTGCTGACAAAACAGACTTTAAACCAACAAAAATCAAAACAGACAAAGAAGAGCATAACATAATGGTAAAAGGTTGAATTAAATAAGAAGAGCTAACTATCCCACACAGATATGCACCCAATATAGGAGCACCCAGATTCATAAAGCAAATTCTTAGATACTTACAAAGAGACTTAGACTCCCATAAAATAATAGTGGGAGATTTTAATGCCCCACTGACAATATTAGACAGATCATTGAGACAGAAAATTAAAAATATATTCAGGACCTGAACTCAGGTCTGGGTCAAGTGGATAGATATCTACAGAACTCTCCACCCAAAAACAACAGAATATACATTCTTCTCATTGCCACATGACATTTACTCTAAAATTGATCACATAATCGGAAATAAAACACTCCTAAGCAAATGCAGAGGAACTGAAATTACAACAGTCTCTCAGACCACAGTGCAATGAAATTAGAACTCAAGATTAAGAAATTCACTCATAAACCACACAACTACATGGAAATGGAATAATCTGCTCCTAAATGACTCTGGGGTGAATAATGAAATTAAAGTAGAAATCAAGAAGTTATTGGAAACTAATGAGAACAGAGACAACATACCAGAATCTCTGGGATGCAGCTAAAGCAGAGTTAAGAGAGAAATTTATAGCATTGAATGCCCACATCAAAAAGCTAGAAAGATCTTAACAACCTAACATCTCAATTAAAAGAACTAGAGAACCAAGAACAAACAAACTCGAAATCTAGCAAAAGACAAGATATAACCAAAATCAGAGCTGAACTGGAGGAGATAGAGACACAAAAAACTCTTCAAAAAATAAACAAATCCAGGAGTTTTTTTTGAAAAAATTAAAAAATACATAGACTACTAGCTAGACTAATAAAGAAGAAAAGAAGAATCCAATGAACACGATCAGAAATAAGGGGGGTATTACCACTGACCCCAAGAAATACAAACAACCATCAGAGAATACTATAAACACCTCTACACACATAAACTAGAAAATCTAGAAGAAATGGATAAATTCCTGGACACATACACCCTTCCAAGACTGAACCAGGAAGAAATTGAGTCCCTAAATAGACCAGTAACAAATTCTGAAATTGAGACAGTAGCAAATAGCCTACCAACCAAAAAAAGCCCAGGATCATCCAGATTCACAGCTGAATTCTACCAGACGTACACTGAAGACCTGGGACCATTTCTACTGAAACTATTCCAAACAATTGAAAAGAAGGGACTCCTCTCTGACTCATTCTGTGAGGCTAGCATTATCCTAATACCAAAACTTGGCAGAGATACAACAACAAAAAAAAACTTCAGGCCAATATCCTTGATGAGCATCGATACAAAAATCTTCAATGAAATACTACAAATTGAATTCAGCAGCACATCAAAAAGCTTATCCACCACGATCAAGTTGGCTTCATCCCTGGGATGCAAGATTGGTTCAACATATGCAAATCAATAAATGTGACTCATCATATAAACAGAACTAAAGACAAAAACCACATGATTATCCCAATAGATTTGATAAAATTCAACATGCCTTCATGTTAAAAACTCTCAGTAAACTAGGTATTGAAAGAACATACCTCAAAATATTAAGAGCCATATATGACAGACTCACAGCCAGTATCATACTGAATGGGCAAAAGCTGGAAGCATTCCCCTTGAAAACTGGCAAAAGACAGGGATACCCTCTCTCACCAGTCCTATTCAACATAATATTGGAAGTTCTGGCCAGGGAGATCAGGCAAGAGAAAGAAATAAAGGGTATTCAAATAGGAAGAGAGGAGTCAAATTATCTTTTTTTGCAGATAACATGATCTTATATCTAGAAAACCCCATCATCTCAGCCCAAAAGCTTCTTAAGCTGATAAGCAACTTCAGCAAAGTCTCAGGATACAAAATCAATGTGCAAAAATCTCTTGTATTCCTAACACCAACAACAGGCAAGCAGGGAGCCAAATCATGAATGTACTTCCATTCACAATTACCATGAAGAGAATAAAATATCTAAGAATACAGCTAACTAGGGAAGTGAAGAACCTCTTCAAGGAGAGCTACAAACCACTGCTCAAAGAAATCAGAGAGGGCACAAATGGAAAAATATTTCATGCTTATGTATAAGAAAAATCAGTATTGTGAAAATGGCCATACTGCCCAAAGTAGTTTATACATTCAATGCTATTCTCATTAAACTACCATTGACATTCTTCACAGAATTAGACAAAATGATTTAAAAATTTATGTGGAACCAAAAAAGAGGCTGAATAGCCAAGAGAAT
Organism: Homo sapiens; assembly: GCF_000001405.40. Classification (NCBI taxonomy): domain Eukaryota; kingdom Metazoa; phylum Chordata; class Mammalia; order Primates; family Hominidae; genus Homo; species Homo sapiens. Next base: position 96,206,507 of record NC_000013.11, read on the forward strand.
CCTAAACAAAAAGAACAAAGCTGGAGGCATCATGCTACCCAACTTCAAACTATACTGCAAGGCTACAGTAACCAAAACAGCATGGTGCTGGTACAAGAACAGACACACAGACCAATGGAAGAGAATAGATAACTCAGAAATAAGATCACACATCTACAACCATCTGATCTTCAGCAAATCTGACAAAAACAAGCAATGGGGAAAGGACTTTCTATTTAATAAATGGTGCTGGGACAACTGGCGAGCCATATGCAGAAAATTGAAATTGGACCCCTTCCTTACAACATGTACAAAAATTAATGTAAGATGGATTAAAGACTTAAATATAAAACCCAGAACTATAAAAATCCTAGAAGAAAATCTAGGAAACACCATTCAGGACATAGGCATGGGCAAAGATTTCATGATGAAAAGGCCAAAAGCAATTGCAAGAAAAGCAAAAATTGACAAATGCGATCTAATTAAACTAAAGAGCTTCTGCACAGCCAAATAAACTATAATGAGAGTGAACAGACAGCCTAAAGAATGGAGAAGATTTTTGCAATCTATCCATCTGAGGTCTAATATCCAGAGTCTAAAAGGAACTTAAACAAATTTACAAGAAAAAACCTAAACAACCCTGTTAAAAAGTGGACAAAGGACATAAATGGACACTTCTCAAAAGAAGACATACATGTGGCCAACAAATACGAAAAAAAGCTCCATATCACTGATCATTAGGGAAATGCAAATCAAAACCACAGTGAGATACCGTATCATGCCAGTCAGAACAGCTATTATTAAAAAGTCACAAAACAACAGATGCTGGTTAAGGTTGCAGAGAAAAAGGAATGCTTTTCCTTTTTCTTGTTCATTTTCCTTTTTCTTGTTGGTGGGAGTGTAAATTAGTTCAACCATTGTGGAAGACAGCGTGCAGTTCCTCAGAGATGCAGAGGCAGAAATACCATTTGACCCAGCAATGCCATTACTAGATATATACCCAAAGGAATAGAAATCATTCTGTTATAAAGATACCTGCATGTGTATGTTCATTGCAGCACTATTCACAATAGCAAAGACATGGAATCAACCTAAATGCCCATCAATAATAGACTGGATAAAGAAAATGTGGTACACATACACCATGGAATACTATGCAGCCATAAAAAGGAATGAGACCATGTCTTTTGCAGGGACATGGATGGAATTGGAAGCCATTATCTTCAGCAAACTAATGCAACAGAAAATCAGACACCACATGTTCTCACTTATAAGTGGGAGCTGAATGATGAGAATGCATGGGCACGTGGTTGTGGGGAACAACACACACACTAGGGCCTGTAAGTTGGTGCCATGGGGGAAGGGATAGCATCAAGAAGAATAGCTTATGGATTCTGGGCTTAATACCTAGGTGATGGGATGATCTATGTAGCAAACCACCATGGCATACATTTACCTATGTAACAAACCTGCACATCCTGCACATGTACACCAGAACTTAAAGTAAAAGTTGAAGAAAAATACACATATATTGGTAAATTATAAAAAAGGAATAGATCATATAAACAAAATCATTCCTACAGTTTCCTTTGTTGCTTTATATTTTTGAACATTTCAAAAAATACATATTACCATTATAATTCTAAAATCATAAAATATTAAAGCACCTCCCACTCCCTCCATATATTTTTAAAAATTTCCCTCCAACACTCAGTCATGATCAATATATTGGTCTTCAACTGACATTTTTTATTTCATGTAGATATTTTTCCATTAAAAATTATTCTTTTAATGATTACAAAGGATATGTTATATGTATATGTCACACCTTCTTGGGTCTTTCAGTCCTGATGGATTTTTAGGCTGTGTCTAAATTTTTGGTATTACTAGCAATGCTGTAGGGAGCATTGTTGGCTCTAGATATACAGGTACATAAGCAATTCTTTCTGTAGGATGAATTATTAGATGGGGGGTTGCCAGAAATGTAAATTTAGTATTTTAATACCCTGCCTAATTTCCGAGGGTTCAACTGATTCTTTAGAGATTTACTAATACCAAGTATTTTAGAAAAAAATATTTTCTTTCTTTCTCATGACATAGGCCAACTATTGTTAGAATTTGAGAATTAGTTACTGTATTTTTTATTTAGTGTGGTTGTGTTTGGGAAGAACCACTGTATAAAGATAATATGCAATTTTTATTTGATGGTTTATCCGAAACACAATATTAGACAGTGTTAAATAGTAGCAGTCCTCTTCTTTGATATTATTTACATAACACACTTTGATATCCTCAATTAAAAGGGTACGAGGTGAAAGAGAATTTTTGTTTTTTGTTTACCCTCATTTATTTTGGGAATAGTTGTTAATACTTCAGATAACAAGGCAGATTTTTCCCATGTATAAATATCTTCTTGGAAATATGGAATATTGGGGAAAATTAGCAGGCACCTTTTTTTGGGAAGAGAAATACTGTTTTTAACATTACTGCTTCACTGAGCCCATTAACTGCATGAGTTTGTGCACACTCCAAAGTTATGTAACAGATAATTTCGGATTTTGAATTTGGCTTGGGATACAGAACTACCATAGACTTGTCAATTGTAAATAAGTTTTGAATGCGGATTTGACTAGTAGGAGATACAGAGTGTAGACATCAATATAGTAATATAGATGGAAAGATGGATTGTCTATGTAATTCCTTGATCTTACAAGGGAGAGAATTGAGAAAATGAGCCATTGAGCAACTTACAGAAGTTGTGGGTTAGCGGTAGCGGGGATCATATTAGAACAAGGTGTCTCAACTCCTACACCAGTGCTCTTGCCACCTACTATGCTGGATTTTGTGGAGAAGGTCTGAGGTCATGGAGTGAATGCTATACAAGGGTACCACAGTGTAACAGATGGTTGGTGCTCCCCAGCTTTTTTCTGGTTTCCTGTGAGAAAAAAAATCTTCGTTATTGTTGGCCTCTAGACTTTCTCAAGCTCATTATCTGTTATGAACAAGGAGTCATGAGAATAGGTGGATGTAAAAATAGTGGGTCTGATAGTAGTAAAAGTAGCTGATACCTTTTTGGGAGAATTTCTAGTCAAAAAAATAACATTTGGCTATAGCAGTGTCAGCAGGACCTTCTACAGGTTGCCCATGTGGTGACCCCTGCCACCTGCCCCACCTCTCATGCCACCCACCCATCCAGGCTTTTATTTCCTCAAATATTTCAACCTTAGTCCAGCCTAGGGGGATTGTACTTGCTATTACTGCTGTTAGCCATCCTTATACATAGCACGGCTTCTGTCTCCTTGGTGTTCAGATGTTGGCTCCAATGTCACTTCTTCAGAGGTCATGTGTGACCTCCGTATCCAGTAGGGGTGACCATACCTCCTGTCCAGACTTGATGACATTGTCCTCTTTAATTTCCTTTGTCTAATTATCACTGTCTGAAAATATCATTTTAGTTTGTTTGTTCTTTGTCTGCCTTCCCCAAGCAGATTGTAATTCTGTGAGAACAGATCTTCCTGGTTTGGTTTACTGCTATAGAACAGAGTAGATGCTCAGTGAATTATTATTGAGTGATTGAAAGACTGAATGGTCCTATGGAATACTGCCTTGGTTGAGATATTTTTTCCCCCTATGTGTACTTTTTTGCTATCCAGTTTAATTAAATATGCCTGCTAATATTGGGGCATTTTAAGAAAAAGTTTTAAAAGCAGGAAGTATTTTGTACCAGGAATTAAGGAAGTGACAAATGTAAGCCAAAATATTTCCATTTCAAAATATTTTCCTGTTGCCAAAATTTCAAACATTGAACGGTCCTGCACCCAACCTGTGATAACTAGGGAGAGAAGAGACTTTTCCTGAGAACCTTCCTTGGAAACGCACTCCCCTCTCGCCACTGTAGAGGCACAGGCAACTTTGCCAACTTTGGCGGGTCCTGAGGTGTGACCCTGGGTCTCTAGGGTATTCAGCAATCTCCTGCTCACATACCCATAGCCTTAGTAGAATTAAAGGAGAACAAATGTTATCTTTCTGTGTATTTGTTTCGATCACATGAACTTAGTTGCCTGTTTGTGTCCTTGTCAATGTTGTTATCATTTCTTTCTTTTTTTTTTTTTTCTTTCTTCTGAGATGGAGTCTCACTCACTCTGTTGCCCAGGTTGGAGTACAGTGGCACAATCTCAGCTTACTGGAACCTCTGCTTCCTGGGTTCAAGTGATTCCCCTGCCTCAGCCTTTCGAGTAGGTGGGATTACAGACATGTGCCATAATGCCCAGCTAATTTTTGTATTTTTAGTAGAGACGAGGTTTCACCATGTTGGTCAGGCTGGTCGCAAACTCCTGGGCTCAAGTGATCCGCCTGCTTCGGCCTCCCAAAGTGCTAGGATTGCAGGCATGAGTCCCCACACCCAGCCAGTGTTGTTATCAGTTGTTATCATTTCTATGATTATTATCTTTTTTTTTTTTCTTGGAGACAGAGTCTCACTCTGTTGCCCAGGCTGGAGTGCAGTGGTATGATTTTGGCTCACTCAACCTCCACTTCCTGGGTTCAATTGATTCTCCTGCCTCAGCCTCCCAAGAAACTGGGATTATAGGCATGTGCCACTACGCCCAGCTAATTTTTGTATTTTTTGGTAGAGACGGGGTTTCACCATGTTGGCTAGGCTGGTCTCGAACTCCTGACCTCAGGTGATACATCTGCCTTGGGCTCCCAGAGTACTGAGATTACAGATGTGAGCCCATAATCCAGCATCATTTCTATGGTTATTATCATGGCTATTATTTATTTAGCTGGTGAGATAAACTTCCAGCCATGGGTCTTCTAGAAACCTGACCACTGTTCATCTGGAGCCAGTCTTGCCTCACCCACCCACTCTGACTCCAAACCATGGCCCACGGCACCTCTGGAGTTGCCTCACTGGTGTGCACCCCAGTGATAACCCCACGACTACAATGTTCAGCTTGCACTTTCTGGCTTATGTAAATAGATGTTTGCTAGGCTTGTTGAATCTCAGCTTAGTACTTTTGAGGACTGAATTAGTTGCTCCAATTTTCAGAGCACAGAGCTGTGTATTATCTAAATGTCTTTTATAATATGAGAATATCCAAAGCCTTTAAATATATTGTTTTCTATTATTGTATTAGATATTTTCTTATTCCAAAAATCTTCATTTTCTTCTCTTCTAGGACAAAAAAAGACAATAAAGAGGATGCTATTCTCTCATGGAAGTATGGCACCATAGGTAGTTGTCTTTATATTGTGTTTCTGGGAAACTTAAAATTTTACATTCAGGTTGTATGGAACTCACTGAAATGTCTACACATTACAATGATATACTGCTGCTTTTCTCTCACTTACCCTCCTTTTGTCAAGAAAACACAAAACCTTTTTTAGATATTAACTTTCAACAACCCCAGAGGATGAGATAAATGGGAACTGGAAAGAAAGTTACAGAAAGGATAGGCAATTTTCTTGCCATCGTAGAGCACACCAGAAGCAGGCAAGTTCTGTTAATTTCACAATTTCTCTAACCAGAGTCAATTTAGGTATGCCCCACTAACTTAAACACTTACATCAAAAGGAGCTTTTGTCTGACTGGTCAATTGCTGCCAGACATATTAATAGGAAAATATCTCTAGGGTAAAAATTAAAAGAAAGCTTTTTTGTAGAATTTTTGAAATGTGGTGAGAGAGGAATTGAATTGAAATACCAGCATCAGGTTTAATGCCTGGGTTTTTTAGTTTTAGCCACGCACACAAGAAAACATGAAGGCGTTATATACGTTAGGCACATAGTAGGTACTTAATATATATTTCATTCTTTTGAAAATATCCATGAAAGCCTATTTTCATTGTGGATTATTTAAATGTCTTCAAAAGACAAGTATTATCAGTATATGATGAATTTCAGTGTGTGCCTGTCTCAGCAACATCTTCCTAAATAATTAGAGAAAATTAGGAAAATTCTCTGAATCTTATGTGCTTGTAGATCTTGCATGTATGTGTTCAAATTACATAAATGTAGTCAATTACGTATTTTCAGAGAAAAACAAAATGCATTCCGGTTTGAAAGTTGGAAGTCCAGGCACCTTGGCTCATGCCTGTAATCCTAGCACTTTGGGTGGCTGAGGTGGGAGGGTCACTTGAAGCTAGGAGTTTGAGGTTTGAAGATGGGTCTCAAGTGCTAAGTTACTTTCTAGAGTTTATGTTATTTTATCCTCTTGGTTGGCTGATACTTTTTTGGGGGGTAAAGTGTGTAAGAATTTGGGGAGCGGGAAGACTAGGGATAGAGGGCACTGAATCATAGATGTGATATGGGTTTGCTGCTTCAGTGGTTGAAGAATTCTATTATCATACATGGCAGACTCTACATGTTCAAATAATAGTATTTCATTTTTCATTCCTAGTGACTAGATTAACTATTGAAAATATATTTTCTCTCTCCAGAACCCAAAAAGAGAAGAAATTTTCACCAGCTAAATTTATTAACTTGTAATGCTAAAGCAGATGGTATGATAGGAAAATATTGATTTTTCTATACTGACAGAGCAGCTGATAACTTATTTTTGGTTTGACTTAATGTATAAACTGTGAGTTAGGTCAAGGGATTTTTATGCAATTTTGTACTTGCTTATCCTGGAGTTTACAAATCCAAATATTGACTTTAAGAAACCTGAATTAACCCATTGGGGTTTTATAAGATGGCCCCAGGTTTTCCTTAAAATTTTGGTTCCCTTGTATATGTAGTTTTCATAGAGTTTCTATCATGTAGCCATATAAAGGAAATGATCCAGTGTTGGACTGTGCCACTGTGGTGTCCACACTTATGACCCTTTTTTGTGGTCCCTGTGTTCCTTTGCTTTTTTCTCTGATTTTGCTGGGGATATATTTTTAACTGTTTGTTTTGTCCAGTATTAAAGATTCCACTTTGTGCTTGTGAGGTCTCCTTTGTTCCTACCTGTACTATGACAGCTGAGCTGAACACCAAGGGAAGCAAATTCATGTCTCCTACCCTTTGGCCTATGGCCGACTGCCTCTGTGTAGGACAATTTTTTTTTTTTTTTTTTAGATGGAATCTTGTTCTCTTGCCCAGGCTGGAGTGCAGTGGCACGGTCTCAGCTCACTCTGTGCAGGACATTTTAATGTCAGGGAATGGTGAACCACATTAACAGTGCCTCTTTATAAAAGGAGAGAAAACTAGGAAAACTCCTGGAATCAGTTTTGTATGTGGATGTAGCATGTAGGTGTTTAAGGTATGTACATTTAGTCATTTTCAGAGATAGGAAGAATGCATTAACTTTGCAAATGGGTCCCAAAGGATATGTTTGGATATTTTGATACTGAAATATTATTACAGAGTATGTGTGTCCTAGATCTCTAGGTCCTTATTTCACTGGTTACATCTACCTTGGCTAATGGAGTTCTTTACTCTGTTTTTATTGTGAAATATTTATACCTATGAGAAAGTACAGAGAATAATGTAACAGCACCTACATACCCATTCCCTAGTTTAGGAAATAAAACCTAACAATTACAGTTGAAGGTCTCTGCGGGTCCTCTCAGGTCTCATAACCAGGAAGGAGTTACTAACTTGAATTTGGTGTGATCATTTTCTACATGTTTTTATACTTATCCTACATATGCATGTATGTCTAACCAAAAACTTTGTTTTTCATTTTTAGAAACTATATATAAAAGGTGTCATCATGCATGCTGCCTGATATGATAAGGCTTTGTGTCCCCACCCAAATCTCATCTTGATTTGTAATCTCCATAATCCCCATAATCTCATTTGGGGATATGGTGGATGGGGGCTGTTGTACAAAGGAATTGCAGCTGCTTACATAGCCCCACGAATCCCCCAAGAGGTAGAATCTCATCTCATCTCTGACCACTACTTCTCTCTTGGGGAGTAGCCCTGCCATGGTGGTCTGTTTCCCCCAGACTCCTGGAGTTCTAGTCAATTCATCTCATTATAATTTTTTAAAATAAAAGCTTTGTTACTTAAAAAGTCCTCATTAACTGTATTAGTCTCTAAGGGTAAGCTACCTGTTCCCCAAACTAGTATTTGAAAGTTTACTAAATACCGTGGATGTACATTATTTTTAATTTTTAATTTTTATGGGTACATAGTAGGTGTATATGGGATGTGCCTTACTGAGGGCCCAGAATTGGTTGGTAGAAATTTAACTGAGTCTGGAGCTGTGCACATGTAACCATATCGTAACCTGAATATCTCTCCAGTTAGCATAAATGGGAAACCTGTAGATTGTAGAAATGTCTGTCTCTAAATTTTAAAAACAGAAATCAAGCAGTTTATTATTTATATAAGTAAATGAAGATGATCACTATAACGTTAAGACCAAAATTAAGAATTTGAGATTTAGACCATTCAAATACAACAGAATTCTGAGAAAAAGAGAGACGTGCTGCTTAGAATGTGAACTGAGCAGTGACACATCTTTGGTGCCAGCCTGTATGTAGTTGATTTGACAGATTTTATCTGATCCCCACCTCTGCCCTCCCACTTCCTCCCCGCTGAGACCCATTTTACCAGAGTGGGAGGGGGTCGTCAAACCACAGGGGTGTTTAGAAATGAAGCAAGGTTTTGCCATGGGATGAGGATGGTGATAAAGGCAGCTTGCTTTTCGGGCCCTTTATCTCTGTGTTATAGTGTCTGTGTTATAACAGCAGCTTCAAAATATGGACCCGTTTTGTCCAACTGGTGACGCTGCATATCAGCAATGTTCTCGAGGAAGCAGGGACTCCCTCCTTGCGATGTGTCATGTGCCTGTGTATGGCTTTCTGTTCACCCAGTGATTAGTAATTCTTGGTTGTTAATGGGTAACGAGACACAGCTTGGATAGCTTGGAGAGAAAATCATTGGTCATTCCATTAAATTGAATTCTAGATATGAAATGCCGATGGCAGTGGGTTTATCCAACCTATCATATAAAGAAATGTTGCCTTTCCCATGTGTTACCAGTCAAAATTATTTCTTGGTGATATAAAACTGTGTACTCTTCTATAGTTCTGTGGAAAATGAATATTAAAAAAGACTTAAGGGGAAGCCATAAAGTGGGAGTTTAAATTTTGTTTTTAAGTCTAAAATGTGAGATTCTTTTGTAGTTTCAATTTCTTTGTTGTTAAAAAAAGCTTTTTTTCTGTTGAATTTTTTCGTTTTTTTTCCCTTTATTTTTTTTTATCAAAGTAATATATGCTTATTGTAGAAGATTTAGAAAATAGTGCAAGGTAGAATTAATATATAGTGTCACGGTTAGGATATGGGCTATGGAGTAAGGTTTGAGTTTGTGGTTCCTGGCTTTGTATAGTTGGACAATTTACTTAGCCCTTTCTAATGCTGCATTTTTCATCTTTTTAATGGGGTTAATAAAATCTACACACAGGGTTGTTGTGAAGGTTAACCAAAATGATTACTACTCTTGACAATTGGTAGTTGTTGCTGTTATCAACCTATTTATGGGAGGTAATAATGCATAGTAGTGAAGAGCATGCTTCCAGAGCTGACCCACTGGGCTCAAATCCCGTTTCTGCCACTTGCTTCCTGGGTAAACATGGATAAGTTCTTTAACATCTGTGTTTCTCAGTTTCCTCATCCATCCAACAATCATAGAATTGTTCTGAGAATTATACATGTTTATGTTCATGAACAACATAAAATAATACCTACCACATAGTACGTAAATGTTAACCATTGTTGCACAATTTCTGGTCAATCAATGCTGACATTCTAGCCTATTTTAATGGTTTGCATTGCATATACATTTTGATTCTACTTTTTCACATAACCAAAGTCCTTTCCCATGCTGTAAATAGTCTTTTTGATGACTGCTTAATATTCCACTGAATGGGTGTGTCATGATTCACTGAGCCGTTGCCTCAATGTTGACTACTAAAAGTTTCTTTCCTTCCTGCTCCCCGCCCACCAATAAATAATATTAGGAGAAATATTCTTTTGCTTACGTCCTTGTTAAAAATTCAGATTATTTAAGGGTGGAGTTTTAATTTTGACAATACCTTCTGTGTACAAAGAAGTGTAAGTAAGAGATACCCATGACTCAACAACTGGATTAGTGCAAGCTGAAGTGTCATCATATATACTTCAGATCATTCTTTGGCTAAGAATTGTGTCGTTGTGGGGTGGGCAGGGACGAGTGAAGTGGTTGGGGTGTAGGCATAATCTGCAAACAGGTGCCCAGAGGAAGCTTGGAGGCTGCTACCTCTCAGGTCCCTCTCTCCTGCCCTAGAGGGAGCCACTGTTGCCTTTTATTATCCTGGCCAAAGCACAGATCATCCACCATTTCCTATTTTCATTCAGCACACTAAGACAGGTTACAGTTTTCAAAGGGAATTTTACTAAAAATAAAAGGAACACACAAGGGGAAGGAAAAGAAAACCCGAGAAGCACAGTCCGCTTTTCTGTCGCTGCATGCCTCGTTTTCCCTGCTCCTTCCGATTCCTGATTTCCCTCTGCAGAGAGAAGTCACTGTGACCACACCCTGTCTTCTCTCTCTTTCTGTGTTCCGCCTGCACCCCCAGGGTGTGGGTCTGGAACCTGCTCATCTCCTTCTTCGATCCAATGGCTTGTCCTCGCAGGCCTGAGTTGAGGAGTTGGGTATTGGGGAGCCAGACGGAAGTTTCCCAGGGGTCCGGAAAGAAGCAACCTATTTTGAACGTCATATCTATTCTGAAAAGCCGGGGGTCTGACAGTAGCATTTATTGAATGACATAATTATGCTAGCTATTTCTCATATCCAATCCAATTTAATTCTTCCCCAACTTGAAGAGAGGGTTTATTTTTCTCATTTAATGGATGAGAAAACTGAATCTTAGAGATTTAAAATACTGTGCTCAAGGCCCATTTCTTGGCATGGGTATAACCCAGGCTATTTTTACTCATCTGGTTCCCCTCCTTCAGAATGGAAGCCCCATTAGATAATACCCAGGGTTTGCATTTGTTCAGGGCATATTGTGTGTGCATCACTAAGGGCCTTACTTGTGTTACTTACCTCACTTAATCCTCGCAGCTTCCTAACGAAGTAGATGTTATTCTCTCTCTCTCTGTCCATCCATCCATCCATCCATCTCTCTATCTTTAATTTTACAAATGAATAAACTAAGTCACAGAGACGTTTAATAAATTCTGGCAGGATCTTAAAGTTTAGTCAAGTAGGGCAGGAATTTGAAACTAGTCTAACTTCAAAATCTATACTGTTAATAACTGTTATACTGCAGAGAAGCAGTATGTATGTTTGTGTGTGTGACTATGTATGTATATAGGTGTGCATGCATATGCATATACATGTGTATATATTTATATACATGTATGTGTTTATGTGTATAGTTAGATACATAAATACATAGATGAATGGGTGGATGGATGGATGGATAGATAGATAGATAGATAAATTTCTTTGCCCATCTCATTTACTGCTGTATTTCTAGCACATAGAATAATGTCTGGCACACAGTAGGTGTTTAATAAGTATTTTCTAAATGCATGAATACATTTTCATGAGTCCAGGTCCCAATAAGAAAGACATGAAAGAGATGATGTCAAAGTAAAATATTTAAAGGAGACTTTAATTATGAAATGACTCCTCTAAATATGCAAGCCAGAAGACCCAGGGATGATTCTGGGACTCAGGAATGGCATCAGCAATGCTCCTCACCATCTCTGTGTCCCCAGAGAGAAGTGGGTGGCTACTGAAACCAGACAAGAGGACCAGTGAATGTCAGGTAAGGGACACAGAAGCTGAAGGGCCCCCAGGGAGGGAGTCAGGCCTCACTCTCCTCTCTCCCTCTAGTTGCCTGCCTGAACTTCCCAACCACCAAACCCAGTGGGAAGCTGGGGGGCAAGGGAGCCCCTTGCTGTGGTCCTCACAGGACAGCCTCTGGGGCAGAGAGGAGGGTGGAGAAGGGTGGAAAGACCTGGAGGGGCAGGGGAAGAGATCTGGCAGCGAATGGCTGTGTGCGCTAATCTGTCTGTTTCCAGGATGTCACAGTTCCTCCGGGAACATGCCAGTTACCAAGAGTCAGGACCCTGTCACTCACAGCCACGTGGGGAGAAGACAAACATTAGGGCCATATTTAAAAGCATAAGCCAGTAAGTGGCCAGAGATGGAAACTGCCAGGAAGACACGTGTCATGGTCTGGCTAAGTTGTGAAGGTATGTGCTGAAGGGCTGGGTTTAGACAGCGTCAGAGCACTCTGTCTTGATCTAGTGGATGCTGTTTGCTGCTGTCCATCATTCAACAGATGGGCTTTCCTGCTGCTGGACTGAGTCTCTGTGTGTACCATTCTTTTTCAATTGAGGCCTGTACTGCTCTTGGCAAGGATCATCTCTGCTATTAGTTTTGTTTTTCTCTCCAGTCCCCAGCCCACACTACTTCTCAGTGGAAGTTTTCAGTTAAGAACCTAGAGTTGTAGCCTGTGGTGGAGTATCTGTTGAGTCTTTTTCTGCCTTCCATAATGATGCCAATGGCTTCCTAAGCCATCCCCTGACAGGGCCGCATCTTTTCACACGAAGTTGCCCTTGGGACTAGCTGTGACCTCTGCCAGTCCCTGTACATTTTCCCATTGCTAGTCGGCCTAAATTAAGACCCTTGCATACAGGCATGTTTCCAGAGCCACACTAACTCCACTAGCTTGCCTGGCTCACAGATGATCTCACTCCCTTTCACCTTCTTTTCAAAAAAATTTTAAATTAATAAGAATTGTATATAATTATGGTGTACTATCTGATATTTTGTAACATGTGTACATTGGGGAATTGCTATATCGAGCTAACATGTATATAACCTCACCTACTTCTCATTTATTCATGGTGTGAATACTTAACATCCACTCTCTTAGTTATTTGCTTTCACCTTCTGCCTAAAGCTGTCACCTTACATAATTCCCTTGTTAAATGCTTGGTGTTTTTCTTTCCTTCTGTTTGCCCATTTTCCCTTCCAATATAGTTTTATCATCCTTGTTAAGGAATTTTAGAGGCAGAACCCCATCTAAATAATAACACATTGCTGTAGGTGGTAGAGCTTGCATTTCTTGGCAAGAATAATATTTCGTGGTGATGATTTCCTGTGACTGTATTTTCAACCCTATTCTTTCAACATGGCATGTTGATAAAAGTGTGGACGATGGAGCAACATAGGCCTGAACTCACATAACCACAGGCAGGATTCTCTTTCTTTTTTTTTTTTGAGACGAAGTCTCACTCTGTCATCCAGGCTGGAGTGCAGTGGCGTGATCTTGGCTCACTGCAACCTCCGCTTCCGGGGTTCAAGCGAGTCTCCTGCCTCAGCCTCCCAAGTAGCTGGGACTACAGGCGCGTGCCACCACACCCAGCTAATTTTTGTATTTTTAGTAGAGATGGGGTTTCACCATGTTGGCCAGGATGGTCTTGATCTCTTGACCTCGTGATCTGCCCACCTCGGCCTCCCAAAGTGTTGGGATTACAGGTGTGAGCCACAGCTCCCAGCCCACAGGTAGGATTCTTAAACTCTAGTGGCATCATTACTTCATTCGCTCGTTCATTCATTCCAAGAACATTCATTGAGCACCTCCTATGTACCAGGCGGTTTTTTAGGCAAATTGGAGATAGACAAAGCAGACTGCACCCTTTTGTCTGGGAGCACATTCCTTTATAAGATGGTGAACACAGTGTCTATCTTGGAGAGTGGTAGGATTTGGCATGTAATAGTTGCTTAATAAATCTTATTTGTCATCCTTTCCATGCAGATAATAAATCTGATATTAGATGTATTTGAAAGACTTTTGGGAAAGATCATCTGGAGGGAAAATATTTTTGTAAGCCCTTTATAAATAGACACTTTTCAAGCATCATTAAAGTTTTAAAATTTCTGATTTGTCTTCTTGGCTTTTGGGTTGTAAAGGAAGGCACTTTTTTTCTCTAAGGGTGTGAGGTAGAGCAGTTATCTCACAGTCATCCGAAGTCATTTTTCCTTCTTCTGCCACCTAAATAATAGCTCTAATTAGCAATGACAGAGGTTCTGTTTTTCTCTAAACTATTTGAGCTAGCTTATTTGAGCTAGCCAGGTTGTTTTTGATGATCTGTTTCATGTGGACACTGTCTTTAAAAAATTTAAGAAACTTTGTTTTACCTTCTTTCCCTGCTAATAGCTTTATATCTCCTAATAAATCTGTGACATTTTATCTGGCCCAGGGCTTCTATAAATTCACATATTAGATGGCTGAGCCCTATGATGTAAATTTTTAAGGCTGTCCCACTGGCTTCATGAATTTAATTCTATAATTGTTGAAATTAATGTTGTCTGACAATGTCATGATTTTCTCATTTTTTTAATGCCTCAGTGTTGAAGCATCCTGTTTGCAGTTACTAAAACCATGACAGTCCACTACAAAATATTAATTGCATTAAGAAATTACTCAATTACGCAATTTGAGTGTTCCATGTATTTCCTGCTGCAATACTGACTCATAAACTGAATTTAAAATAATTAAAAATTGAACATCTTAAATATTATTATACATTTGGGTCAAATGAATGGATAGAAATAGCTAATAAAGAAGAAAATTTACCTTTTCTAGTGTCTCAAATAGTCCCTCTGCCCTCCCTCCACCATAAAAACGAAAACAAAAGAAAACCTTCTTTTTTTAACAGGAAAAATAGGTGCTGCTTTTTGGTTGAGAAACTACTTTGTGATACTTCTGCTTTTGATTAATTAGAAAGCAGTTAGGGTCAGAGAGAGTTTTTGGGAAATACCTATTTGTGTGGGGTACATATGACTATTATTCAAATTATTGGTCAAGGAAAAGTAGCAGTGATGCTGGGAAGTTGCTGTGTGATCCCTACCCTTCTGTCATTTTCAATTATTTATTGTTTCATTGCCTGTGGGGTATTCCCAGCTATAGAATTCAAGCTAGGGATTCTGATTGTCTTAAATAGTGTAGTGTTCAGGCCTTGAGAACAATGCTCATGGTAGCTTCCAATAAATATTTTTTGAGTGAATGTGATCTGATTCTAATTAACTGCAGTGGGATGGGGAGGAGGTAGGATTTGGGGGAACAGTTAGATGCAGGTGAGTGCTCTAAAGTCCATTCAACAGGACTTTAGTCTACTGACCAAACAGTAGAGGTCAGATACAGTACAGATATCAAGGAGTGATGGGGTAAACTGGTGATCCCTAGAGTCTAGCAAGCTAGGAGCTGGCTGCAAAAATCTCATATATCAGAAGGAACAAGGCTATTGACACATAACCCCTGGAATTCTAGATAGTTGGAGAGTTTATTAGCAGGTTGTATGATGTAAGCAACATAGAAGATCCTATGTACTGGAGTACTGGGATATAAAATAAGACATAGCCTTACATTAGGTCATTTGTCACTTTAGCATGGATGACTGAAAAATATTATATCTTCTATTTGAAATGGAAAAAAATCAATCAACCTTAGTTGTAATAAATGTTCTTTTAAGATGGTGAATTAACTGTTATTTTAAATTTTATAATAGATTTTAGATGGCTGAACTATAAACTGTAGCATGTTGATTTAAAAAGTGTTCCAATTTTGAAATACAGATGATGAAATTGACAGTGTGATTAGATAAAATCAAAGATATTTTTCCTTGGGCAACTGTAAAACATCAATCAAATTCTTTATTTAAAACTTCATAAGACAGTCTAGAGATGCTGAAGTAAATATGACTTCCCTCTTGGACACTTTATGATGTAACAGGGAATAAATTGATTTTATTTCTTAACAAGGGACAAACTACATAAGACAAAGAATAAAAAAAAGCCTTGAAATGGGCTTTAGTAATTTCTAGGCCCTGTAAAATGCTGCAGATGTCTGTATTGAAAGGTGATTGCAACATTTCTTGTGGTACAGCATCAACTTCATTTTTCCTGGGCTGAAGATTAATACCACAGGAAATTAAAGAACATAGTAAAGCCCAGAGAAAACTGGAGGCAAAATAGCTGGTGCAAGGTCAATATCCAAGCAACGAGGTAACAAGATCAGCAAATGCTAACAGCAGCTTCTAACTTTCTTTAATGAAAATTGCCCACTGAAATAACACCAGGTAAGTGGGCTTAGTTTTGTTACCTTGTTGCTGGATGATTTCTTCTTAGAGCATTGCTCTTTCTATAGGAGTACTGTATTCAGGCCTATCGCCCTGACAGCTGAATCAGAAATGGAAAAATCAGAAGGAATTTGTTTACAGAGAATTATTGTGTCTGCTAGTGAATTTTAAATAGTTTACACTTAGGACTTCTATGCCTTCTATGCCATTTTTTAGATTTCCATCCTTCTCCACTTGAATATTAATTTCTCATTTATCAGGGAGCATGCTTTAGCTCATAGAGTTTCAAGTTAGGACTCTTTTGTAAGGAGTAGGGATGACTCTTCTTCTAGCCTGTGTATATATATGTTTCAGTGGGGTTTGTGGATATGACCTGGTAAAAGGTGTCAAGTTAGGAGCTTCTGTGGCATTGTTATATCATGGAACTGCAGAATTTATGATGTGCATTTTGATTTGGAAATGGAATATGACTGCATAATATGCCTTAGTATGGATGGATGTGTTTGTGTTTTAAGTGACTCTTACTATTGTTAGCCATGCTTGCTTTGGAATACTTGGTTTCATGAGAGAACAAAATAATTTTTTCCAGTTGAATTTTCAGTATTAGTATGTTAGCTGTGTAATCCAATGAGGACAAGAATGGGAGAAATCATGAGTGACATTGGAGCAGGGAAGCAGAGTGGGACAGGAAGGAGGCATCTTTATTCTGCAATACGAAACATGATAGTTGCCATTTAGCAAATGCCCTGATGATGAGGTGGCCTCATATGTAGAGGCGTGCTTGTTGTGTTGGTCAGCACAGCCCCCAGACTCTGGAACAGGACAGCTTGTTCCAATGCCCTTTGCAATGTGGTTGCCTGCACAGTGGCTTGAACGCCTCACTGACACCATTCAGCTAATTTCAGCTTCGGTGTTGGCAGTGTTGATATACACAGAGCATTTTTCTGATGCCCCAGCCTGGGCCTGAACCCAAGAACCTTCCCTAGCATTGACATTCACGGATGGACCAGAGCAATTGCTTTCAGAATAGAATAGCTGTACTTTGTGGTGATACAAAATAACCCCTTGAATGTCCTTTCTGGAATGGATATGGGGGGGGGGAAGTTTTTGTCGTTTTTTATTTTCAGGTTATTTCTTTATTTGTGTCTAACTTGGGGGATGGTAGAAGAAGAAAGAAGATTGCTTAGATGTTGTAATAACATATATGTCACAATTTTTGGCTATGACTATGTAACTGACCCTGATAGTTGCTAACATAAAAGGTCAACAATGCTTTCCTTGGATATCTAGTTGGGGGACTTCAATCTCCCTCTCTAAGCCATGGGCAGTTTCTTCCAGATGGCAGCTAGTTCTTTATATAATCTAAAGCAAAATATTCCCTTCCCTCCCCTCCCGTCTCAATCTTCCCTTCCCTCTTCTTCCTTTCCCTCCCTTCCCCTTTCCTCCTCTTCTCTCCTCTCCTTTTGCACAGTATAAATTCAGTAAATGTATAAGAGCATGACTCAGCCTAATAGCAACCAGCTGTCCATCCTAGAGGCACACATAGCTCCTTTCCATGTTACCTATGGGTTTTCGAGATGTTCTAATTTCCGAGTCAGGATATCAGCCTCTGTGGTGCTTTCAGTTATCCATTGGTTCTTCAGGCTAATGATTGCAAATGAGACCCCAGAGCCCCATCACTGTTAACAGTGCTGGTTTGGATAGAGAAGAGTAAAGTCTCAAGGCCTATACCAAATTCTAACTTGAGAAATTTGAGATGAGCTGTTTGTCACTTTTTTTTTTAAGTGTCTCTCCGTCTGCTAGGCTGGGGTGCAGTGGTGCCATCACCAATTCATGGCAGCCTCGACCTCCTGGGCTCAAGTGAACCTCCTACCTCAGCCTGCAGAGTAGCTGGGACCATAGGCATGCCCCACCATGCCTGGCTAATTTTTTAATTTAAGACAGGATCTCACTATGTTGCTCAGGCTGATCTTGAACTCCTAGGCTCAGTGATCCTCCTGCCTTGGCCTCCCAAAGTGCTAGGATTATAGGCGTGAGCCATCACAGCCGATCTGTATGTCACCTTTTAGAAATTAACAAAACAACCTTGCTTATATATGTTCACAGTATTATGTTCTAGGCAGAATATAAATTGTCTTGTTTTAGGATAAAAGGAGACAGAGTTAGAATTAGGCAGTGCTTGGTCATCGAAGGTTACAGAGCCACCTAATTGTTTCATGATGCTGTAGACCAGTGATCCTTCTACAGGATTCTTCTGGTAAGAATCTCACATTCTCTAAAAATGAATGTCTGCTTTACCATCCATTACTTTGATTTCTTTTAGGCCATTCTTAAATAAATTGGGCAGACTTTTATGTTTGTTTAAGTGGAGCGTGTTTGCATTGTTACTGGGAGTGTGTTTAATTTTTCCAAAGGGTAATTGAACTATTCTGAAGTTGAATGCATGGTTTGTGCACCACAATATATTAGCTTGTAAGTTGGCAATTGAGAGAGTCCCTAAGAATGAAACATTTCCTTCAAGCATCGTAAGTATTTTGGGAGCTTAAAATGTGAATTTTGATCAGAGACATTTTTTGTAGATGGTAGACTTAATTGGTCACACCTGACAGGTTTACCCATATGCGAAGTCATTTGAGAAGTAAATGTGCATCACATCAAGTTTGGCCTAATTAAATTATCTGGGGTAAATAAGTATGTGGAAATGCTATGCCATTACTATAAGTCACCTACACTAGGAGGTGTAAACAATTAGCTATATGGGGTTTATTCCTTTTGGAAGTCTTTTAATGAACTACCAAATAATTTCCAAAGTCCACAAGTTAGGAAACATCAGACTTTAATATTTTAAGTATTGTTTTTTTCCCCAAAGGGGAACATTTTTACTGGGCATAATCATCTTACTTTGGAATATTTTCCTCACTGCATAGTTAGGATTATTTTAGATAATCATGTTGAATATGCAGCTCTTTATTTTATTGATGGAGGAGGTAGTACTAGAAAAGGGAAGCAATAGATCTAAGTGTTCTTGTACATCCATCCCACCTTGCATCAGTCTATGATAGAACATTTTATTTTAATAACTTTACTTTTCTATTTTAATAAATGATACATTTACAAATGGATTCTGGGTTTTTTATTCTGTGTTATTTATCTGGCAATTCTATTTACCCAGATTTTTTGGTTTTCATGTCTATATTTTCTGTTTGTGACCAACTAAAATTGATGAAAGTTAAGTATCTCAAGATTTAAGAAAGAATCGAAACTAAATTTCAACTGGGTAAAAAAGGGGGAATGTAAAAGAGTGAATAGAAGTATAGAGAAGTAGCTTATAAGCATGCCACCATTTATATGGAGAGTCCTGGGATAGTAGTATTAGGAAATTTGGTTTATGGTCTTGCCAATGACTCACTGATCTTAGTTAAGTGCGTTTTGTTGGGTCTCTGGGCTTCTGTTGCCCTCAGTGGTGGTGGGAATAATCAGGTTTCAGTGAAGACACAACCTCAAGTGTCACTTTAATGTAGACTGATTGGTTTTGGAGAGGGTCTGCCCTCTCAAAAACATATTTGATATACTAATTTAAATAATTTAGAACACTTAAAAACAACCAACCAATAGATTTATGTACATTTCAAAGAGGAAATACCTTGAAGATTTTTATGATTAAGATAAAGAAATTGGCCAGACGCAGGGGCTCATGCCTGTAATCTGAACACTTTGGGATGCCAAGGCGGGCAGATCACCTGAGGTTGGGAGTTCAAGACCAGCCTGACCAAAATGGAGAAACCCCGTCTCTACTAAAAATACAAAATTAGCCATGCATGGTGGCTCATTCCTGTAATCCCAGCTACTCAGAAGGCTGAGACAGGAGAATTGCTTGAACTTGGGAGGCGGAGGTTGCGGTAAGCCAAGATCGTGCCATTGCACTCCAGCCCCGGCAACAAGAGCGAAACTCCATCTCAAAAAATAATAATAATAATAATAAAGAAATTAAGACATTATAATATCTTTTGTTTTGGTGGTGGTTGTATATATTCTTGCTAATCAAAATATGTGAACCTTCTAACACATACTATTTAAATGGAACAACACATTCTGTGTTTCAATTTCTGTCTTATACATAGTGAATATTTTTCTGTTTAAGTAAATAAAATGGCATAGTTATATTCTTGGGGGCCTTTAAATCTAGGATAGACATCTTGGTATGAATACACATTTATGGCACATACATATGGTAAAGTGAAATATTAAACCAAGATATGAAAGAATCTTTTGTCAAGTACAAGGCAAAGTCTTTTAACAATGGTTATTATTGATGAGAGCCAGCTACTCTTAACATTATTCACATTAATTGATTAGACAGTCAGTAGTGTCTTGGTGCTCCATCGTGATGTTATCTGGCTAGTGTGCTGCATAAATATTTTTATATCATTTAAAACTGTGGCCTGTAAAATCCATAGTTGTAAGGATTAGTCCCTTTATCTTGACACTAGATAGAAGTATTTTTGGCCAATCTCTTGGGAAAAATATGCCCTAAAATATTGGTTTTACATGATCCCATATTTTGCACGTTCCATACAAAAGTACAAATACGGCTCCCATATCAGATATATTTCTTCTCATCAACAGACTATATTTACTACAAACTTTGGGATAAATATTTACCCATTTTTGCTCTAAAAATAGATACTTAACAGCACTTGTTGAGAGCCATGCTAATCAATTTCATCTGGCCTCTAAAACAGGTGTCATTTTGATAAATGGTCCTAATTAAGCTGAGATATAAAGTAGGAAGCCGATTGAGTTAATGCATTGGCACCTATATGGCCACGGTCAGACAAGTACAGATGTTACGATGAGGTAAAGGCAGCCCTTTATTAACTTGGTTAAGTTTTCAAGTTCTACATCTCCCGTTGTTTGATCAAAGAACCTCTGTACTGTGACACCACTGGCTTTAACTTGCATTTATTCACATGGTTGCAGGAGACAAAGGTAGCTATGGAAAATTTAGCTCTTTCAGGTTATTTTTTAAATAACTGATTTCTATCCTGCAGTGAGAGACAAATGCATAAAAATGATTAATTAGACAAGAAGCCTCATTGTTTCCAATCTATGAGTCATATTTTTTTCTGCACAACATGGGTTTCAACTGCTGGAAACAAAGCTCTTTTATGTCTTCTTATATTAATTTCAATACAGATTGTCCAGGTAGAGAATGTGCAGAAGGCCTTCATTGCATGCTTCTTCATGATTGTTGGTGCAAGATGACACAAGGACTGACCTTCTCTTTTGAATTCCAGTTGCTTTATGATCTCACAGTATCAAATTATACCATCAACAATTCTACGGTTGGGTATTCCAAGAGAGGACTTGTAATTTCTCTTTTTATCTCTACTTATTCATTAAAAAATTCATGGGAATAGGAGAGGTATGTTGAGGGCATATTTTAACAATCTCGGAGAACTTAGTTCAGTTGATCTTTCTTAGAAGGTTATCACCTCAGCCTTCTAATAAAGGATCAAGTAGTAGATATTTCAGGCTTTGTGGGCCATATATTCTCTGTTGCAGCTACTAAATACTGTTGTTATGATGTGAAACCAGCCATAGATAATACATATGTGAATAGGTATGGCTGTGTTCCAATACAACATTATTTATGGCTATCAAAATTTGACATTTCATATAATTTTCATGTGTAATGAATATATAGTTTTTCTGAGACAGAGTCTTCCTGTGTCACTCAGGCTGGAGTGCATTGGCACAATCTTGGCTCACTGCAACCTCTGCCACCTGTGTTCAAGTGATTCTCCTGCTTCAGCCTCTGAGTGGCTGGGATTACGGGATTACAGCCAGCTGCCACCACACCCAGCTAATGTTTGTATTTTCAGTACAGACAGGGTTTCATCATGTTGGCCAGGCTGGTCTTAAACTCCTGATCTCAAGTGATCCGCCTGTCTCGACCTCCCAAAGTGCGAGGATTACAGGTGTGGACCACCGTGCCCGGCCTGTCATGAATATTCTTTATTTTTTTATGCAACCATCTAGAAATATAAAAATGTTCTTAGCCTGTAGCCATACAAATACAGGCAATGGGCCAGTGTTGGTCCATGGGATGTTGTTTGCCACCCCTTATTTTAATGCATTTCTTGAAACTCTGTGCAAAGGAATTAAGCATTGTTTCTGCCTTCAGGGAACTTTTCATTCAGATGGAGGAAAAGTCAGTCACATAAAAACGGATCAATGTAATAAAACAGAACGTCATTAAAGGCTAAAACAAAAACCATACTAATTCTCTGGCCAGCCCCAGAAGGAGGAAGAGGGACCAGGAGAGGGTGAGTTAAGGAGCAAGCATTGCACAGAGGAATGTGCGTGTAGGCGTGGGTGTGAGGAGAGCAGTGTGGATGGAGAAGCAGAGGTCCTAAGGTACATGCAGCTCAGACAAGAAAAGGCAGAAGATGCTTTTTAAATTTAGGAAGGGTTTCAAGTTATCATAAGGGAGCCAAAATGTCCCCCATTTCAAGATCTGGTTTTGCTCTTTTGTATAGCCATCAAAATACCAAAAAGTGAAATTAATTATATACTTAGTTTGAATGCCATGGTTTATGCTGAAAAACCCAGGAGGGGTACTGATTTTGGTTTTCTCTGATTTTTGGGGCCTATCACTTTGGTGCTAGACAGCACTTGCCATTTCTCATTCCTCCATGTACATTTGGTCATTCGGTAATCACTATTACACCACCTTCTGTGAGTTAAGAATTAGACTGGTGCATTAGTCAGGTCAGGCTGCTATAATAAAATACCATACTCTGGGTGGCTTAAAAAACAGGCACTTATCTCTCACAGTTCTGGAGTCTGGGACGACTAGCTTAAGGTGCTGGTGGATTTGGTCCTAGTGAGGGCTCTCTTCCTGGCTCACAGATAGCTCCCTTCTCATGGTGTCTTCATGTGGTGGAGAGAAAGACAGGAAACCCGCCCTCTAGTGTCTGCTCTTAAAAGGGCATTAATGCTACCATGAAGATTCCATCCCCATGACCTTATCTAACCAACCCTATTATCTCCCAAAGGCTCCACCTTCAGTTATCATCATATTTGGAGTTAGGGCTTCAACATATAAGTTTGGGGGTCACAAACATTCAGTCCATAACAAATGGGTATTGAGGATATAAATAACAGAAGAGAACATAATTTCAGCCTTCAAGGGGTTCACTATCTCAGGGGGAGACCCCCCCCTTTAGGCTCTTAGTATTACAGAGTGATACATGATGAAATAAAGGGCACATTGCAAGGGAGGATTCAGGCAGAAGCACTTAACTCTGCTTGGAAGGTTAGGGCAAGGGAAGGATTCACAGAGAGGGAAACATTTAGGCTGTGTCTCAAAAGACAAGTAAGAAGTAACCAAGAAGAATATTCTCTACAGTACATGCGGAGTTAGGAAAGCACGGGGTATGTTCAAGAATTGCAAGTAACTCAGGTTAGAGCATGGGAGGAACATGTTGAATTGGCAGAAGATGAGTCTAAAAGAGCATCAGAGCTTAGGAGTTTGAAAGATTTTTCATATTAAGGAGTTTCAACTTTATCCTGTGGGTAATGGTGAGTTGTTGAAGGACCCTGAGAAGAGTAGTGATATACTCATTTTTGTCTTTTAGAGTGTAATGTTGAAGATGGATTGGAGTGGGCAACAGGATATGGCAGGGAAACAAGAGCCCATCATTTTGGTCCATGTGAGAAATGATGAAAAGTTAGAAAGGCATTGAGGCTTGGAACGGAGAGGGTAGAAAACTCTCAGGGTACTGGTTTTGACAACTGTATGGATGATCAACCAGATAGGGATCACTGGATTGATTTGATGGGAAAGGTAAATTGAGTGTTTGGAGATGCTGAATTTGCGGTTCCAAGTGTAACTATTCAGATCCTAGATGAAATATGGGTCTGGAGATGCAGACTTGGGAGTTACTCAGCATGAAATTGTAGTCAAAGCCTTGGGAGCTGAGGAAACAGGTCAGGGAGGGTGAGTTATAGGAGAAGAGGAGGTCCAAGGATGGAATTTGGTGAAGACCAATATCTGGGAGGAGCATAGGAGCAGTATGGAAGCCAAGAGAGGACTGGATGGGAATGGAGGAAGTGGAGGCATGAGTGTAGACTTCTCTCACAAAAATGGAACTAAATTGCTTTTGGGGGCCTCAAAGTCAAGAGAAGCTTTCTAAAAGATGGGCAGTATCTGAGCATGTTCACAGGCTGAGATGATGGGGCCAGTAAAGACAGATGGTTCATGATATAGCAGAGAAAGGAGGCAGGGTCCTGAAAATGTTAGGATCCAAATGATTAACTTGGATAGGAATGGAACCCAAGACAAACAGAAAGACGTGAAGATACTTGCGGAAATTGACAAATATAGTGGTTGAGGATTAAGAAGTTAAGGCGGCTCCCACCTGGATCTACATCTTGTCTATATGGGAGGTGGTAAGACCACCTACCCTGGGTAAGGTGGAAAGAGAGGTATGAAGGGTAATGTGGAAGTGGCCAGTTAGGAAAGCAGGGAGGGGCTGCCTCAGTGAAACTCCAGAATGTGTGCATGTTGAGGGAGGGATTGGAGAAGAAAGCAAGTGGGACCAGTACAGAGCTCCTCCATCCTTACTGTGCCTGTTGATCCTGTGGGAATCTTGCTAACATGCAGATTTTGATTCATTAGGTCTGGGGTGGGGCTTGAAATCCTGAATTTGTGACACTCCCAAGTCCCAAGTGATGCTGATACTATAGTCCTGTATTAGTCCATTCTCACACTGCTATAAAGAAGTGCCTAAGAATAGGCAATTTATAAAGAATAGAAGTTTAATTGGCTGACGGTTCCATAGGCTGTACATGAAGAATGGTTGGGGAGGCCTCAGGAAACTTATAACTATGGCAGAAAGCAAAGGGGAAGCAGGTGTGTCTTACATGGCCAGAGCAGGAGGAAGGCGGGAGGGGAGGTGCTACACCCATTTAAACAACCAGATCTCATGATAACTCACTATCATGAGAACAGTACCAAAGGGGAGATCCACCCTGTGATCCAGTCACTTTCCACCAGGCCCCACCTCTCACATTGGGATTTACAATTGGACATGAGATTTGGGCAGGGACACAGACCCAAGCCATATCAAGGCCCATGCGCAAAAGTTTGAGTAGCAAGAAAGTAGGACGTTTTTCTGGAACTGGCTTGTATATACTCGCTGTATTTACTAAGATTATATGTTTATGTGAAGGGTGGGGTTAGATGAAGACTGCTGATAGAGTACATAGGGGGGTTAACCTTCTGACGCTAGCCTCAGTCTCTGTACTGACCAGTCATAAAGTGTAAATACAAGCTATTGTTCCCTATGATGTTGGAAATAAAAATGTTAATGACACCAGTGTGAAGGATTGTGTGCTTGTTTCCAGCAGCATTTGTCTGCTTGGGTATAAGAGGGATACACATAGCCCATTGTTCTGAAGGGGAGTGTGGTAGGAAAGTTGAAGAAATGTGCCGCATTGACCAGATCTGGAAAAGAGGTACAGCACATAGCCTGGAGAGGGTGTTAAGGTGCAAGAGTGAGAAAACTGGATTGTTACGAAATTATGTTCTGAGAGTGTGAATTCAGAGTATAAGATGCTAGAGCAGAGGTAGGTAGCCTGAGATATGACACAGTTCAACAGTGGCTATCAGTGTGGTTGTTAAGTAGGTGTTGGGATGGATGGCAGGAGTTGAGGATCAGAGAAAGACAAATGTGAAAGCTTCGCTGGTTGTGAAAAAGATCATAGGATTGTAGTAATAAGGAAAAGGAGGTGTTGGGGATAGTAGAGTCAGAGGTCATGAGCCTCTGAGAAATGTCCTACAAAGGTAGGAGAGTAACCAGAAATGGCAGACAAAATATAAACAAGAATGCTTCTGTATTGGGTGTGAGAGAATGTGCAGTCTCCACCAGAGAGGGCTAAAAGGGGAAAATCAGTACCTAGGAAGTGCAGGATCTAAATAGGTTGGTGAAGAGCTCTGAGCATCCTGAGATAAGCTTGAAAAATCACAGATGGGAGTGTCAGGGGGACAGTGGTAATGAGCAGGAGGGTTTCCAGGGAGCCCAGAGACAAGGACTGGAGAGGGATTGGCTGTGGGGGAATCAGGTGCAACCAGGGAAGGGAAGATCAGTAGGAAGATGAACATGGGAGAAATGATCGGTACCTAAAGATGATTTCCCTTGGTGCTGTGCTCAAAGATGAGAAGCAACAGAGATTTTGTTGACTGGTCTAGGGGTTCTGGCTGAAACTTGGGTAAAAATGATGTTGGGAAAGAAATTAGCAAACGTGTTCCCAGGATGGATGTGTTGGGTGGTTAGGCCTAGTGTGTTTCATGATGTATGTGGCCTTGGTCAGCCAAAGAAGAGGTCTGCTTATTTTATGCCTACCAAACAAGAAACCTCTACAGGTTTAATTTCATACTTTTGGTAAACATGTTAAGCATTCTTTTTGAATGACAGTGCAGAAGAATCTATTGCATGATTGATACATTGCCTTTTTAAAAATAAAATACTGATTTTGTGTAAATAATATGTTTTTCTCTAATTGTAGTGTGGAAATATTTCTATAAATTGGAAAACAAAAAAATTACAATAAAATGAATTTCTAACTTCCTGCCCTAAGTGGGACCACTATTAGGCTAGCAAGAGTAGAATTTCCATCCAGAAAAAGGACTTTTTATTTATTTTTTCTTGAAGTTATATAAGGTATTATATGCAAAAGTCTTGTCATGGCTATGGAATGGGTAGAATATTGCAGTGTTGCATCATTGGTTCTTTTTGTTCCTTTAGTTTTGTGTAGTAGCTATTACTGTACCATTGAAAGCAATAGCCAGTGGAAAATGCGGTTTTGAACTTGATGAATATAGAACATTCATTTTATTATAAAGGGTTTGGAATAACTAAGAAATCAACTATAGTTTGAAGAGTTCCAGCAAAATAAATCTGAAATGGAAAGAGAAACAGTGATGAGGGCTGGAAAGGATACATAACAAATGAAGATAAAGCCAGTTATGAGGAAGACCGAAAACACAGAAGGAAATTGGGAGAATAATAAAGGAGATAATGAAACACAATAGAAAACAATGAGATGATAGCCATTTGTGTTTACCTGGGAGCTTCACTCAGAAATTAAACTTGATAGGAAGAGGGAATGTGGAGAGGTTGGGCAGCAAGCTGATAATGACTTGGTACCTGAAGTTTAGAGATGTGGTCGGAGCAAGTCTGTCAATAGGAAATAAAATTTATAGAAGGAATTTAAATATAATTCAGGGAGCTTTTGGGGATTTAGTGTTAAGGATCAACATGGTCAAAATTACAGCAGGAAATAATTTGCATTCAGGATGCAGACTCACAAAGAAGCCAGGGAGAGGCATTTTAGGGGAAAGAATGTGGTTACCTTACTTACTGTGTGTTGGATGGGACACACCATAGCACATCAACATACCCACGTTCTGCAATGGATGCAACTTATAAACAAGACTCTTTCTTTTGGGTCTTTGTTTTTTCATCTGTTAAAAAAAAAAAAAAGGAAAGAAAAAGAAGCCAGGCATGGTGGCTCACGCCTGTAATCCCAGCACTTTGGGAGGCTGAGGCAGGCAGATCACCTGAGGTCAGGAGTTTGAGACCAGCCTGGCCAACATGGTGAAAACCTGTCTCTACTAAAAATACAAAAATTAGCCGGGCATGGTGGCACGTGCCTGTAATCCCAGCTACTAGGGAGGCTGAGGCAAGAGAATCGTTTGAACCCAGGAGACGGAGGCTGCAGTGAGCCTAGATCTAGCCTGGGTGACAGAGCAAGACTCTGTCTCAAAAAAAACCAAAAAACAAAAAACAAAATGTATTAGTCTGTTCTCATGCTGCTAATAAAGACATACCCAAGACTGGGTAATTTATAAAGAAAAAGAGATTTAATAGACTCACAGTTCCATATGGCTGGGGAGGCCTCATAATCATGGTGGAAGGCAAAGGAGGAGCAAAGACATGTCTTACATGGCAACAGGCAAGAGAGAATGTGAAGGGGAACTCCCCTTTATAAAACCATCAGATCTCATGAGACTTACTATCATGAGAAGAGCCTGGGAAAGACCCACCCCCATGGTTCAATTACCTCCCACCATATCCTTCCGATGATACGTGGGAATTATGGGAGCTACAATTCAAGATGAGTTTTGGGTGGGGACACAGCCAAACCATATGAAAAGAATATACCCAAGCTTGGCAAGGTACAAGGGCACTCTTAGATGCTGCTTATACAAACTTCCTCTGAAGACAGTTGGATAATATGTTTCAAAAACCTTAGAAATTCCCATTTTCTATGCCTAAATAATACTATGTCAAATGATTTGTTGTAGATAATATCTAAAGATATCTTCAAAGATTTATGCCTAGGGTTGCTCATACAGTATTATTTATAATAACCCAAATTTGGAAACAACCGAGACATATAAAAATAGTAAATTGCATAAATAACTCTCAGCTGATTTATCCAATGTGATACCATGCATTTATTAAGACCATGTTGTAGAAGAATCTTTAATGTTGTTGGAAAAATGTGATATACAGTTAAGGAAGAGAAGTAGTTTCCCATAGTTCGTATGATATGGGGAAATAATATATATGACTAAATGTATAGATGAGTACTGGATATTTCATTATTATTTATGATTGCTAGTCGAAAAAAATTTATATTAGGGGATTATCTAGAAATCTAGCTTTTAAGAAGTACTCTGGTTGAGCTGCCACACCACAAGGATTTGAACTAGTCAGAGCAGGCAGTCAACTGATGTTTGAAGGTGGGCTTCCCCACAACCCTATCAAGCAGAAACTGTTTTTTATCAAAGCGGAATGCAGGCTGCTTGGAGCCACACATAGAACCAGCAAAGAGGAAGCCACAAATGGGTCATAGGGGAGTAAGATGGGATCACCATTCCTAGCAAATAAATCTAAAATACCAACAAAAAGTTTTCAGTGAAATGTAAAATAAATAAAAAGGGCGTAGCATGGGTTGTTTTTTTTCCTTGTCCTCTATTATTTTTTTTAAAGATTTAGCAATCTCCTCCCCCAACCACCATTCAAAAACCCCTGAACAGATATAACACCTTTACCTCCAAATCCTAGTTGTCATCTACTGATCTCCTGGTCATCCCTCTTCGTTAATTGAAGATTAGCTCCTGATGCCAAAGTCTTATTTCCTTCCCCAAACCAGATTATTATTTTTATGGCTGTATTAGTCAGGGTTCTCTAGAGGGACAGAACTAATAGGCTACATGTATATATGGAGGGGAGTTCATTAGGAGAATGGGCTTACATGATCACAAGGTAAAGTCCCACAATAGGCCATCTGCAAGCTGAGGAGGAAGGAAGCCAATCCAAGCCCCAAAACCTCAGAAGTACGGAAGCCAACAGTGCAGCCTTCAGCCTGTGGCCAAAGGCCAGAGAGTCCCTGGCAAACCACTGGTGTAAGTACAACAGTCCAAAAGCTGAACAACTTGGAGTCCGATGTTTGATGGCAGGAAGCATCCAGTACTGGAGAAAGATGATGGCCTGAAGACTCAGCAAGTCAGCTCATTTTACGGCTGCTTTTTCTAGTCATGCTGTTATGCTGCTAGCTGATTGGAAGGTGCCCACCCAGATTAAGGGTGGGTCTGCCTCTCACAGTCCACTGACTCAGGTGTTAACCTCTCTAGCAACACCCGCACAGACGCACCCAGAAACAATATCTTGCATCCTTCAATCCAATCAAGTTGACACTTAATATTAACCATCACAGGCAGCTTTGACACCCATTCACTCATCCAACCCCTAGCCTCTTGGTTCCCTTATCTTTTCAAACAATCACCTTTTCTGCTGTCCCCTGCAATACAGTCTCACTGTCCATTCCTCACCTCTGCCACTCTCTCTTCACTTTCCTCCATACTCAGCTTAGACTCCATAGTTATCCCCCATAACTCCCTTGCTAAAGCCCTCAACTTTTTTACCTTTCTTCTTCTGTTATTTATTTCTAGAAAAACTCTGACGCCATGAATCTGTCATTCACTGTCTCCTTGCCAGCACTCAAGCAGCTGAATATTCCTAGAGAAGAAATACACAAGAGGTGCCAAGATTTAATTTTAAATGCATGATCAAAAACCTCAAATAGCCAGTCAGCACCAAACTGCTATCCTACTATACTTCTCCAATAGGCTCAATTTCCCACTTCCTGAAATGGCTCTGTCCTTTCATCTGCTCTCCTCAAATCTTTTTAGACCTCTTCTTCCCACTTCTCTGTCAGCTGGTGTATTACTCCATTCTCATGCTGCTTTGAAGAAATACCCAAGACTGGGCAAGTTATAAAGAAAAGAGGTTTAATTGACTCACAGTTCCATGTGGCTGGGGAGGCCTCAGGAAACTTACAATTATGGGAGAAGGCACCTCTTCACAGGGCAGCAGTAGAGAGATTGAGAACTGAGCCAAGGGGGAAGCCCCTTATAAAACCATCAGATCTCATGAGAAGTTGCTCAGGAGAATAGCTTGGGGAACCCCACCCATGATTCAATTTACCTCTCACTGGGTCCCTCCTACAACACATGGGGATTATGGGAGCTACAATTCAAGATGAGATTTGGGTGGGAACACAGCCAAATCATATCAGCTGGTGACCTTGCCTCTTAGGCCATTGAGAAGATAGAAGCCAACAGAATGAAGTTTATTTGCTTTTTCCTAACCAAATCTGTAAATGCATCTACATCATTCTCCCCTTTTATTACAATAGGGAAAATATCCCTCCTCTTCCTCTTCCTTCTCTTCCTTCTCCTCCCCCTTCTATTGCCCTTCCTCTTCCTCCTATCAAAGCCAGTTCTTTTATTTTCCACTGGATTCTATTCCTGATTTTCTGCCTTCTGTGGGACTTCCTTCTCTAACTCGTTTCTTCTCTTTGCATCATTCATCTCTTCCTTATTACCAGATCAGTGTTTAAAAATAAACCTCAAATAGTTGACCTCATATTCCTCCCTTATATCTGCTCCATTCCTATTTTCTTAGTGATCACTGTCTTTAAAAAATTGTCTACGTGTGCTGTCTCTAATGCTTTACCTCTAATCTTGTTTTTAACCCCAACACTCAGTTGAAACTGTTCTCATCAAGGTCATGAATGAGCTTTGTATGGGTTAATTCGGTGGACACATCTTTGTCCTTATTGGTCTTAAGCTTTACTCAGTGCTGGGTTTAGTTGACCACTTCCTTCTTGAAACATTCTGCATTTTGCTTTTTAAACTCCAGACCCTCTTGTTTTTCTTCATATCTCACTCGATGACTTTTCATTGTTCTGCCTCAAAATGTTGGTGTTTCTGTCAGCTAAACCTGGGCCTTGGTTTTTAACTCCTCCTACCCCTGTACCTTCTCTCTGATAGATCTTATTCTCTACCTGTGAATCTCCAGTTGCCATCTTGACATCTTCAGTTAATTATCTTATGAGCTTCTCAAACTTAACATGTCCAAAGTGGCACCTTGAATTCCATCCTCCAAACCTGTTCCTCTCTCAGTCTTCCTTATCTCAGTAAAGACTACTATCATCTATCTAGTTGTTTAGGAAAGAACTCTGGGGGGTCATCCTTGCTTGTCCCTTTTACCTCTCACATGCAATTTGTCACCAAAATCTATGGCTTTGCCCTTCTATATATCTCAAAACTGTCTGTCATAGTACAGGCCCATGTCTACCATCAACATCCTAAGCCAAGCCACATCATCCCTTACTTGAACTAACTCTCCCTGCACCCAGTCTTGCCACTTTTCATCCATTGGTCAGCCAAAGTGCTTTCTTTTTTGAAGGCAAATCCAATTTCGCCTGTTAGATTAACTATAGGCTCTTTATGATGGCCGACAAGGCTCTTTTGTTGTCATCCCAGTCTGATTCTGTGCCTGTCTGTCTTTTGCAAATGCGACCTCATTCTTAGGTTTTAGATTAAATGCAGTTAATTCAGAGAGGCATTCCTCAAGCTCGTAATTAAAATGAATTCTTTCTTCGTCATTATTCTCTAGCACAGTACCATTTTAATTTTAGTTTTCTTTACAAGACTCATGGCTTAGGATTATGCATATTTGTGTGTTTATTGTATGTTTCCTCTGCAAGGCTGGAAGCCCCAAGAAGTCAGGTTGTTGTCCCCTCCGATCACTGTTTTACCCCAGTACCCAGCACAGTGCTTGTGCATAGTCGATAGCGTGCTTTCAATATATTTGTGAAACAAATGAATAGACAAATATTTGCCAAGTGTTTATTCTACTTGGTGCCTACGTGAAGAGAAAGGGTAAAAATGATCCAGATTGTAAGATGATTATCTTGTGCCTGGGTGACACAGCATAAGTGGTAAGGGTTGGCAGTGCAACACGGGGAAACAAAATAAACAGCAAGATTTAGACCTTGAAAAATGACAAAATGATTGTATCTTCTCACGGATGGGGAAGTAGGGCAATGATATGGACTGAGGAAGGAATACTCAGAGTTCTGTATTCTGTTCCTTATATGGGAGACCTTATCCTTACAAAATCTCTTCAGGCAACCTGACTCAAAAATTGCATTCATGCAATGACTCAGAATGGAATACAGAACAGAAACCACAAAGCAATTAAAGTTGAGAAAGTTTGGGCACCTTTCAGGTCATTAATATCTATATACGCCCAGCGAATGTGTACCACGGAAATAGTTCATATGAAGGTTAATTATTTACATGACAGATGCTTATTGATTATCTAAGAATTCCCTGAATGATTGTCTTATGCCTTAGAGTGTTAATATGAAAGGCATCCCTTCATCTGGCTCTATAAATGAAATCAATCATTTAGCAGCAGTTGCCTTATCACATTGCACTACTTTATATGAAAGATGCTATCCATAAAAGCAATTATAACGGGTGGTTTAATAAGGCAAACAGTGTTGGTGAATACAATTCAACTGTATTCTAAGCAAATACAATGCTTTTTGCAAGGCATTCATTTGTTTTATTAAAGCCAATTACACATTTGTTTTTGCTAATTTTTACTGTACAAAAGAAATTTGAAATACTTAATAGTCAATTACTGTGAGCATGCAGATAAAAATAATGAATATTATCACACAAAGAGTTTATATATAAAAGGCAAGGCAGACACAAATACAGTATATGGAAATTTGTCAGAAATTAATAACTTCTATTTTAAGCCTCTTTGGAGCATCTGGGGGAAGGAAATCCTTTAAATCAATGAAATTCCTACCTGAATCCATGTAGGTGACTGATGTGATTCTATCTAAGTGGAATACTGGTAAAAGCTACAGTCAGTGTCCACTCAAGAGAGCTGGCTTTTTCCTTAATAGCATCTTTAATGCAATAGAAAAGCAAACTCTTGGTGGTTAGATCTCTATGTTTAGTCACTTTGGAATCTTTGATGCTTTTATAAGTCATTGGAAATGAAACACTAAATTTGCCTTCAAGTGATAATGGAGAGTTGTGTATTTCAAGCAAATTTGGGGTCAGGGAGTGGTGAATATACTGATAATAAAATTTTAGTTATGAATTAATAAGAAAACTTTTTAACTTGCCAACTATTCGTTTATGTAGCACTTACAGCATTTCAGGTTCAGTACTAGGCATACAAAAGCAAGATAAGATCCTAGCAGTATAAATTTGATAGTCACAAAGTGAAATGAGACATTAGACAGGTTGCTCCAGTGACATATTATGTGTGCTGTGATTGAGAAATTAAAAGCATCAAAGGTTAGGGGAGGGGAGTGGATGGGGAAAGTAAGATGTTGATCAAAGGGTACCAAGTTTCAGTTAGACAAGAGAAATAAGCTTTAGTACTCTATTGCTAAGAATGGTGGCTATAATACATAATAATGTATTGTATATATTTTTTAAAAAGTTCCACAGGAACATTCATTTGCTAAGTTAGGGATGAGGGAAGTCTTCCTGGAGGAAATAAAGTTAAACTAAGCCTTTTATTTAAGTAGGAATTGGGTAAAGAGGATAAAGGAAAGAGCCTGTATGTAGGTTCTGGAGCCTTTGAAAAATGGAAAAACATCCAGACTGGTGAGAGATTGGAGTGTAGAGAAAAGTGGCAGAGATGGGTCCAGGAGATGAACTAAGAAGACATTGGCAGTGCCCATGAGCCATGATAAAGGAACTTGTACTTTATCCTAAACCTGGGATGCTATTGGAAATTTTAAGGAGAGTCAGGACATGATCCAGTTTTATTTTATCCTTTTAACCTTTCTAGCTACAGTGTGGTTATGCATTCCAGGCAAGGTAGTATGGAGGCTTTTTCTTAGGCAAGGCCAGGGGCAGGAATAGAGGCAAGTGGACAGATTCAGAAAGTGTTTACGAGTTAGAATGACCAATAGGTTAAGTAGATAGTTGGTTCTGAATCTCGGGAGACTCAATTGGCCTGATATATGCCCTGGCATATGAAGGGCGGACCTGCAGCTTATTCCTACTGGCCATATCGCCTCCCTGGGCCCTACACAGAAGCAATAGCATTTATATTGGGAAGCTGAATGATCTAAATGAGAGGGTAATAAATCTTTTTGCAAATCAGGTCCTTTCTGTTTTTTTTTTCTTTTCCATAAAATGAAAGAAACGCCTAATAGAACTGTCAGCTGATCATTAAAATAATTTTTGATGCTAGATCACTATTTGATTTTTGTCGTATAACTCAAGAGTTTAAAGAATTGAGTGACATTGCTATAATACAACTCCTTCCATTTCTATCACCTGTTTGTGTAAAAAATGTTCTAGGCACTTACATAAAAATGAAAAACACGAATAAATTCATGTAGAACATTGCCTCATTCTTTCAATAAGTTATATTATCCATGGACCTATGAAATAATTGAAAAAAAGCATTTAAATTAATAGTTCTATCTAAATTTTGTTTTATATAATTAATATATATTTGTCAAAATACAAAATATGTTACATTGGGTTTATCAATTGTATTTAATGGTAATTTAATGAGAACTCAATGCAGAAGAAAAATGTTATCACTTAGAACCTTATGGTCCCAGGAGATTCAATAAAAATTAAATTTACCAACTTTTTTTTTTTTTTGCAGAGATGTGTGATAAGGTAATCAATAAAAGACTTTCAAGCATAAAATATGTTACATTGGATTAAAATTTTGTTGTAGAAGTAGAACAGAATTATGAGCTCAAAGATGAAAAGGAATGATGTAATATTTTCTTTTTTCTTTCTTTTTTTTTTTTTTTTTGAGATGGAGTCTGGCTCTGTCGCCAAGGCTGGAGTGC
This sequence comes from Homo sapiens, assembly GCF_000001405.40. Lineage (NCBI taxonomy): Eukaryota > Metazoa > Chordata > Mammalia > Primates > Hominidae > Homo > Homo sapiens. The sequence continues at coordinate 96,241,841 of NC_000013.11, forward strand.
AGTGGTGCGATCTATGCTCACTGCAAGCTCCGCCTCCCGGGTTCACGCCATTCTTCTGCCTCAGCCTCCCGAGTAGCTGGGACCACAGGCGTCCACCACCATGCCCGGCTAATTTTTTGTATTTTTAGCAGAGACGGGGTTTCACCGTGTTAGCCAGGATGGTCTCGATCTCCTGACCTCGTGATCCGCCCGCCTCGGCCTCCCAAAGTGCTGAGATTACAGGCGTGAGCCACCGCGCCTGGCCTGATGTAACATTTTCTAATGTTAAAGAAGTGGGGGCCGGGCGCATAACTAAAACTTTATGCCTGTTGAACAGCAACTCCCATTTCCTCCTTTCAACAGCCCCTGGCTACCACCATTCTACCTTCTGTTTTTGAGTCTTTTTTTTTTTCTTTTTTTGAGATAAGATCTCACTCTGTCCCCCAAGGTAGAGTGCAATGGTGCCACCACCTTGGCTCACTTCAGCCTTGACCTCCCGGGTCCAGGTGATCCTCCTGCCTCAGCCTCCTAGGTAGCTGGGACTACAGGTGCACTCCTGGATAATTTTTTGTCTTTTTTATAGAGATGGGGTTTTTGCCATGTTACCCAGGCTGGTCTTGAACCCCTGGGCCCAAGTGATCTGCCCACCTTGACCTCCTAAAGTGCTGGGATTACAGGCGTGAGCCACTGTGCCCGACCCAAGTCTATTTTAGGTCCTTACATAAGTGGAATCATACAGTATTTGTCCTTCTATGACTAGCCTATTTCGCTTAGCATAATATCTTCCAGGTTGATCCATGGTGTGGCATATGAAACGATTTCTTTTCTTTTTTAAGGTTGAATCATGAAGATAACGAGTGTTGGTGAGGTTCTGGAGAAATTGGAACTCTTGTTCCCTGTTGGTGGGAAGGTAAAATGATACAGCTACAATGGAAAGCAGTATAGTGATTCCTAAAAGATTTAGAAATAGAATTACCATAGAATCCAACAGTCTCACCTCTGGATTGCTTCTTTTCAATTCTAAAAAAATTGAAATCACTATCTCCAAAAGATATCGGCACTCCCATATTCATTGCAGTATTTTTCACAGTAGCCAAGAGATGGAAAGAACCTGAATGACCATCCACAGATAAATAGATAAAGAAAATGTGGTATACACATACCATGTATGTAATTTTAATTTTTCTTATTTACAAAAAAAGAAAGAGTTGAAATTGACTTTAATATATTTTTAACTCAGTACATCCAAAATATTGCCACTTTAACATGTGATCGATACAAACAAATTGAGATACTTGATGTTCTGTTTATTTTGCGCTGTCTTCAAAATCCAGTGTGAATTTACACATGTAGTACATCTCAATTTGGACTAAACACCTTTGAAGTGCTGCGAGTCATGTATAGCTAGTGGCTTCCATATTGGGCAATGCAAATCTATATGGCAAATATTAGTGCTAAGATTTTATTTTCATTTGCTAGTTGTTTCTTGAGCATTCTTTGTTTTCTTAGCAGACCTTAAGCTTCTTAAGGGCAGGAATCATATTTTTAAACTCCTTTGATACTCTTAAGGTATTCAGAGTAATGCCCAGCCTAGTAAGATAGCTTGATACATCCCATTTGTTGAATTATTTTGACTAATGAAACTTTTTGTTAAACCACCTTGATAATGCTAGTCTGCTGACTAGTCCTTTGGAAACTGGATTGCTCTTTTTGGAACAACAAAGTTGTCAGAGTTGTAAATAATTGACAAGGCTGCTAATAGCTGCTGTGTGTGTCATTAGACAATCATTTAAATTCGTGAGCATCCTGGGGGTGGGACTGAGGTGGCTTTTCAGCTGCTTTCAGTCACAACAGCTTTTATTTTAAGTATGAACATCTTTACATGCAAATTAATAGTTTGGAAGGCATTAGATGCTCTTTAAAAAATTATGAGTTTAAATTTTCCCTGGGGTGCTTCTCAATTGGTTAATATTATCACACCTATATTTGACTTATCTGACTTACTTATTTTCACTTAGTTTGAAAATAAATTGACTTAGCTGTACTAACTAGTCCCTTAGAAACTTTTTCTTTTTTGAGGGGGTGGGGTGTGGAAAGGGGGGCTGCCTAGATTCTGGAAATATCTTTATCTCCTTCTGATAAGCCTTTATGCTGGGAGCAGTGGACTTCAAGATAAACAAACTAAAAAAGGCCCCCCCGAGAATCTTAATTTGTTCAAATTAAAATGAATGTAGGAAGATAATAAAGCTGTTTTTTAAAAGCTAGTCTCAACTTTAGCATAGGAGTTTAACCATTCCATTGGGAAAATTACATCACCGTTACATTTAGGATTAATGAAAAAATAGTAATTATTCAAGTTGTAAGATTTTTTCTTTTTTTGGCTTCTACCATTGTGAATACAATATGAATTCAATAGTGCAAATTCTTGAACTGCAACTGAGATTAGATAATCTCACAGGTGTACTGAATAGGAAAGAAGGTTGACAAAGCGATCACTTTGTTCTAATGACTTTATGCTAAAGTAAACATATCGCATCAAAACCAGTATTATAATTGAAAGTCTTGTTTGCATTTGCAGACCAGAGTTCTTTTGCATGAAAAGAGAGCTTATTTTTTTCTGTAATTATGACCACTATATTAAATTAATCAAGGAGGTGTGCTAATTTTCTTCTAATACAATTGATTTTCTGAAAATTAAGGGAATAGAAGATGTCATCATGATGAATCAGAAATGCTTAATCCTATCACAATACAAAGCAAACTGAGTTGTCATGCATTCCATCTATTTTGCTATTAATCAATGGAAAAAAAATACTGTTTTCTTCACCTAGTTCTAGGTAATTCACAGACGTGAAGAGGATTATCCAAGCTAGTTTTAAATTTATTACAGAAGAAATAGAACTGAAATTTGACACCTCTGGTGCTAATTATTGAGATATATTCTGCCAGGGATCGAAATCTATGGGTGGCCTATAACAGAAGTCTGCCAAATATGATGTATTCTGTTCATAGATAATGAAGTGTTGCCAGTTTTCCTCAAGGGAAATTTGAGTGTGTTATATTTTCTCTCTAAGATAGGTATAGCTGTTTGAAAATAAAATTGTTGTTGCTGCTAATACCTATTAGCTTTAAATGTTATTCACATGCCTGTGCTCAGAAGGCACAGCATGTACAAAATATTATTTTTAATCTGTTTCAGTTACAGCAAAATTTTACTTCGTAGCCTACTTGGTTGAATGAGATCAGCAACTGTGGCACTCATTTTGTGTGTCATTACTAAATCATCCCAGATGATTGAAATCAAGTTTCCAGTGTTGCTTTGCAACCAACATATGACACTTGCAAACAATGGGATTATTCTTGAACTCTCCTTAGAGCTGGTCCCTCTGTCATCATATTGAGTTTGAAACTTACAATGTACACAAAATTCAGAGAATTGACTTACAGAAGAGTACAAGGGGTAGAGCATTAAGACTGCAATCTTACAGTCACCAAAAGTGAGTTACAGAAGAGTACAAGGGGTATAGCATTAAGATCACTATCTTACCGTCTTCAATGGATGTAACTTAATTATTTTTTCCATCTCAAGTCTTTTGACAATTTAAGGTAATAGCTGTCAATTCAGAGTTTCCTCGGCCCATTCATGGTGTCTACTTTCTCATTGGTTCCAGCTAATTTCCAGGGACCTTATAGATGTTGAGACCTGAGGGTTCACTCTGGTCCTCTTTCTAGACCCTATTGGTTGCTCCCTACAGATTACTGATGTCAAGTTATCCTTTTTCCGATGCTAAGGTCTGCAGGGTCCAGACTGCCTTTAGAGCCATTTCTTTATCCATTAGGTACCCTCTGGGCTTGTCTAGGGAAACTAGACACCCCATACAAACTATAGTAGTCTCTTGGTAGGAATGGAAAACAGGCTAAGAGGCAGCATATTTTTTCCCATGAAATCTACTGCTCATGCTAGGTTTTTGGGTTTTTAGATGCAAAAGTCAAAAATTTGCTTATTTGGGTCTACTCTGAAATAGAAGCCCCCAAGTGCCTACCTGTTTCCTAGATTTTGAGAATGTGGGAATAGGGGAACATCCTGGGATAATAGGGAATATAGAGGGGGAAACTACATGAGTTAATATGTTAAATTATTATTTTCTGCAAGTGTAAACAAACCGAATAGAGTTTTGGAAATGTTAAAAAAAGATTAGGGTTAGTCAGTCTGAGTAACAGAAAGCTAGCTAAAATATTAATGAAATATATTCTTTATTAGATTAAATAATATGTATGTAGATACATGAGTGGCTGTTTTGTTGTGGCTTGTAGTGACCTATTAGTTTCTCTCTCTCAGAGGAGAGCCATATCTGTAAAAACCAGATTTAGTCCAGTACTTTAACAATTAGAAAACAGAGATCCATAGCATGAAGACACACAGCCAGTGTAGCCAACCAGGCCTTGAAACGAGATTCTCTTACTTAGAATTCTTTGCCCATTTCCTCCCTCCCTGCCCAAGACTGAAATTATTTTGCAATAGAAGAAAATTAGGTTAGCTATCAAGGTGAACTTTTTGATGCTAATAGGTTGAAACATTGAAATACATTATCGAGGACATTTGCAGTGGTTATTTTAAAAAATGGTTAGGCAGCTACCTTTTCACTCTGGTCTGGGGACAGTCCTGTAGAATCAGGGCTTACTGAAGTTGATTTCTTTACCCTGGTTTTTAGATTACATGATTTTAAGGCAGATACTTCAAAAAAGGTTTACAAATATAGACTTGATTGAAATATTTGCCAGAGAAACTGCCCTGGTAGCTTCTCTAAATTCCAGAAATACAGTGTTTGTTTCCTTTTTTGTGTGTGTGGAGGTAACATCAATCTGCCCTTTCAAGCAAATGTAAGGATTTTTCAAGATGTTTAAAAACAGGAGAGTGAAATTGTCTTCAGATCCCTAGAGAAGATCGGATTGCATAGAACTTTAGCTTCTTCCCCACGATGGAATGGATTTCCATCAGGAGAGGATTTATAACTTTATGGGCCAGGTAGTGTAAAAGATGTGACAGGCTTCAAAAATAAGTTTTCAGTGGGACTATTTCTTGAGAATGGTAATTGATTTTGCTTAGTATCTGCTGCTAAAAACAAACCTGGAAGACTGTGTTGCATTAAATTAAAAAAAATAGAGGAAAGTATTCACATTCTTGTGAGGATGTGTAGAGATTTAGATAGATTTTAGAGAGATTATTTTGTATTTTATTACACCCTGGGCTGAGAGAGCTACATTGTGGAAAGCAAATCAGACATTTCCTTTCCCTCTGGTAATATTTAAAATCTTAACTTTCAAGAGAAATCTCTCAGAATAACTTTCCTCTCCCATCCTGGACCCCAGAACACCTCTCCAGTCCTTGGACCCTTTCCTCTTGGTGGCAACGTGTCTATTGAACAGGTAATTGGTAGGGGAAATTCTTGTTTTAATACAGCCCTGATATGATTTTACTCTGTGTCCCTACCCAAGTCTCATCTCAAATTGTAATCCCCATAATCCCCACGTGTCAAGGGAGGGACCTTGTGGGAGGTGATTGGATCGTGGGGGTGGTTTCCCTTATGCTGTTCTCATGATAGTGAATGAGTTCTCATGAGATCTGCTGGTTTTATAAGTGGCAAGTTCCTCTTTGCACATTCTTCTCTCTTGCCACCATGTGAAAAAGGCCCTTGCTTCCTCTTTGCCTTCCACCAAATGATTGTAAGTTTCCTGAGGCCTCCCTCAGCCATGTGGAACTGTGAGTCAATTAAGCTTCTTTCCTTTATAAATTACCCAGTTTTGGGTATTTCTTTAGAGTAGGGTGAAAATGAACCAATACAAGCCCCTTCCTTCCTTTCTCTCTCTCTGGCTTCCTCTCTTCTTTCCTCCTTCCCTTCCTTTTTGTAGTGGATGGCTTTGAACTGGCAAATCAGCATGACAGTGTAACAGAGCCTACTTTTAATGTGGCTCTTTTTTGTTAACCTGGAAACCTAATGTACATACTGCATACAACAGGTTCATACTTCAGCATACTCAGTTAATGTGAGGGTCATTTTAAATTTTATGTAATCTTAAGGTTATAGGGATAGGGTTAGTTGCCTTTCCAGTATACCTTCTCACTTGGGTGTCAACTCTATAACAGTAATCCCTTAGACACAGAATTCAAAATTTGGATTCAATTCAGAATTAATATAAGACAAGTTAAGATAATCATCTTATAAATCAGACTTACTTATAGTCTGTTTTCCTTTTAAAGTATACAGTGTCTTTCAGTTTGTAAACTCTCATTATTCAAATACTTGCCCTAAAGATTTGCAGACATTTTAACCCTAAACTCACTGAATCAAACTCTCGCCATAATTAATATACATGCCTGTACCAACAAAAACCTTTTATTGTTGTACAGATCAGACAAGACTATGTAGTGTGACTGGGCTGCAGCCTTAAGCCCTCGGCTCAGGTTGTTTTAAAGTGTTTGCATAGCTTCTGTGACCTCCCCCATCCTTTTCCCAGAGGGTTTGGCCTTTCCTGAGTCTCAGTTCACTTCTGCCAAGAGCCTGGGAGCACTTCTAACTAGTGTCTAATTTAAATAGGATCTTTAGTATCTCTTACATATTATGTTGTTGTTTATTTAAATTACAGTGCATAATTCCTTGCACATATAAAAGGAAAATGTAATTTCTATTTGATACTATAAGGAAGGTTTCTTTGTGTACTGCATACAAACATACTCTCCAAACAGTTCATTATGTGTTAAAGAATTAGGTAATTGATATTTCAAACAACTTAATTTATATAAATCAGAAATCCTTGCTGGATTTGGATGGCTATGCAGGTGTTTACAGTGATTTTATTCATATTTGAGGACATTGGACAGGTATTTGGATGAGTTGGGAACATATTAATTTTCCCAATTAAAATTATATATGATAAGCTCCTACCACCTGAAAACTGCTATTCAAAGTATTTTTTAAATTTAATTCAGATGAGGAATGCCTGTTATTTCTATTCTAAGCAAGCACATATACAATTTATATAGTAGCCTGTGCTAGTCAAGTTATCTCAAAATCTTGTGCATGACAAATTTTCACATCTGCCATCTAGTGTAATTGATGTGGCCACCTTTTCTGTCACCCAGTAGGTTTATAGCCTTTCATGGATTTCTTGACAGTTCTCTCCATTGCTGGTGCCATTTCCTCCTCCTGTCTTCTGAAAGGTCATTGTCCTCTGGTCTTCTCTTTCCTCTCTTCCCTGAAGACGATTTTTATTCTCATTCATCTAATACCAGCCTTTGGGGAGACAAAGCTGAGTTCTTTATCTCAAACCCTGTTCTCTTTCATATCCTCCTGTTTCCCATTTTCAACTAGTTGCTTTTCTACATTTGTGTCCCAGTGCTACTTCAAATATAACATAGTAGGGAGGAAATACATTATCTTAACACTGGGCCCCAGAAATCCCTCTCAGGAGGTGGTGGACTTTGCTTAAGATAATGCATTGCTATTTGCTGCTGCAAACTGAAACCTGAGAAAAAAGATTGACAGAAGATAAGGTGTAAAAAGGAAGCTAAATCACCCTGGATGCATAATGAACAGAGATTTGAGGCTGGAAGGAAAGGAGAGAAATGGAGTAGGAGGTGAGGAGAGGGAAGATAAGAGAAGTGGCTGAAAAACTGACAGAGAAGTAGAAACAGAGTTGGTAGAAAAGGCCAAAGAACTTTGTAAGGACAGGGTAGTTTGCTAGTCAAAATTAGATTATTTACATTCTTTGCAGTATGAATGACTTCGTCTCCCCAGTATAATCTGCTACATATACAATAGCTTTCTGTAGGTGAATCTTTTTCATGTCAAAATCTGGAGATAATGGCAGCATTATTCATAGTTGCAAAGAGGTAGAAATAACCCAAAATGTGATATATACACACAATGGAATATTACTCAGCCTTAAAAAGGAATGAAATTCTGATGTATGCTACAACATGATGAACTTTGAGGACATTATGCTATGAAATAAGCCAGATGCAAAATGACAGAAATTTTATTATTCTACTTAGATGAGGTATCTAAAGAAGTCAAATTCCCAGAGACAAAATGTAGATTAGAGTTTATGAGGGTGTTGCACAGGAACGAGGAGGTGTCATTTAGTGGGTACCAAGTTTAAGTTTGGGATGATGAAAAGCTGTGGAGAAGAATGACAGCGATGTTTGTACAACAAAGTGAATGATTTAATGCCACTGAACTGTAACACTTAAAAATAGATAAAATGGTAAACTTTATGTTGTGAATATTTTACCGCAATAAATGATTTAAAAATTCTATAGATAGAAGCTGTATACCATGTCTGGTATGTTACAGTCTGCACAGGATGAAAAGATGATCTGGAAACTGAATTACTTCAGCAGAGGTAGTGTTCTAGGGCAGTGGGAGAACAAACCCCATAAAACCCCTGTGGTGGATTGAATGGTGATCCCCCAAAGGATATGTTTGTTTTCTAACTGCTGGAACCAGGGAGTGGGACTTTATTTGGAAAAAGGGTCTTTGTAGATGTGTAAGTTAAGAATCTGGAGATGACATCACCCTGCATTACCTGGTGGGCCTTGGATCCAATGACAAGTGTCCTAGTAAGAGACAGAAGAGAAGACTTGGAGGAGAAGGCTGTGTGAAGACATATGCAGAGATTGGAGTGATGCCAAGCAATGCTTGCAGTCAACAGAAGCTGGAAAAGGCAAGCAAGAATTCTCCTCTCAGAGTCTTCAGAATAACAGTCTCTGTCAGTACCTTGGTTTCACACTTCCAGCTTCCAGAATTGTGACAGAATACATTTCTATTGGTTTAAGCCACCAAGTTTATGGTAATCTGTTACAGAGGGCCTAGGAATACAATACATCCTCCAACTTCTCTCCGTTCGGCAAAATATGACTAGATACCGGCAGTACGTACCTTCTACACATAATTTGTTGAGAGTTTTTATCCTGAAAGGCTTTTGAATTTTGTCAAATACTTTCTCTGCATAGATTGAGATAATTATATGCTTCTTATCCTTCATTCCATTATTGTGGTGGATCACATTTATTTATTTGTAGACTTGAGCCATCCTTGCATCCCAGGGATAAATCTCACTTGCTGATATTATGGTGCATAATCCTTTTAATGTACTGTTGAACTTGGTTTTCTAGCATTTTGTTCTCGATTTCTGCTTCTGTGTTCATAAAAGATACTGACCTGTAATTTTCTTTTCTTGTAGTATCCTCATCTGGCTTTGGTATCAGGAAAATGAGTAGAATGAGCTTGGAAGTTTTCCCTTCTCTTCAATTTCTTTGGAAGCGTTTTAGAGGATAGGTGTTAATTCTTCTTTAGGTCTTCGGTAGAATTCACCAGTGAAGTCATCTGGTCTCGGGCTTTTCCTTTTGGGAGAGTCTTTAAAAAATTACTGATTTAATCTCTTTACTTCTTATTGATCTATTCAGATTTTCTGCTTCTTCATGGTTCAATCTTGGTAGGTTATACGTTTTTAAGAATGTATCCATTTTGTCTAGGTTATCCAATTTGTATATGTATAATTCTTAATAGTAATCTCTTATTATCCTTTGTGTTTCTGTGGTAACAATTGGAATGTCTCCTCTTTCATTTATAATTTTATTTATTTGAGCCATCTCTTTTTTCCCTAGTCTAGCTAAAGGTTTATTGATTTTGTTTATCTTTTAAAAAGACAACTAGTTTTGTTTATTTTTTAAAGTCTCTATTTCATTTATTTCTGCTCTAATCTTTATTGTCTTTTTCCTTCTAATGTTGGGCTTTGTTCTTTTTTCTTGAGATATAATGTTAGATTGTTCATTTGAGATCTTGTCATTTATCTTATCTAGGCCTTTATTGCTCTAAATTTCCTTGTTAGAATGACTTTTCTTGCATCCCATAAGTTTTGGTATGTTTTATTTTTATTTTCATTTATCTCAAGATATTTTTTGATTTCCCTTTTTAGTTTTTCTTTGACCCATTATTTGGTTGTTCCGGAGTGTGTTGCTTAATTTCTATATATTTGTGAATTATCCAATTTTCCTCCTGTTATTCTAGTTTCATACCATTGTGGTCAAGTAAAAGATACTTGTTATAATTTTCATCTTCTTAATATTGTTAAGACTGGTTTTTAGTATATAATCTATCCCAGGGAATGTTCCATGTGTGCTTGAGAATATATATTCTACTGCTATTGGATGTAATGTTTCATGTATGTCTGGTCAGTCCATTTGGCATATAGTGTTATTCAAGTCTGTAGTTTTCTTATTAATTTTGTGTCTGGAAAGTGGACTATTGAGGTCTCCTACTATGATTGTATTGCTGTGTATTTATTTCTTCAGTTATATCTGCTTTATAATATTTAAGTGGTTTGAGGTTGGGTACATGTATATTTACAATTGATGTATTCTCTTGATGAATTGACCCCATTGCCTTTATATAATGACCTTCTTTGTTTCTTGTGACAGTTGCATTTGAAGAAGGAGTCATTTCCTCTAGTCTTTACTGATTGGCTTCAGGAGACAAAGATCTTCACCCATGAGCCCACCTGGCAATTCTTGGGGTCTCTTCGACCTTTTCTATGGATTCCCTCTCTCCATGCCTCCTGTTCCCTCCAATGGAGCAAGTCTTAGGATTGTTGTGCCTTCCCCCATTTTGCAGTCAGGTCTTGTGCTGAGAACCTCCAATTTATTTAGTCTAGGGCAGTGCCTTGAAGTGTTTCAGTGTTCTGGTTTCTCCCAATCCATCAAAGTTGAGCCAGTTGCTCAGATACGCACTTTTGTTGAGATCCGTGTGCTGTTTGTTGGAGTGATATAATTTGGATATTTGTCCCCACCCAAATCTCTTGTTGAAATGTAATCCCCAGCATTGGAGGTGGGGCCTGTTGGGAGGTGTTTGGGTCATGGGGATGGATCCCTCCTGGCTTGGCGCTGCCCTCACAATACTGAGTTTTTGCAAGATCTGGTTGTTGTAAAGTGTGGCACCCCACCCCCAACTCTCCCTTGCTCCTGCTTCACCTTCTGACATGAGTCAAAGCTCCCTGAGGCCTCTCCAGAAGTCAAGCAGATGCTGGCACTATGTTTCCTCTGCAGCCTGCAGAACCATGAGCTAATTAAACCTCTTTTCTTTATATTAAATAAATTACCCA